>NC_000004.12:43457864-43767288 GCF_000001405.40 Homo sapiens
GCTTTGGAGTTAAAATGTCTTGTTGCATTATCTCAAATTGGGCCAGAATTGTTGTTGGTGAGTCAGTTCAGGTTTTTGACTTCACTAACAAAAAGAATTTGAGAGCAAGTCCAAAGTAAGAGTAGGCCAATGAATTTATTGCAAAGCAAAAGTAGACTCTGAGAGGCTGAGTAGGATGCTTCAAGGGAGAGAAAGCCCTTAGTGCCTTAAGGGGAATTCCTTTTGTGGGAGCTGTACATATGTATTTATAAAATACATAAAAGTGAGGTCAAGTATGCAAAGGTGGACCTGAGGTTGGCGCATGCATTCAGCATTAACATGCTCTAACACACATTCTATGAATCATTAGCATCTAAAATCTCCACCTAGGAGTGTGGTTTTTTACTATTAAAATGACGAAAATGTCATTACAATCTAAATCCTGAACCTAGCTGCTCAAGTGGGACCTCAGAGATGTCTCTAGCTCTCCAAGGCAGGAAATTGTAGCTAAGAGCCTCTTGGGCTTTTGATGCTGATAGGCTGGAAATGAGGGGAGCCTCATCATAAACAAGGGCTTTTGTTCTCTTTCCCTGGGCGTATCAGGAGCTTGTATCCACCTGGCAGCTGGTATCATGTAGCACCGCTTATCTTGCAAAAGAGTTAGGTGCATGGGTTGTGAAAGGAGCCCACTGGGCTTCACACAAGGTGACAAGTCGGTATGGCATCCTAAACTTACTTATCCTGCTCCAGAATGGCTGGTCCTTTCTGCCTCTGCTCTGTCAGTCATCCCTCCTGGGCTGACTTGGAAAGGATCTTGTACTTGGTCAGGTAGGCTCGTTCTCTGCAGTTCAGGTAAACCCTGAAGGGGCTGAGATTTAAATGCCACCTGCCAATAACATTCCTAGAAGCTAGAACAATAAATTTTTCCTCTAAGGGGCAGCTGGGCAGCTCATAGTGTCCACAACGCTATATAAATAAATAAATAATAGTGATGTTATAAAGCACTAGCAATACACACACACACACACACACACACACACACACAGTGTTTCATTAAATCTTAACCCAATAAAATTCTAATCAGCAGATATTTTCACTTTAAAAATATCTCTACAAAATAAGTAATACATCTCTAAAATTTAAAATTAAAGAATTTTCTAACAGTTTTAATATAAAACCATTTTTAAAGTATTTTTACAACTATTTTAATTTAATTTTATATTTTATTTAATTCTTATAATTGATTTATAATTTTAATTTTTGATTTCTCCTCAACTTTTGAGGGTCAAATTATAACAATACATGACTAGACCTAGAAGGAAGCAAGCTCAGCTATTGAGTATCCCAGGAAAGTAAAGCAGGAACTGGTTTCTGAACCTTGCACTCACTGGTGTATATTTCATCTCCTTTTACTTGAACTGTTACCGGATTTTCAGCAAGAATAGAACTTTGTTTGCTCTATGGAATTCTGTAAAACTCATGGTGAAAAAAAGAAACATGTGATAAGGCCCTGCTGCCTTACTGCATTTCTGGTTCAATTCCTTCTGAGTAAACTGGTGCCAGCCAGGCCTATTGTGACCTTGTTAGTCTAATTGCTTACTTGAGCTCAGGTAAGAACTATAGATGAAGTGAACTTGTTACGACCATTGCCATGTTTTATTTACTGATGCTATGAAGTGTTAATCATCTCGTGTTTAATACTTAAATTTATACTATTAGTGGTCATTTTTAGGTGTAAGGTAAAATAAAATAGAATTGTTAAACCTAGTGTCATCTAAATAACCCCTTCCTATATTTAATGTCTTTGAAATGTCACTTTTCAATATTAAAATATTATATATATTTGAGATTGAAACTCTACCTTCTCTTCTGTTCCACAGTTGCATACCAATTCCCAAACACATATTGTATTATTTAAATTAGAATGTCTTTATAATACATTTTAATATCTGGTAGGAACAACCTTTCCTATCTTTATCACATATTTTATAATATTAAAATAATTTTTATAGGTTTCTACTTCAGGAAGTTGTATTCTTCCAAAAAAAATCCTGGTTGATATTTTTCTCACTGGAACATCATGTAACTTTAAATGCATTGATTAAGAATTAATACTCTTGATATATTGCTGTGTAATTTGTGTATGTGTGTGTGTGTGCTATGTCATCAAAGCCTGAACTCAAAGTAATTTTAGCTTAAAAATATATATCTATATATACATATATAAATAAAGAATACTTGGAATATGGATATAAGATTAGAGGCTGAATACAGTTCTAACTAAATTCCTGCCATTAATGTTATGGAAATAGAAATTGTGTTAATTTTTTTTTGGTAATACCTAATAGGAAAGCATGAGAATGCATTATTGGTGGACTAGACATTTTGAGAAACTTTCAAAACTGAAATCAAGCAGGGATTGGATACATCAAAAACAAAAAAGAAACACTCCTGAGAAAAGGATTGGAAGATGGACCAAGGCACTTCAGAGTAAAACAAATATTGAAATATTTCAAATTGCATCCTTATTTCATCTGTTCATCAAGAGGAGTCTTAACTCTATGAGTTTTGTCTGCATTCTGCCTCTTCTTCATTTAAAATGAATAATTGTGTATTTCAAGTGAAATGTCTACATTTTACTGATCTTTGATATAGTGTAAAGAGTTGTGCTTCACAACCTCTTCTAATGTTTACTTATTTTCATATCTGTGGTTTCACTGAATGCTTTACTCTCATTTTTACCTTGACTTTCTTACCTTTTTTCTTGGTTGGATTTTTCTGAGCTTTATCTATTTTCTTGTGACTTTGAAATAAAAAATTTCTTTGATATTTTAATATTTTCAATAATTTTCTTCTTATTGGTGTCTTTATGTTTATGAATTCCTTCTTTCAGATTTCCTTTCTGGAGACTCATTATTATTTCAAATCATTATATTTTTTAATGATGATAACAATTATCATTTTTTTTTAGATGTTAGTTTCTGCAATGCTAAAGCACTTTATAAACCTAGCATGTTTACTTTCATTATTTCTTGTTTAATAATAAAGTAATTCAATCAAATCATTTTCCTTTAAATTTGTCATATCATCAAAGTTCTGAAAATGTAATGTTCTCTTTACTTACCCTTATTCTTCAAACAGTTTGTTCAAAATTATTTTATAAAATTTGATCTGAGGCAAACTGGGATCTGTTGGAGACCTGATATTCAGTCATACTGAATTTAAATAGGCCACATGGTTAGGGATCCTTTGTACTACAGTTAAGATGCATGCTCTGGGCTGCCTTTTGTGCTTCCTGCAGTTGTATTGTAACAAGACTTAGGTTAAGTCTGTTACCTTTTTTGCCCTTTGGATTCATGCAGCTGGATGTTAGGAGGGCCAAGGCCTTTTTGTCCTTGTGTGATAAGTACTCCCTGTTTCTCTTATAGCATATGAAACTGGGGCATAGGAAAGTACTCTGCCTTGAACTACACAGTCTTATCAGATCCATTTTGGCATGCGACCAAAAATGATCAATTTCTCCAATCTCTTTGAAACTCATGGAAATATTTTAGTTTGTTCTTTCCCCTCACTTCAAGGATAAAACCTATTATCCTCATATTTTGGGGTCTCCAATAATTCTTGCCATAGCTATGCCAGGCCACTATCTTAAGGAACAAAAGACAATATGATAAAAATCAGAGTTGTGGTGAGGTACATTACCAAGAGTGGCTATTGGCTTTGAGACAAACATATCCAAGCCCTCAATCTGAAACATTAGTGAATGAGATCTTGCTTTGGAATACTGAAGCAGGACTGGGTTGTATGGAAATTAGGGTCATCCTTAAGAAACCTGAGATTTTAAAGATAGCTTCACTTTCCATGGATATGGTTCAACATGAAAATACTATGTCTTTGTTTGCTGGGCCCAGAAAAAACTCAAGACAGAATAGGCAGAGCTTCAGTATATGGGTTTTATAGGCATTGGTGAGTGGAATGCTTTTCTATAGCCCGTAGTGTATGTATGTTTAATTATCTATCCCCTCTTTTTTTAATCGTCTGGGATATAGGATATCTCTCCTGGGAAAGTAGATGTCCCACCATGAAAGGAAGAATTTTAGGAAATAATTATTTTCTTTAGTTGGAATTCTGAAAAGAGAAATATTTCTCTTTACTGATACTCTGGAATAATTCTGAGTATTCTAGTTTCAAAAATTATAAATGTTTTCTAAGTTCTTAAGAATCAGACAATTTGTGTTAATTTTTTTTCTAACTCATAAAGAATATATTACTTTGGCATAGAATATGAGGTGTACAATCTTTGTATTTAGAAAATGACACATATTGCATTATTTTCTTACATTTTTTGGTTCAGAAATGTTTGATGGCAATTTGCTTTTGTTTTCCTACTAACAAACTGTCCCTCTATACATCTTTACACACATATACACATATACACATGCACGCTCAAGAGCTTCAATTTATTATTAAAATTCAGAAAATTTCCCAACCTCTAAATCTTTTTTAAAAAGTAGATCTCCTTTGTTGTTGAATACTTTTTTTGCCTTAGTTCAGGGAATGTATCTTAAGGTATTTTTAAAAGATAATTGATTAATTATTTACAATATTTAAACTGCTTTTTATTGTGTTGATTGCATTATATATTTTGGTAATTAACCTTCATGTTTGAAAGCCACATTCGTAACCGTAGATTATTCTGCTTTAAAGATATAATGACTTTTTGAATATTGTTGAGTATATAAATTATAGTTAGTTGACTTTTTAAACTTTCTTATAGCAAATTTGTCCTTCAGGGAAAAAAAGCATTTTTGTTTTATTCTGCCAAAAGGGTCTCTTTTTTTTAGCTACTGAATAGTTTCATATGCTTAGGAATAATCATTTATTTTTCTTCTATTTTATAAGAACATCAATATTTAATTTTAATAGATAAAAACCTCTTTAATTAGGATTTTTATTGAAATATTAAAGTCTGATTTAAAAAGAGATAGTTGAGTTTCTATTTAATCAGATCAGAGGTTTCACTGTCCAAAACCAGAAGAGTGTTTATTTCCAGCTTTATTGAGATATAATTAACAAATAAAAATTGTATATATTCAATGTCTACATGATATAATATTAATGTATGTATAATGTATACATTGTGAAATGATTAACACAATCAAAGTAACTAACCTATCCATCACTACCCATAGTTACTATTTTGTGTGTGTGTGTGTGTGTGTGTGTGTGGTGGGATCATGTAAAATCTAAGTAAGTAAATTTCAAGTAAACAATACAAAACAATACAGTAGTATTGTTAACTATAGTCACCATGATATACTTCAGATTCCCGAAACTTATCCATCTTTGTTTGTTTGTTTGTGGCGAAATCTTGCTCTGTCGCCCATGCTGGAGTGCAGTGGCATGATCTTGGCTCCCGGCAACCTACGCCTACCGAGTTCAAGCGATTCTCCTGCCTCAGCCTCCCGAGTAGTTGGGGCTTCAGGCGCACGATACCACACCCAGCTAATTTTTGTATTTTAGTAGAGATAGGGTTTCACTATGTTGGCCAGACTGGTCTCAAACTCCTGACCGAGGTGATACACCTGCCTCATCCTCCTAAACTGTTGGGATTACAAGCGTGAACCACCGTGCCTGGCCAAATTTACTCATCTTATGACTGAAAGTTCACACTCTTTGACCAATCTCTTCATATCCCCCAACCCACAATCCCTAAACAAGCACATTCTACTCTCTGTTTCTATGAGTTTGACTTTTTTAGTTTCCAAATATAAGTGAGGTTATACAGTATTCATCTTTCTGTGTCTGGCTTATTTCACTTAGCATAATGTCTTCCAGCTATACCCACGTTGTTGCCATGGCAGGATTTTCTTCTTTTTTTGTGGCTGAATGATATTGCATTGTGTGTGTTTGGGTGCCCGTGTGTGTGAACACATTTTCTTTATCCATTTATCTATGAATGAACATGTGGGTTGTTTCCATATCGTGGCTATTATGACTAAAGATGCAATGAACATAGGAGCTAAGAAATCTCTGAGATGCAGGCGGCTGGGCGTGGTGGCTCAGGCCTGTAATCCCAGCACTTTGGGAGGCCGAGGTTGGCAGATCACGAAGTCAGTAAATCGAGACCATCCTGGCTAACGCGGTGAAACCCCGTCTCTACAAAAATACAAAACATTAGCCTGGCGTGGTGGCGGGAGCCTGTCGTCCCAGCTACTCGGGAGGCTGAGGTAGGAGAATGGTGTGAACCCGGGAGGTGGAGCTTACAGTGAGCTGAGATCGGGCCACTGCACTCCAGCCTGGGTGACAAAGAGAGACTCCGTCTCAAAAAAAAAAAAAAAAAAAAAAAAAAAAAAAAAGATGCAAATTTCATTTTTTTTTGGATATATATTCCGAAAAGGGATTGCTGGATCACACTATAGTTATATTATTAGTATTTTGAGGAAATCTATACTATTTTCCATAGTGGCTATATAAACACACAGTTGCACCAAGAGTGCACAAGAGTTTCCTTTTCTCTACATCTTCACCAACAGGTGTTATATCTTAATTTTTTGGAAAACAATCATCCTAACATATGTGAAGTGATAGCTCAGTATGATTTTAACTTGCATTTCCCTAATGATTAATGATGTTGAGACCCTTTTCACATACCTCGTGACTTTTCAATATGTCCTCTTTGAAAAAAAATGTCTATTCAGGTCTTCTAGTCATGTTTAACTTGTTTTTTTTCTATTGAATAATATGATTTCTTTATATATTTTGGATATTAAAAACTGATTAGATACGTGGTTGGCAAATATTTTCTCCCATTGTGTGTGTTGTCTGTTTGTTTTGTTCATTGTTTCCTTCACTGTGCAGAATCTTTTTAGTTTAATGTAGTTCCACTTATTTATTTTTGCTTTCGTTGCCTGTGCTTTTGGTGTCATGTCCAAAAAATTATTGTGAATATCCATGTCAAAAATTTTTCCCTATGTTTTCTTCTAATAGTTTTACAGATCTCACATTTAAGTCTTGAATCCAACTTGAATTTATTTCTCTATATGGTATAACTTAAGGACTAATTTCATTTTCTTGCATGTGGATATCCAGGATTTCTGAGATTGTTTATTGAAGAGACAGACAATCCTTACCCTACTGTGTATTCTTGCCGCACTTGTTAAAGTTAACCATATATATGTGGTTTATTTCTGGGCCTTCTATTTATTCCATTGTTCTAGTTGTCTTTTTTTTTTTTTTTTAGACAGAGTCTGGCTCTGTCGCTGGCTCTGTCAGCTCACTGCAACCTCCGCCTCACTGCAACTTCTGCCTCCCCGGGTTCAAGCGATTCCCATGTCTCAGCCTCCTGAGTAACTGGGACTACAGACCTTCGCAACCATGCCCAGCTAATTTTTTGTATTTTAGTGGAGATGGGGTTTCAGCATGTTGGCCTGGATGGTCTGGATCTCCTGACCTCGTGATCCACCCGCCTTGGCCTCCCAAAGTGCTGGGATTATAGGGGTGAGCCACTGTGCCAAGGCAAATTGTCTATCTTTATGCCAGCACCATATATTTTGATTACTCTATAATTAAAAAATGAGGGAGTGTGATATCACCAGCTTTATTCATTTCTCACATGATTCCTTTTATAATTTGGGATTTTTTGTGGTTTATTACAAAGTTCAGGATTATTTTTCTCTTTCTGTGAAAAATGCTATTGGAATTTTAATAAAGATTACACTGAATCTATAAATTGCTTTGGACAATATGAAAATTTTAACAATATTAATTCTTCCATTTCATGAACATGGGATATATTTCTATTTAAGTCTTTTTCAATTTCTTGTATAGTATCATATAGTTTACAGTGTATAGATCTTTCATCTCCTTGGTTAAATTTATTTCTAAGTATTTTACTTTTTTGGATGCTATTGTATATGGGATTGGCTTCTTGATTTGTTTTTAAATATTTTATTTTTAGTGTATAGAAATACAACTGATTTTTGCATATTCATTTAAGATTTTTTTACTCCACTCTTTATTTATTTTTCTTGTGGATACACAGTAGGTGTTTATATTTATGGGGTACCTGAGATCTTTTGATGCATGTGTGCAATGTGAAATAAGCACATCATAGAGAATGGGGTAGATATTCCCTCAAACATTTATTCTTTGAGTTACATACAATCCAATTACATGCTTTAGGTTATTTTAAAATGTACATTTAAGGTGACTATAGTTACCCTGTTATGCTGTCAAATAGCAGGTCTTATTCATTCTCTCTATTTTTTGTACCCATTAACCATTACTACCTCCTCCCTTAGACCCCCACTACACTTACCAGCCTCTGGTAACTATTATTCTACTCTCTATGTGCATGAATTCAATTGCTTTAATTTTTAGAACCCACAAATAAATGAGAATATGTTATGCTTGCCTTTCTGTGCATGGCTTATTTCACTTAACATAATGATCTCCAGTTCCATTTATGTTGTTGCAAATCACTGGATCTCATTCTTTTATATGGCTGATTAGTACTCCATTGTGTACATGTACCATATTTTCTTTAACCCTTTGTCTGGTGATGGACACTTACATTGCTTCCAAATCTTAGCTATTGTAAGCAGTATTGCAACAGGCATAGGAATGTGGATATCTCTTTGAAGTACTGATTTTCTTTTTTGGGGGGGTATACACCCAGCAGTGGGACTGCTGGATCATATGATAGCTCAATTTTTAGATTTTTGAGGAAGCTTCAACCTGTTCTCCATAGTGGTTGTACTAATTTACTTCTCCTCCAACATTGTACAAGGGTCCCCTTTTCTCCACATTTTTGCCAGCATTTCTTGTTGCCTGTCTGTTAGATGTAAGTCATTTTAACTGGGGTGAAATATCTCATTATTGTTTTGATTTACATTTATCTGATAATGAATTATGTTGAGCACCTTTTCATATGCCTGTTTGCCATCTGTATATGTCCTCTTTGAGAAATGTCCATTCAAAAGCTTTGCCATTTTTTTGATAGGATTATTGTATATTTTCCATTAGAGTTGTTTGAGCTCCTTACATATCTTGGTCCCTTCTTAGAAGGATAGTTTGCAAGTATTTTCTCCTATTCTGTCTCTATGTTGGTTGTGTCCTTTGCTGTGCACAAGCTGTTTAACTTAATGTAATCCCATTTGTCCATTTTAGGTTTGACTGTCTGTGCTTGCGGGGTATTTCTCAAGAAAATTTTGCCCAGACCAATGTCCTGGAGAGTTTCCTTAATGTTTTCTTGTAGTAGTTTTATAGTTTGAGGTTTTAGATTTAAGTCTTTAATCCATTTTCATTTTTTGGTATATGATAAGAGATAGAGGTCTAGTTTCATTCTTCTGCATATGGATATCCAGTTTTTCCAGAACCATTTATTAAAGAGACTGTTCTTTCCCCAATGTTCTTGGCATCTTTGTCAAAAATGAATTCATTTTAGGTGTGTGGACTTGTTTATAGGCTTGCTACTGTTTCATTGGCCTATGTGTCTGTTTTTATGCCAGTACCATGCTGTTTTGGTTACTATATCTCAGTAGGGTAATATGAAGTCAGTTAATGTGATTCCTCCAGTTTTGTTCTTTTTGCTTAGGATACTGGTTATTCTGAGTCTTTTGTGGTTCTACATAAATTTTAGATTTTTTTTTCTGATTCTGTAAAGAATGTCATTAGTATTTTGATAAGGATTGCTCTGAATCTGTAGATTGTTTTGGGTAGTATGGACATTTTAACAATATTGATACTTCCAATCCATGAATGGAGTTTTTTTTTTTCATTTTTTGGTGTCCTCTTCAATTTCATTCATCAGTGTTTTACAGATTTCATTATAGAGATTTTTCACTTTTTAGTTGTTGATTTCTATGTATTTAATTGTATGTGCAATTAATATAAATTGGATTACCTTTTTATTTCTTTTTCACATTGTTCAGTGTTGACAGAAATGCTACTCATTTTTGTACATTGATTTTGTATCCTGCAACATTACTGAATTTATCAGTTTTAATCGTTTTCTTGTGGAGTCTTTATGTTTTTTCAAATATCACATCATATCATTTGCAAACAAAGATAATTTGACTTTGTTTTTTTCCAGTTATATCTTTTGTTTGTCTGCCTGTGCTACCTAGGACTTCCAGTACTGTGTTGAATAACAGTGGTGCCAGGGGGCATACTTGTCATGTTCCAGATCTTAGAGGAACAGCTTTCAGTTTTTTTCCCATGAAGTATGATACTAGCTGTGGATCTGTTGTGAATCACTTTTATGTAGAGATATATTTCTTCTGTATTCAGTTTTTTTTTTTGAGAGCTTTTATCATGAAGGAATTTTTAATTTTATCAAATGCTTTATCAGGATGTATTGAAATGATTACATGGCTTTTCCCTTTCATTCTGTTGATATAATGTATCACATTGATTGATTTGCATATGTAGAAACATTTTTGTAGCCCAGGTATAAATCCTATTTGGTCATGATAAATGATCTTTCTAATATATTGTTGAATTCAGTTTGCTGGTATTTTGATGAGAATGTTGGCATCAATCTTCATCAGAGATACTACCTTGTAGTTTTCTTTTTTTGATGTAGATCTGGTTTTGGTATCAGGGTAATACTGGACTCAGAATGAGTTTGGAAGTATTTCTTCCTCTATTTTTCAGAATAGTTTTAGTAAGATTGGTATTATTCTCCTTAAAATGTTTGATAGAATTCAGTAGTGAAACCATCAGGTCCTGAGCTTTTCTTTACTGGGAGACTTTCTATTACACTTTTGATCTTCTTACTCATTGTTTATTCAGATTTTGGATGTCTTCCTGGTTGAATCTTGGTAGGTTGTATGTGTCTAGGAATTTGTCCATTTCATCTAGATTTTCCAATTTATTTGCATAGAGTTGCTCATAGTAGCCACTAATGATCTTTTGAATTTCTGCAGTATCAGTTGTAATGTCTTTTACTATTTCTGATTTTATTTATGTTGGAAGAAAAGCTGAGTGTTGGGAGAGAAGCTGAGTCAGGGCTTGCATGTCTGCTAGACTTGCTGGCTTCTTACTTCTAGCACTCCCATTATCTCAAGTAGCCTTATGTTTCAAAGAAAATGGTAAACTGTCACAGCTGTAGCTCATTTGCTTGATACACCACTTCCTTTTAACCCCCACATCCTCACCAACTGTTTCTTTATTTGATCACCAGTAAATAGCGTGGGGTCCCATAGCTTGGGATCATCGCAACTTCCATACTAGCATTGGCCCCCTGGTTCCACTTTCTCTCTTAACTTGTCTTTTCTCATTCCTTTGACTCTGCCAGACTTTGTAGCCCCCACAGCCTGGTGTTGGGTCCGATCACTCCAACATTCCTGGCACCCAACATGGGGCAATGAAGACTCTGGTGAAGGAACGCTACAGTGTGTGAAAGCAGAGGATGCATTGTCAGAGGACACCAGAGGATGACTGAAAGAAGCTCGGTGGGAAAGCTGAGCACTCAGAAGAACCAGGGTAACAATGGGACAAAGTGAAAGCAAACAATTTGCTTATTTGAATTTCTTAAGGCATATATTATGAAGAGGGGGAATGAAAGTTAGTACTCAGAATTTGTCATCACTCTTTAGTACAGTAAAGCAGTTTTGCCCATGGTTTTCGGAAAAGGGACTATGGAGTTGGATGAATGGGAGAGAATTGGAAGAGATTTTTAAAAGTCTTATAAAGATGGAGTAAAAATTCCAGTTTCCATTTGGTCAATGCGGGCGCTAATAAAGGCAGTTCTTGAGCCATTTCAAACAGATGATGAGGCAGATTCAGATGAGGAAAAGGAGGATGCGTGTAAAAAACTAAACTAACTTCAGACTCTGAGTGTGAGGAACAACTACCAGAGGAGATTAAAGAAAAGAAAGGAAAACTAAAAAAAGTATGTTTTACTAGCCTGTTGGCTCCACCTGCTGAATTAAGTGAATGGCCACCTCCTCTCTCTCCTCTTAATGGGTGAGAGAATGAATTAGCTGAATATATTAAGGCTTGCTATGGCATTGGAGGTAACTTACATAAGGCTACTCTTTTAGCTCAGGCTATGGCCGGATTGAAAGTAGGAAAAAATATACCCCATTTCTCAGGCTCTTGTTTCAATTGTGGCCAATTTGGACACACAAGAAAGGAATGTAGAAAAGGAAATGCTATCTAGTAATGGAAAAACCTCATTTGCAGGACCTCAGCAGCAAGTTTTTCAAACTGACTTTTCTTCTGCTCAAAGGGCTGAACTTATGGCTGTGATAACAGTGTTAAAAACTTTTAAACAGCCAGTAAACATTGTTTCCGACTCAGCCTATGTAGTGCAAACCATGTAAAATATTGAATGTGCCTTAATTTGAAGTGTGACTGATGAACTACTTAATCTTTTATTTCATTCTTTACAGCAAGCAGTGCAACAAAGGCATTCCCCTTTCTATATCACTCATATGAGAGCACATACTAACTTCCCTGGCCCTTTAACTAAACTTAATCAAAGGGCAGATGCATCGGTGTCTACGGTCTTTGCTGATGCACAAACATTCCATTCTTTAACCCATCTTAATGCCACAGACCTTAGAAAAAGACATGGTCTATCACAGAAACAAGCTAAAGAAATGGTACAACACTGTTCTGCCTGCCAAGTCCTGCATCTGCCACATCAAGGAACAGAAGTTAACCCTAGAGGTTTATCTCTAAATTCCATCTGGCAGATGGATGTAACACATATTCCTGCTTTTGGAAAATTGTCCTTTGTTCATGTTCAAGTAGATACCTATTCACTTTTTATCTGGGCCACATGTCAAACAGGGGAAGCCACAGCTCATGTTAAAAGACATCTCTCATCTTGCTTTTCAGTTATGGGAATCCCCGAAAAGAATCAAAACTGATAATGGACCAGGATACTGTAGTAAAGCCATGGCTAGATTTTTTCAACAATGGAATATTACCCATACTACGGGTATTCCATATAACTCACAAGGACAGGCAATAGTGGAAAGAGCTAATCGTACTTTAAAAACTAAAATATGAAAGCAAAAGGGAGGGGATCAGGAATATAAGACACTGCATATGCAATTGCATTTAGCTTTATTAACATTAAATTTTTAAAATTTACAAAAATATCAACCCATGACTGCAGCTGAACAACACCTGACAGGACAAAAGGAAAACAAAAAGGCTAGACAAGATGTATGGTGGAAGGATGCACATACAAAGAGCTGGGAAAAAGGAAAGATAATTATATGGGGAAGGGGATTTGCTTGTGTCTCTCCAGGTGACAATAAGGTGCCTGTGTGGGTGCCCACCAAACATCTGAAGACCTATCATGGGCCACAACATCTAGTGGACCCACCTGTACAGTGCACATTGAAGGTTTAAGGATTGCTGTTTTGCTATACTGTTGTACAAGAAGGATAAGCCTCAATTTGCTTTCTCTATGCCTTCTGTTAATCAGAAAAAGCCTGCTTCTTGTTATCAATGGTAAGTTTTACCCTGCGGTAATTAACCAAAGAGGCAGAAGCTGAGTTATAAATGCTTCAGCAATGGCATGCTTCCCAGCTACAGAAAAAAAAAAGAAAAAAAAGACAAAAAACAAAAATCTTTGCTTCTGTTTCAGTAGATTTACTAACACGGGGGTGAGGGTATGCTTGTGTTTTTGCAGGAGATGAACAAACCATATGGGTGCCCTCAAGATGTGTATGACCATGGAATGCGAGACTGAAGGGACCCATGGATCCCAACCATGGACCGAGTTCCCCCAGTATGAGCCATGAGCCAGTTGAATCTGAATGCGAAGATGGAATGAGGACTGACTGAAGTCACACTGACATCAACCCCCATAACATGGGGACAGATTAAAAAAACCACACAGGAAGCTGAGAAACTGCTGGAGTGCCAGGGTTTTACCTTTTGCTGGGATTCAGAGGTACAATAGATGCTTCATGGACCAATGCTTTCTGACTGAACTCCTCTCTACCCTGAATACAAGAGATCCTAATAGGTAGGCAGGAATATCATTGCCCCCATTCAGCATGAAGAAGTTACAGAAGACAGACCTTCATCCTTCTGGAACCTTAGAACTGAGGGTCCTCTTGTAAAAGGGAAAGGGGAAATATGTAAGAAGCATTCAAACCACAGCAACTGTATTTTAAATAAGGGCTAAGAAAAATGAAGCTGGACCACCAATCGGCAATTAAGGGCTGCACAGCCTGCAATTGCCTTGATCAATTAATTTAAGAAAAAAAAAGAGGATCTTCTGGATTCAAAGTTGTGTTAGGTTACTCTTAAACGCCATCTGGAGGGCAGAGATGAAAATCTCACCCTCGATATTGAGAAACTAAAAGAGCAGGTTTCTGAAGCCTCTCAGGCTCACTTAGCCCTGCTCCCTGGAACTGATATTTTGAACAAGACAGGCGATGGGTTGTCTACAATCAGTCCTCTTAAATGGATTTAGGTCATTGGAAGCTCTACACTTGCAGATTTTGTTATAATAATTACGTGCTTGTACTGTCTCCTTTTGGTCTGCAGATGCGGAAGCTGCTGCTGGAGAGAAAGCCACGGTCGAGAACAAACAATGATAGCTGTGGTGGTTTTACAAAAAAGAAAAGGGGGCCATGTTGGGAGAAAAGCTGAGTGTTGGGAGAGAAACTGAGGCAGGGCTTGCATGTCTGCTAGACTTGCTGCCTCCTTACTTCTAGCACTCCCATTATCTCAAGTAGCCATATGTTTCAAAGAAAATACTAAACCATCACAGCTGTAGCTCATTCACTTGATACACCACTTCCTTTCAACCCACACATCCTTACCACCTGTTTCTTTGTTTGATCACCAATAAATAGCGTGGGCTCCCAGAGCTTGGGGACTTCGCAGCCTCCATACTAGCATTGGCCCCCTGGTCCCACTTTCTCTCTTAACTTGTCTTTTCTCATTCCTTTGACTGTGCTGGACTTCGTCACACCCACGTCCTGGTGTTGGGTTGGATCACCCCAAAAATTTACTTGGACCCTCTCTCTTTTTTTCTTAGTCTGGCTAAAGGTTTGTTCAGTTTTGTTTAACTTTTCAAAACACCAATTTCTTTTTTCATTGATCTTTGTATTGTTATTTTCATTTCAATTTTATTTTTTTCTGATCTTATCTTTATTATTTCTTTTCTTCTAGTAATTTTGGGTTTGGTTTGATCTTACTTTTCTAGTTCCTTAAGATGCATTATTAGATTATTTGAAGTTTTTCCTCTTTTATGATATGGCACTTACAGCTATAAACTTTCCTCTTAGTACTGTTTTGGCTGTATCCCATAGGTTTTAGTTCTTTGTATTTTCATTATCATTTGTTTTAATAAGAAATTTTCAATTTCCTTTTGAATTTCTTCATTGACCCACTTGTCATTTAGAAGCATATGGTTTAATTTTCATGTATTTGTATAGTTTTCAAAATTCCTTCTTGTTACTAATTTCTAGTTAATTTCCGTTGTGATCAAAGAAGATGCTTGATATTACTGCAATATTTTGAAGGTTTTAAGACTTGTTTTGTGACATAACATATGGTCTATCCTTGAGAATAATCCATGTGCTGAGGAAAAGAATGGGTATTCTGCAGCTATTTGATGAAATGTTCTGTAAATATCCATTAGATCCATTTGGCCTATAGTGCAGATTAAGTCTGAGCTTTCTTTGTTGATTCTCTCTCTAGAAGATCTGTCCAATGCATTTATTATTGTACTGAGGCTTATCTCTCTCTTTAGCACAATCATATTTGCATTGTGTATCTGAGTGCTCCAGTGTTGGTGCATATGTATTTAAAATTGTTATATCCTCTTTCTGTATTGACCCTTTTATCATTATACAGTGAACTTCTTTGTCTCCTCTTGTACTTTTCGTCTTAAAGTCTATGTTCTCTGATATAAATATAGTGACTCTTACTCCTTTCTGTTTTCCATTGTTATGGAATATTTTTCAATTCCTTTATTTTCAGTTTATGTGTTTCTTTATAGGTAAACTCTTTCTTGTGGGCAACAAATCAAGGGGTCTTCTTTTTTCCTCCTTTCAGCCAGCCTGTCTTTTGATTGGAGAATTTTGTCCATTTACTTTCAATCTTATTATTGATAAGTAAGGACTTACTCAAGCTATTTTGTTACTTGTTTTCTGGTCATTTTGTGGTCTCCTCCTCCTTCTTTCTCTCCTCCTGTCTTCCTTTACTGAAGATGATTTTCTCTGGTGATATGATTTAGCTCTTTGCTTTTTATTTTCTGTGTCTCCATTGTATGTTATTTGGTTTCAGTTTACCATGAGGTTTATAAATACTATCTTATAACACATTATTTTAAGCTGATAACAACTTAACACTGTTTGCATAAACAAGCAAATAAGCATGCAAAAAGAAAACTAGTAAAAAAACTTCTTGCCTTAACTTTGTCCCCTCACTTTTTAACTTTTTGTTGTTTCTATTTATATCTGTTGTACTATGTCTTGAAAATTTATTGTACTTTTTTTTTATTGGTTCAACATTTAGTCTTTCTACTATGGATAAGAGTAGCTTACACACCACAGTTACAGTGTTATGGTATTCCATGGTTTTCTGTGTACTTACTATTACAAATAAGTTTTGTATTTTAAGTGATATTATTCCTCATTAATATACTTTTCTTTCTGATTGAAGTACCCCCTTTAGCATTTCTTGTAGGACAAGTCTGGTATTGATTAAATCCATCAGCTTTTATTTGTCTGCAAAATTCTTTGTTTTTCCTTCATGGTTGAAGGACATTTTTTCTTGATCTACTATTCTAGGGTAAAAGTTGTTTTTTTTTTTTTCTTCAGCACTTTAAATATGTCATGCCACTTTCTCATAGATTGTAAGGTTTTCACTGAAAAGTCTGCTTCCAAATGTATTGGAGCTTCTTTACATGTTATTTAATTTTTTTTCTCCTTCTGCTTTTAGAATCCTTTTATTATCCCTGACCTTTGAGAGTTTGCTTATTAAATGTCTTGAGGTAGTCTTGTTTGATTTAAATCTGCTTGGTGTTCTGTAACCTCCTTGTACTTGGATATTGATAACTTTCTCTAGGTTTGGGAAGTTCTGTTATTATTATCCCTTTGAATAAACTTTCTATCCCATCTCATTTTCTATCTCCTCTTTAAGGTCAATAGCTTTTAGATTTGTCCTTTTGAGGCTATTTTCTAGACCCTGTAGAAGTGCTTCATTGGTTTTTTTTTTTCTTTTGTCTCCTCTGACTGTGTATTTTCAGTTAACCAATCTTCAAGATCACTAATTCTTTCTTCTGCTTGATCAATTCTGCTATTAAAGGACTCTGATACATTCTTCAGTACACCAATTATATTTTTCAGCCCCAGAATTTCTGCTTGATTCTTTTAAATTATTTCAATGTCTTTGTTAAATTTAACTGATAGAATTCTGAATTTCTTTTGTGTTTTCTTGAATTTATTTGAGTTTCCTCAACATAGCTATTTTGAATTCTCTGTCTGAAAAATCACATATCTCTGTTTCTCCAGGATTGGTTGTTATTGCCTCATTTAGTTCACTTGATGGGGTCATGTTTTTCTGGATGGTGTTGATGCTAGTAGATGTTCTTTGGCATCTAAGCATTGAAGAGTTAGGTATTTATTGTAGTATTCACTGTATGGGCATATTTGTAACCATTGCTTGGGAAGGCTTTCAGATATCTGAAACAACTTGGGTGTTGTGTTCTTAGCTATATCTGCTTTAGGGGACACCTCAAGCCCAGCAATACTGTGGTTCTTTAAGCTGTGATAGTCTTGAGATACTGCCTTGATGGTTTTGCACAAGATTCAGCTGAATTCTCTCGATTACCAAACAGACCCTCTTGTTATCTTCTCTTACATTCTCCCAAACAAACAGACTCTTTCCCTCTCTTTTGAGCCACATAAAGCTGGGGGTGGAGGGACACAAGCACTCCTGTGGCCACTACCACCATGACTATGCTGGGTGAGACCTGAAGACAGCACATCACTGAGTCTCACCCAAGGTCTGCTGTCATCACTTCCTGCCTACTACCTATGTTCATTCAAGGCCCTGGGACTCTACAATCAGCCAGTGGCAAAGCCAGCCAGGCCTGTATTCTTCTGTTTAGGGCAACAAGGTCCCTCAGGCCCCAGGTGGGTCCAGAGGTGTCATCCAAGAGATAGGGACTAGGGTCAAAAACTTTAAAAGTCTACCTGGTATTCTATTGTACTGCAGCTGAGCTGGAACTCAGACCACAAGTCACTGTACTTCCTACTCTCCCTTCCCTTTTTGAAATGCAGAAGAGTCTCAACCAGGCCAAGAGGAGTACTGCCAGACCACCACAATATTCCCTTAAGGTCCAAGGACTCTTAAGTCAGCTTGTAGTGCATGCTGCCTGGCTTGCCGCTCACTCTTCAGGGCAATAGGCACTCCTCTGGTTCAGAGAAGGTCCAGAAATGCTATCACAGAATCAAGTCCTGGTATCAGCGACCTCAAGAGTCTGTTGATCGCTGTACTCCCTTGTGGCTGTGCTGGTATCTAAGGTGCAAGACAAACTTCCCTTTCCTTTTCCCTCTCCTTTTCTTAAGCAGAAGCTTTGCCTCATA
This sequence comes from Homo sapiens, assembly GCF_000001405.40. Classification (NCBI taxonomy): domain Eukaryota; kingdom Metazoa; phylum Chordata; class Mammalia; order Primates; family Hominidae; genus Homo; species Homo sapiens. The sequence continues at coordinate 43,476,422 of NC_000004.12, forward strand.
GTCAACACAGCTGACAATGTATTGAGTTTCACCTGAAGCCAGCAAGTCTCAAGCTCAACAAAAGCCCCCCATGTAATACCTGGGTATTTCTGCTGATTATTCATGGCCCAAGGACTTGCCAATTAGCAGGTAATGAATGCTGCTATGCTTGGGTCATTTTCTTCAAGGCTGTGGGTTTCCTTCTGGCCCAGGGTGTTTAGCTAAGACCCAGAATGGTGGCCTCAGGACTCTGACTGGTGCCCTATCCTGTTGTGGCTGACCTGGTATCCAAGATGCAAGACAAAGTCCTTCCCACTCTTCCCTCTCCTCTTTTAAAGGGGAAGCAAGAGGTCTTTTTTGAAACTAGTGGATGTGCAGCCTGTGTTTAGTGGAGGGGCTCATGCCAGCACTCCCTTAGCATCCCCAGCCAGCATCTTCGTATGTCATGGGCTCTTATCATCTATTGTCTCTGGGTCTAGTTCAGCACTAGGACATGGCCTAAGAATTGCAGTCCTAATGGTCTAGACTGCCTTTCAAGTTTACTTGGGGACAGAGCACTGTAGCCCTAGGTGGTAAGGTTTGTGGGAACTCAAGTTATGACCACTGGGATCCATGATTCCCTTCTGGCTAGGGCTGTTTCTGGGTAGGTTTTAGCTGAGTTTGGTTCATTTTTTCTTTCTGCTGTAATAGGACAGTACTGAGTTCAATGCCTCACAATTGCTGTTTTTTCCCTCCTGCAGCATGCAGAGACTATACACAACACACAGTTGCTGCTAAGGTGTCAGGGAGAGGTTCATGTCAGTGATTCAGGATTGTTTTTTCCATCTTTTCGTGGCTCTTTCAATGATACAAAGTTGAAACTAGGTACCATGAAGGCTCATCTAGATTTGTTTTTTATGAATGTATTTTTTTTTCTGTGTAGATAGTTGTTAAATTGGTGTCTTTGTGGGGTGGGGAAAACTAGAGCATTCTATCCTGCCATCTTCCTCTGCCTTTCTCCTGCATGTTGATTTTTGTATCCTGTATTTTCTAAAAATTATTTCTAACAGATTTTTGGTTAAGTCCTGATAATTTTCTGTATATAAGATTATGTCATCTCAAAACAGAAACAATTTAACTATTTAAAAGATACATTTGGATGATTTTTAATTCTATTTCTTGCCTAATTGCTCTGGATAGGATTTCCAGTACTCTGTTAACAGAAGTCATGGTGAGAGCAGGCACTCTTGTCTTGTTCCTTATCTCAGAGGAAAAGCTTTCAACTTTTCATAGTTGGACATGGTATTAATAGCAAATTTGTCATAAATGGCCTTTGTTATGTTGAGGTACATTTCTTGTCTACCTTATCTTCTGAGAGTTTTTATTATGAAACCATCTTAAATTTTGTCAAATGATTTCTCAGCATCTATTAAGATGATTATATAATTCACACTCCTTATGCTATTAATGTAGTATATGACATTTGTTGATTTGACATTGTTGAATCATCCTTGCATCCCATGGATCATTAGGAATATTGGTGTGTAATTTTCTTTTTGTATAGTGTACTTATCTCACTTTGGTATGAGGGTAATCCTGGCCCCATAAAATGAATTTAGAAGGGTTCCTATGCTGCAAATTTTAGGAAGAGTTTGAGAAAAATTTGTACTAACTATTCTTTAAATGTGTGGTAGAATTCACCCATGAAGCCATCTGGTTCTTGGCTTTTCTTGGTTGGTAGGTTTTTTATTCTATATCTATCTCCTTACTTATTTTTCTGTTTAGGTTTGCTATTTTGTTGCGATTCAGTCTTGATGTATTGCATGCTTCTAGGAATTTATCGATTTCCTCTAGGTTATCCAATTTGTTGGCATGTAATTGTTTATAATTGTCTCTTATAATCCTTTGCATTTCTGTGGCGTCTGTTGTATTATCTCCTCTTTTATTATATTTTTATTTGAGTTTTCTGTATTTATCTTGTATTTATCTTCCTTAGTCTAGCTAAATGTTTGTAAATTTCATTCATGGTTTTAAAAATAAACTCTTAGTTTCATTGATATTTTTACTTTTTCTAGTCTTTATTTATTTCTGCTCTAATCACTATTTTATTTTTTTCTGCTAACTTTAGGCTTAGTTTGTTTTTCTTTTTATAATCCCCTTAGGTTAAAGTTAGGTTGTGTATTTGAGATTTTTTTTTAATGTAGGCATTTATCTCTATAAATTTTAACCTTACAACTTCTTTTGCTGCATCCCATAAACTTTGATATATTGTGTTTCCATTTTTGTTTGTCTCAAGATACATTTTGGTTTCTCTTTTGATTCCAGAAATGTATTTTTTTAAATATCTCATGAGTTAGATAATAACTGATAATTTATCATTTTAGCTTAATGATATTTTAACTATAATTCTTTTTAAAATTGGTTTTGAAGATCATTAATATGAAAAAAGAAAAATACAAATTAGTTGTCAAAGAGTATATACATAATAAAGAATATATACCTATATAGTATGTACACATATATAAACACACACATATATTAATTAAAAGAATAGTAATAAAGACCTTGAAATTAAGAATACAATTATTTGTAAGCCACTGTGTTTTAGAAAAAATCGTTAACAGAAACTGCATAGTCACGTCTCTGCTACTGGGCATATGTATGCTTAGCATTAATCAGATTGAATTTTACAATGGATTGGTACAGGAAAGGGATCCTGATTGAGACTCCCAAAAGATGGTACTTGGATCTCATGCATAAAAAAAAAAAAAAAAAATTGAGGGTGAGTCTTCCGAGTAAAGTGAAAGCAAGTTTATTAAGGAAGTAAAGGAATAAAAGAATGGCTACTCCATAGACAGAGCAGCCCCAAGGGCTGGTTGCCCGTTTTTATGGGTATTTCTTGATGGTTATTTCATGCTAAACAAGTGGTGGATTATTCAGACCTCCTCTTTTTAGGCCATATAGGGTAACTTCCTGACATTGCCTTGGCAGTTGTAAACTGTCATGGCACTGGTGGGAGTGTAGCAGTGAGGATGATGAGAGGTCACTCTTAATGCCGTCTTAGTTTTGGTGGGATTTGGCCAGATTCTTTATTGCAATCTGTTTTATCAGCAAGGTCTTTATGACCTGTATCTTGTGCAGACCTCCTATCTCATCCTGTGACTAAGAATGCCTTAACCTACTGGGAATGAAACCCAGTAGGCCTTCGCCTTATTTTATCCAGCCCCTCTTCAAGATGGAGTTGCTTTGGTTCAAACACCTCTGACATTTTGGCTTAAGGAGCCTAAACAAATGCAGCTAAAAGAAGCCTTATTTAATTTAACAGCCCTTCAATTTGATGATATATCCCCAAATCATGTGAAAACTTTCAAAATGTCATTACATTCTTATTTTTGTTAGACTAATTTTTCTTCCTTAATCCAAGCTTATGGGAACAAGAGAACTGACAGTCTTTTAAAAATATTTTTCTAACAATGAGGTAGGTGTAAGTAGCAGCAAATGAACTCAACAAAAAATACTACTCTGATATTGGTGAAAAATTTACCATTTAATATTAATATTTCTTCTACTAATTACAAGAAATTAGAGTTAACAGCGTTTTAGAGCCTTTTCACATATTGGGAACCCAGTGAAGATTTATTGAGTAGGTAAAGATGACAATCTAGTTGATCCACAATCTAGTTGATCAACAATCTAAAGATGACAATCTAGTTGATCCACAATCTAGTTGATCAACAATCTGTTGATCCACAATCCCCTTTCTCCCAAAATGAATGGCCACTGGTCACTATAATGGATGTTACTCACATGCATAACAATGCTAGAAAAACATTCATATTTTAATGAAGCCAAAATTATTTTTAACAAAATAAAGCTCCTTCATAATCTATATTCAACATAACAATTAAGTCCTTAAATGAAATCTTTTGTAGGGCTGAGGCTGAAAAAAAGGCAGGTTATAGTGTGCTGAATTCCAAGCACATTATCCATTACTTCATGTCCTTTTCACCTACACAGGCGAAAAGATTTAACAATGAAAATGACTGAGTTATTACAAGGATAATATTGAATTTTCTCTAATTCATCAAAGCAGATGAATTATTGTGAAAAAGTCTATATTTTGATGTTCAATATACTAGGTTTAACTAGTTCTATTATACCATTAGGTTGAACTCTACCATGGAGAAAGCTTAATTGTTTAATCCTGTAATGTGAGAAAAAGATGCATGAGCAGTTATAAAAAGTTTGACAAATTTTAAAGGCATATACTACATATATTATTAGTACCATTATTTTAATCTGTGTCTTATAAAATATTGAAAAGTAAAGATCATAAATTTATAAACTTCTATTTTATAAGACCTTGTTTACTTAAAAGGTTAATGCCATAGCGGATAATTCTCTTTACATACTATACAATAAAGGGCCTTATTCCTCTTTTTTATTATTTTTATTTTTTACGAAAGACCTTTCAGTGTTCAATTTGTTTTTCTTTTCAGTTAATAAAAATTAAGGAGAAAATTTTTTGTATTTTTCCTTTGGAAAAGAGACATCATAGTGGTTGTTTATTTATTTATGCAAGCACATGGAAGGTTAGTGAATGAAAATGGCCCAAATTATTGTCTAACAAGTTTTAGAAAAGGACAAAAACAAAACAGTGAAGAACCTGAGAGATTCTCATTCCACCTAGTAATGACAGAAGGGTAGCATTGGCACGTGTACAAACATTTAAACTTTCAGGTTGTCTTTTTTCCAGAAATATAAGATGAAGTTTTTTTTTTTTAAAAACTACACAAATTTCTATTACTTATGCCTTTGTATATCCTCTGAACTCCTCCAATTTTAATGGCAATTGTAATCTGTGACTAAAGGAGACAGGCGGATAATCACCCTTGAAAGAGAGCTGTTCCATACTTAATAGGGATTTGATTCCACTAAGAAGAAGCAGCTTGAGATAGGTGATTGGGGAGATGCGGCAAGTTTTAAGAGTGGGCTTGACAGTGGTAATGGGAGGTGTTGGACTTCTTTACTGTGTTAGAGAAAAACTTAAGCTATGTATTCTGGTATAATCAAATGGGACATTTTTTGCTCATATTTAGAAACTTTGTTCAGCGCAGATTTGTAGGTTGTTTTGGGGAAGACTAAGAAAAAGAAATATAGTATTAACAGGTTTGTCTATGTTTCTGCTTCTCTCTGTGTTGGCCTTATTCTTTCCTAATGTAAGTGGGCTGTCTTAATGTAGGGAGTAACACAACAGAGCCCCTGCTCATATTCTTCCAACTATCAGTCACAGATAAAAAGGGAAGCAGGTAGTTTGGCCCTTCATGGGCCTTGTGCCCTTATCTTAAATCAGCCACAGAGTCAAGATGTTACTCCTTACGTTAGATCTAATTTGAGACATTTACCACTTACTTGTGTGACAAAAATAGGACCTTTTCTCAGAAGAGAAAAAGCACAGACCTGAGGACCCTGTAAGCCAGTTACAAAGGCATTACCTAAGAAGAGGTTTTCTTTCTAAGGGAGCCAAGTTAAAGATTACACAATGTTTCTCTGTTCAAAAAGCACTGAAGATACTGTCAAATAAAAATGCATTGCTACACTATGAGAGAACAGCTACATCTGTAAGTCACCCAGATTCTCTACTTCTCATAGCTCAAATTCTCATTAGTTCTCTCCTGGCCTATCTAAATAAACTCCCTAATCAAGTGTCTCTCTTCTCTTCTCTCACTCTTGTCCATTCTTATATTCTTGGCAGACTCACTCTTGTAAATTACAAAGCCTAACTGGTGTCCTTTTTTCTTTTAAAATATGGCCATATCTTAGTGTTCATCTCTCTTTCTTAAAAGCAAGTTACCACTAATCTGTTCTGTGCTTGTTTATGCATTCTTCAGAATTCAGCTCAAATGACATCTGATTCAGTATTTCCAAACCTGGTTGATTAGCGTAACCTGGTTGATTAGCATAACCAATTGGAAGACATATTAAAAGATAAATGTCAGGACTTGCTACCACATTCTGATTCCTGGGTCTGGATAATGCCGGGATAACTCTGATGTCCCAGAAATTTTGATAATCAGTGATACAAGTATAGAAGCCTTCCAAAATCCAACTCTCCTTCAATCTTTGGTGCTAATTTCTCCACATTTGTAATCCCACAGCACTAAATGTTTGCACCACATCCTCAATGCTCTTATGACAATGGGATAAAACCGATTTGAGAAATACTAAAAGGAAACTTTTTCTTACATTGATATTTATCTATTTCAGGGATTAAACTTCCCACCTTAGCAAGTGCCTCTAAAATAGCAGATAAATTTCTTAGTTAATGGCAACTTATGTAATTCTGAAACATTATAATACATGAATCATAAGAAATAAACTACTTGTATTTCTTTTTCATTATTTAAAAACAATTTGCTCAATATATATTTTTAATTTATAGAAACTAGTTTAACTTTAAACATTGGCATGTACTGAGATAAGTATTTCTGAATAGTAGTTGAGTTATCTTTAGAAGGTTGGTAAAATATATATATTACATATAGAATTATATATATATAAATATGTAGAGATAGTAATTCAAGAGGGTACTTGTGAGGTTTTAAAAATCTGTTCATCGAAATCTTTAAATACATTAAGTTTAAAATTTAGAAAAAAATCTCAGAGTACAGATTTTGTTCAGTTTGAATTATTTTAATGTTATTGTTTTTTTCAGAAGAATTTATTATTTTTATTTATTTAGTTAGTTTATTGGGGAGGGTGTTCCTGAAGCCATTAGCCCTTAAAATATCTTCCTAGGCATATACATTTGTGCACTAACCCTTCTAGCTAAGATATGGAACTATGTGAAAATCTTTTGCTACTGCGTTAACAACTTGAAAAACATGGAGAGGAAAATTCCCATTTTCTTTAGGCTTAGCAAATAATAATGGATGTAAATAAAATATGAATAAATTATGAATTCTAGAAATGAAAAATAAAATACCTGACATTTTAAAAAGTATTGCATGGGGGTAAAAGCACATTGCAGAAAAAAAATCAATAAACTAACATAAAATTTATCTAAATTAAAACAGGAAGAGAGAGGGTAAAAAGAATAAAAAGTGTAAAGTGAGTATCACTAACCTATAAGAAAATATCAACAAATCTATCTTAAGTGTAATTAAAGGCTTAGAAGAAAAGAATGGGAGAATAAAAAATCTCAACCTACTGATGTAACAACAAATACTTAGTGGAAATATAACAAGGAAAACCCCAACAAGGCCATTGTAGTTAAATCACTGGAAACCAAAAGAACATGTTAATGGCATCCAGGAGAAAAAATACATAGTATGAAGAGGAATAATTATAAGAATGATAATAGTCTTATTATTAAAAAATATGTAAGCCAGAAGGCAGAAAACAACAAATTTTAAACATGGAATTTTATATCTATTAAGATTATATTTTAAAAATCAGGACCAAATAAACCTATTTTTAGATAAATGAAAGGTATGAAGGTATATAGCCAGCAGACATGTACTAAAACAGACACTAAGAAAAATTGTTCAGGGATGAAGAAAAATAATACAAGAAGGAAATGCAAATGTAGAAGAAGGAATAAAGAGTACCAGATATGGTAAATATGCAGGCTCGCGTTAAAGACTACTTTGTGTTTTCTTAATTTATTTTATAAAATAATTGTCAGTTTAAATAAATAAAAATATTCATATACACAATAGGTTATTATTCAGCCATAAAAAAGAATGAGTTCCTGTCATTTGCAACAACATAGATGAAACTGGAGGACAATATGTTAGGCAAAAATATGCCAGGCAGAGAAACACAAGCATGTTCTTATTTATTTGTCGGAGTTAAAAATTAAAACAATTAAACTCATGGAAATAGAGAGCAGAATAATGATTACCAGAGGCTGGAAAGTGTAATGGGTGGGGTGGGGTGGATGGTTAATGGGTGTAAAAATATAGTTACATAGAATGCATAAGATGTAGCACTTGATAGCACAATAGGGTGACTACAGTCAACAATAATTTATTGTCGAGTTTTAAATAATGAAAAGGATATAATTGGATTGTTTGTAACACAAAGAAAAGAACAATCCTCGAAGTGATGGGAAAAAATAATGAAAAATAAATAAATAAATAAAATATTCTATAATGTATTTTGGGTTTTTTTTAATGCATAGGAGAAACAAAACGTGACATCAATAATCAAAACAACTGAGTAGTCAATGGAATTATATTGTTGTATGTTTCCTAGATAATATGTAAAGTGGCATAATATTAGTCTCAGGTAGAATTTGATAAGTTAGGGATGTGCATTACAATTTCAAGACAATACACTTATGACTAAACAATAAAATGAAGATATGATGAAAAACGACAGAAGTGGAGAACAGTGTTGTGGATGGAATTGTGACCACCAAAATTCATATTCATATATTGACGCCCTAAACTCTAAATTGTCTATATTTGGAGAATGGGACCTTAGAAAATGCAATGAAGGTCAAATGAGATCATCAGTGGTGTCTTAATCCAATATGACGGGTATACTTATAAGAGGAGGAAGAGATACCAGGGAGACACTGACACAGAGAAGAGGACACATGAGGACATTTAATTCCATTAAATGTAAACGGATTAAGCACTCTAATTTAAAGGCAGTGTATTAGTCTGTTCTCATGCTGCTATGAAGAAATACCTGAGACTGGGTAATTTATAAAGCCTGTTAATCAGTTCCAAAGTCACTTCCACATTTTCGAGTGTCTTTATAGCAGCACCCCACTCTTTGCGGTACCAATTTATTGTATTCATTCATTCTCACACTGCTAATAAAGACATACTTGAGACTGGATAATTTATAAAGAAAAGAGGTTTAAGTGACTCAGTTCAGCATGGTTGGAGAGGCCTCACTAAACTTACAATTATGGCTAAAGGGGAAGCAAACACTCCGTCTTCACAGGGCAGCAGGAAGGAGAATGAGTGCCTGGGAAAACTATCAGAGTTCATGAAAACGAACTCACTATCATGAGAACAGGATGTGGGAAACCACCCCCATGATTCAATTATCTCCACCTGGTCCCTCTTGTTAACACGTGGGGATTATGGGAACTACAATTCAAGATGAGATTTGGGTGTGGACTCGGCAAAATTATATCATGCATTGATTGCCAGGCTGAATAAATTTAATACTAAATTTTATGGTCTTTAGAAGAGATGTTATTTAAATATAAATACACAGATTGAAAGCCATGCATATTTTTATTCCTCAGTTTTTAAGTTGTTTTCTACTAAGAGTTTAGGCACATAACTCCGTAATGCATCTGGAGTTGATTATAATATATAGTGATGATAGGATTTAATGCTATATTCTTTAAGAAAACCATTTTTTTTCCAACTCCACTAATTGAAAAGTTTTTCTTTTAGTGCTTATCTGAACTGGCAGTTTTAACATATACAAAAGTTTCCTACATAGGTAGGTCAGTTAATTGGCTCCTCTCTCTTTCTCTCTCTCTTCTCAGTCAACTTATAAACTATATCTTCATAGAAAAGCTTAAACTCTTATATGACAATTCCCCTTTGGTTATTCTTTGGATGTATTCTGTTTTCTTAGAATTAAACTCTTATATGACAATTCCCCTTTGGTTATTCTTTGGATGTATTCTGTTTTCTTAGAATTATAGCTCTTCATGTAAATTTTATAGTAATTCTAAAATTCATTAAAATATATGATTTTTCTTGGAATTTCATGAAATGTACAGGTCAATTTGTAGCAAATTGATACCTTTATGATAATAAGTCTTCTAAAATTTCTACATTTAGGATAATATGTGTATCAGGTTTATGCTGGCTTCTTAGAATGAATTGAAGAAAATTTCCTTTTTATCCTACTGTCTGGAAAAGTTTAAATAGAATTGGGATAATCTGTTCCTTGAAAGGTTAATAGAATTTTCTTATGAAACTTTCTGGGCCTGATGTTTTCTATGCAGAAAAATTTTATCCTGACATCAGTTTCTTTAATTATTATAGAAATCTTCAAACTTTTCATTCTTGTAGAGCCTTTTTAGTAGAAAGAATTTCTCAAGAAATTTGTGCCTTTTATCTACATTTTAAAACTATTTGGTATACTGTTATTGATGTTCTATTATTATTGTCTAATATCTTTTGCCTATATATATGTATCTATTTTTATTCAAAATAGTTTTTATTACTTTTCTTCTCTTCTCTTGATAAGCACTGCCAGAGATTTGTTGATATTGTCAGCTTTTACAATGAAGAAGCTTTTGGCTTTGTTGTTTTTTGTATAGTATCTTTATTTTGTAGCTTATTAATCCCTGGTTTTATTTTTAAATCTATCATTCCATTCATTTGGGTTCATTCTGTTTTTTTCTACTAATTAATGATGGACCCTAAGCTCTTTATATTAATTTTTGTCTTTTCAATATAGTCATGCAAGACTACAGATTTCTCCATAATGCACAACTATTGTTACATCTCAAACCCCACATGTGCTGTTTACAGTGTAATTTTAATGCATTCTACTATTTGCTCCATTTTTTACATTATTTATTATTTATTCTTTAGTTATGTAACATGTATTTTTTTCTTTCCAAATATATGATTTAAAATTTATCTTTTTGCTAATTATAACTGCTGTATTATAGTGAAAGATTATATTTTTGACAACTATTATTTATGTTTTGAGGAATTTTACCTTGTAAATAACTCATTATTGTAAATGTTCCATGAGTGTTAATACAGATGCATATTCACTCTAATTGCTGTACAGAGAACTCCAAATATTTTCTTTTTTTTTCACATTATATAGTATTCTACTATCTTGCTAGATACTTAACATACATAATCACATTTAACCCCCACAAAAGTCCTGCTGCATGTATATAACAAGCCTCACTTAACAGAAGAAAGTGTTGAAACTAAGAGTTAAGTGAATTGCAGAACATCCTTTGCTGCTAATTGTAAGCAGCAGGATTTGCCCCTGGGCTGTTTAATTCCAGAGCCCATGCATTTATATTATGCCATTTGAGATAGCTTTAGTTATATAGATGTTTACCAACCTATGTGTGCACACAAATACAGTCACACATATATACATATTTTCTCTGGAGAGAAATACAGCAAGCTCTGCTATCTGGCCTGTTCACATGTTGACACTTCTGCCTGAACATACTATTTCTGTGACTTTCAGCATAGTTGGATTCTTGTCATCTTATGGGTCTCAGCTTAAATGTTACCTCCTGACTTTCTTTTTTTATTATTACTATAGTTTAAGTTCTGGGATACACGTGCAGAACATGCAAGTTTGATATATAGGTATATGTGTGCCATGGTAGTTTGCTACACCCATCAACCCGTCATCTACATTAGGTATTTCTCCTAATGCTATCCTTCCCCCAGCCCCGTACCCCCTAAAAGGCCCAGGTGTGTGATGTTCCCCTCCAGGTGTCCATGTGTTCTCATTGTTCAACTCCCACTTATAAGTGAGAACATGCAGTGTTTGGCTTTCTGTTCCTGTGTTAGTTTGCTAAGAATGATGGTTTCTAGCTTCATGCATGTTCCTGCAAAGGACATGAACTCATTCTTTTTTATGGCTGCATAGTATTCCATGGTGTATATGTGCCACATTTTCTTTATCCAGTCTATCATTGATGGGTATTTGGTTTGATTCCAAGTCTTTGTTATTGTGAATAGTGCTGTGAGAAACATATGTGTGCACGTGTCTTTATAGTAGCATGATTTATAATCCTTTGTGTATATATCCAGTAATTGATTGCTGGGTCAAATGGTATTTCTGGTTGTAGATCACGAGGAATTGTCACACTGTCTTCCACAATGGTTGAACTGATTTATACTCCCAGCAACAGTGTAAAAGCATTCCTATTTCTCCACATCCTCTCCAGCATCTGTTGTTTCCTGACTTTTTAATGATCACCATTCTAACTGGCATGAGATTGTATCTCATTGTGGTTTTGATTTACATTTCTCTAATGAACAGTGATGATGAGCTTTTTCCATGTTTATTGGCCGTATACATGTCTTCTTTTAAGAAGTGTCTGTTCATATCCTTTACCCACTTTTGATGGGGTTGTTTTTTATTTTTCTTGTAAATTTGTTTAAGTTCCTTGTAGATTCTGGATATTAGCCCTTTATCAGATAGATAGATTGCAAAAATTTTCTCCCATTCTGTAGGTTGCCTGTTCACTCTGATGATAGCTTCTTTTGCTGTGCAGAAGCTCTTTAGTTTAATTAAGCTCTTTAGTTTAATTAAGAATCAGTATCATGAAAATGGCCATACTGCCCAAAGTAATTTATAGATTCAAGGTTATCCCCATCAAGCTACCACTGAATTTCTTCACAGAATTAGAAAAAACTACTTTAAATTTCACATGGAACTAAAAAAGAGCCCATGTATCCAAGACAATCCTAAGCAAAAAGAATAAAGCTGGAGGCATCACACTACTTGACTTCAAACTATACTATAAAGCTACAGTAAACAAAACAGCATGGTTCTGGTACCAAAACAGATATATAGACCACTGGAACAGAACAGATGCCTCAGAAATAACACCACACATCTACAACCATCTGATCTTTGACAAACCTGACAAAAACAAGCAATAGGGAAAGGATTACCTATTTAATAAATGGTGTTGGGAAAACTGACTAGCCATATGTGGAAAACTGAAACTGGACCCCTTCCTTACGCTTTATACAAAAATTAACTCAAGATGGATTATAGACTTAAACGTAAGACCTAAAACCATAAAAAACCTAGAAGAAAACCTAGGCAATACCATTCAGGATATAGGCATGGGCAAAGACTTCATGACTAAATGTTTTCATTAGATTAAATTGTCACTTTGTTTTTATATATTCTACGCCCTTGCTATATTATTGCTAAATTTTTGACTTATGAATAATAGAGAAATAATTTATAATGGTAGATTTGTCAGTTTTTCTCTATAGTTCTATCAAGTCTTGCTTCATGTTTTGAGCTTATTTTATAAGTAGTTTACAGTATAAAATTGATTTTTCTTTATAATTAACATCTTAGTGTCATTTCTGTAGGTTTATATCTTTACCTTTTAATCTTATTGTATATGATACTAAACTGAAACATTATCTTGGAGTTAACATTTGCTTCATGTGTCTTTTCCCAGTTCTTTAAAATTTTTTGATTTTATGCTTTTTCATGCCTCTTGTAAACAGTGAATTTCTGGAATTTGCATTCATTTTATCCAATTTGTGAATTTTTATCTTTTAACTTTTAAATTTAGTCCATTTGCATTCATCATAATAATGTATATATTTGGACGTTGTTTCATCATTTTAACTTATTATTTCATTTTATATCACACTAGAAAAGTGTATTTAAATATTTTAATTTTTAATTGATAAACATTTTCCCATGGTTTTACCTCTTTTGTTCTCTTCTATGTCCCAAATTAACTAGCTATTACCTAAAATTTTTATTCTAGAGTATTATGGATATTTTTCTTTACTCTTCTGCTATTAGCTATTTCTAGGACAGTACTACATTTTCTCAAATCTTCACCAAAACTTCATGTATGTCTTGCAGCACCATGTCTTTGATATATCACTTTATAATTCAAGAACTGCTTAAAGAGAAAAGATCAATTAATGTATTTCTTATCTTACCTGTGCTTAGGAAATTATTGCACTGAAGTGATTATGACTCATCCATAATTAAATTTGTAACAATGTTATTAGGTTAGCATTCTTTCTGATAATTTACTCTACTTATCATATTTTACATTTCTATTGAGTAGTTTCCCTATGGGATATCTGTTCTCTTCTTACATATTTTGCCACCAAAACTGTTAGCCACACTTACATGTTGTCTAGAATAATTAGGGGGGATGCTAAAAAAGAAACAGTTTTTTAAATGAATTTTAAAAATCTATGGAAAATGTATACTATATAGACATTCTGTCATAGTTGAATCAGTGAACATCGGAAAAGCTCTCATACTGTTGCTGGAAGAGAAGTCAAAAAAGGCTTTCACTCAAACAAGGCTTTATTTCAATCAACTCTTAACATTTTCACTGTACATTTTTTCTCCATTGAAAAATTAATATTCCCAAAGGCATATATAAAAAATTATGTACATAAAAATATAAATAAAAGCCTAAAAATGAGAAAATGTACATACAAATTTTCTCCAACAAATCAGGATAAGAAATAATAGTGTAGCATGCCTTTGTCAAAAATTTTACTTTCATTAAATATTAAAAAATGGACATATTAGTTTAAGAAAATATTTATTTGGCATATATGATGATATACTTTATTGAGAGGATTTTAAAAGACATTGAAGAAATATACATAGACGGTTGGAGTGGTGAAAAAAAGTATTTATAAAGCATTTTGGAAAAATAAGTATGAAGTACAAGACCTAGTGGAACTTTCTTGTGGCATTTACCATTTTATTTCATCAGAGATATTCAAGTGACTTCATAACGTATGCAAGCTGTTGTATCAGAAATTTTGTTTTTGAAAGTCTTTTTAGCATATATGTTATTGAAAAAGCACTAAGTTTTCATGTTCTGTTTAAAATATTGATCTACCACTTAGCAGCTGTGTGTCCTTCCACAAGCCATGTTAACTCTCTATGGTTCTATTTATTCACTTTTAAAATGAGGGATTTTGACTGGAGGATTCTAAAACTGCTTTCTAACACTAAATGCTCTTGGTCTATGGCTGCAGTTCTTAGTCTTACATCCAGGCTCACTGACATTGAATATATCGTATTTTAAGATATTTGCGGCTGGGCGCGGTGGCTCACGCTTGTAATCCCAGCACTTTGGGAGGCAGAGGCGGGCGGATCACGAGGTCAGGAGATCGAGACCACGGTGAAACCCCGTCTCTACTGAAAATACAAAAAAATTAGCCCGGCACAGTGGTGGCCACCTGTGGTCCCAGCTACTCTGAGAGGCCAGGCCGAGGCAGGATGGCGTGAACCCAGGAGGCGGAGCTTGCAGTGAGCAGAGCTCGCGCCAATGCACTCCAGCCTGGGCGACAGAGCGAGACTCCGTCTCAAAAAAAAAAAAAAAAAAAAAAGATATTTGCTTAAACACATTTTGCAGGAAATAATTTTTATAGTTTTATTAACTCTAAGATATTTTGTTACCCAGAAAGTTAAATCTCATTGTTATAGGGGAATATTATAATGATAGAATTGACCATTTCTTCCAGGGTTGATTTCGGCAAAACAATATCATTCCAGTGACATTGTAAAATACCTTATAATGTGTATTCGTTAGTCATTTATGTTATATTTTACATATAACACATCCTGTTTGCTTCCTAAAAATCTTATATTGAGAAGCCAACTTATTTGAAAAGATTCTGAATAGTAATGTCTAAGCTAATTAATAATCCTTTTATTATTAATTAGGTGAAATTTTTTTCAAGAGAGAAAATAGCAGATGTTTTGTTTAGATGAATTCATTAATTCATTTGTTCATCAAATATATATTGAGTCAATATTATGGACCAAACATTGCTCTAAACACAGCAGTGAATAACATTACCTGCCTTTATGGCATATGAATTTCAGAGGGAGAGACCAGTGATAAATGATAAATGAATACAACAGAAATATAAATAATGTATTGTCAGACTGAAGAATGCTATACATGAAAAAGAAAGGACTGCAAGTTTTAGAGGCTGGTGGGTGGAGATGTAGGTTCTTACTTAAATATCTGTCGTTCAGATAAGTGTTTAAAGGAGGTGATTTTTCAGCAGATGCCTGAATAAAGTAAAGGTGAGGGAGACCTCTGTGAATTCTGGGGAAGGAGAGATCCAGGCAGAAGGAAGAGCAAGTACAAATACCCTGCATCAGATTTATGATTAGCATGTTGGAGGAAAAAAATAGATGAATATCATAAGATCACAAGGAAAGGAAAGTCTGGTTCCTAACTTTCTAATGTCATATTGTCTATTTCAGTTTGGGCTGTTAAAACAAATGACCATAGACTGGATGAATTATAAACAGCAGCAAATTATTTCTCACAGTACTGGGAACTGGAAATCTGAGATCAGGATCAGGATGTAGCACAGTTGGGTTCTAGTGAGTGTCCTCTTCTGGGATGCAGAATGCTAACTTCTTGTTGTATTCTCACATGGCAGAAAAAGATCTAGTTAGCTCTCTGGCCTGTTTTCATAAGTGCATTAATTCCATTCATGAGGTATCCACCTTTATGACCTAATTACCTTTCAATTGTCCCATCTCCAAAACACATTTAATCCACACATACACACATATAATGTGTATGTGTTCCAAACATATATATTATAAGGTATATATGTGTGTATGTGTGTGTGTATGTGTGTACACACACACATACATACACAAACACACAGAGATATATAATACCTTACTGCCTGTAACATAAATTCCATGTAAACATTCTATAACTTTCATTTTAAAAGAAAGGCTGCCTATTGGTTGGAGACTATAGAGGCAAGAATAGCAATTTTTATGTCTTAGATTAAGAGATTCCTGAGAAAGGAGGCATTTTTTGTAAACCTGAACTATTTATGTAGTAGGTTAAATCACCAGTTATTTAAATTTCTGGATTGCAGCCTGATTTAAAGCTGTTTGTCTGAATCGAAAAATTCATGATTTTCCTGCAACTGTCTGTAATTATATCTAGAACAGATTGATATTTTAGGAATTCTTGTCTTAAAAATATGTGATCTTAGAGCTTGTGGTAGTAATAATAATGTCCATATTTTAGATTCAACTTTGAAGCAAGCTTGTAAAAGTTTTGTCTGATTTAAGCTTTTCTACTTCAGGAAAAATAGAGGGAGCTGGGAATTAATGAAATGTAATAGATGTTGAATTGTTAACTTTTCAAGCAGGGAGGAAGTTAAGGTTAAATGAGGTAGTGCCCTGGAGAGCACTTTGATCTCTTTAGAGGAAAGTTGTCATACAAATTATTATGTTTCTGTTGTTGTTCCTCATTTTATGCTGTTTATACATGTAAGCACTCCACTTATGTTTTTATTAGTACATTTTTTTTTCTAGAAGCAGAATTATTTCCTCAATGCCAGACAATCTAAGATTGGCTTTTTCCCAATATTTTAATTTTGATGTATGTTGGTTTTTGTAGCTATGTATAGCATCTGTAATCCCAGCACTTTGGGAGGCCAAGGTGGGCGGATCACGAGGTCAGTAGTTCGAGACCAGCCTGGCCAACATGGTGAAACCCAGTCTCTACTAAAAATTAGCTGGATGTGATGGCAGGCGCCTGTAATCCCAGCTACTTGGGAGGCTGAGGCAGGAGAATAGCTTGAAACTGGAAGGTGGAGGTTGCAGTGAGCTGAGATCATGCCACTGCATTCCAGCTTGGACAAAAAAGCGAAACTTCATTCTCAAAAGAAAAAATTTAAAAAAGAGAGAGAAAAACATGTGCTCATGGAGGATATTTGAATATACATGATTTTCTTATCTTAAGAAAATTCAACATACTAGTAGTAAATTGAGTTGACTATTAATTTTCCAAGATAATTCGCAAAAGAAATTCATTCATTCTGCAAGCTCCCTTAATGAATTTATAATAAATCCAAGTATGAAAACATTCAATTGAAAAACATATTTACAGATATTTCAGAGAGATCATTCATTTAAGAAGTTATTATATCTATGGATTACTCTGGCACATGCACTGAAGTCTTCTTTATAGAATGGTTTTAATCTCTGCTTCTTATCTTTCCTGCCAAAGAAATATTATACAACACACATCAAGGATAGAAATAAAACAAGACAAAATTATATTCATACTTTCTAATGTGAGTGAGCTAACATGATTCGCTCTGTCAGCTGTTATTGTGCATAAATGTCAGAGATTCCCAATCCTGTTTCATCTGCAAAGCTTGATTTCTCACTGATTCCCACTGAAATTTATCTCCCTCTAATTCAACTTAAATATCTTAAGATATAATTTAATGATACTATTTTTAAAATCTGTACTTTAAAACCCAATAGCATAACTAACAGTATTACTATGCTATATAATTTTTGGTCATGAATCTACCCATCCATATTCATTCACCTAATAAAATAGAAAGAGACCAGTAATGGGAAAAGATCAGTCATAAATAATATGTGCAGATATAAATTAGACAGGCAAAATAGTTTCACCCATGTTGGGGAAAAATTGAAGTTGTACTCAAGCAGTTATTAAGTTAGGTGTTTTGGTAAGCATATTTTGTTTTGGAAAAATAGTATTTCATTCTTCAAATGCAATAATGTCGTTGGAAAAACATTTGAATTTAATTCCTGAGCTGATTGGATTCTCTGGGCGCTAGAAACTTAGAAGTAGTAAGCAGTGCAAAAGATTCACAGGAATTACTAGCTGTGAAGAGAAAGAAAATGAAATATAATTAGGCAAGGAGAGCCATCAGATCAAGATGCAGACCTGACCAAAAATGTTAAAGCATGATAAAGCTCTAGAGCAAAGCCTGCCTGCTAGAAAAGTCCCACATTGGATGGAAACCACTAGGATCTTAAACTAATAATACCTGTGTAGTAATTGCATAGGGATTGTCCCAAGAATATCATGACCTTGAAGGCTGAGGTGGATCCTGTAGAATCGACATTTGGAGGCATCCTATTGACCTACCTTCGTTGCAACTGGACAGCAATTGTTTGTTTTTTGGAGAAGATCTGAGTGGCTTATATCTATAACTGCCATAGTTCCTACTTTAGATTATTTTTTTCTGATTTGTGTTTCCTTTGCCATTTTATTCTAGCAGTGACAGAATGCAGTGAACATATAAGAAAGTTTCATAAATTTTGATCTTGAAACTTTAAAACAAAGACATCAAGAAATTTTCTAATAGTCAACATAAAATATTAGCTAGAAATTTTTGCCATTTGACAAACATAAAACAATACATTATTTAATAACCTAGATTCCTAAAGGTAATTTTTAAGAATCTAACATATTTAGTTTATTGAAATAATTAATTTTTATGACATTCTCCAAGTATACATTCTATTTATTTAATTTTTATACCCCATATAACATTCTGGCAACACTGAATCAATCACATTTTTATGCTTCAAGTGCAACAGCAATAAATCTTTGAATAATTTATAAAATGTATCTCAATTTTCTGGTTAGATGACATGAAATGAGTGTAGAAAAAAGCACAAATGAAAAAATAACTATGGCAGAAAAATATTTTGAGAAAAACATTTGAAACTAAATATTTGGATTACATATGTATTTAATAGCATTAAGCCAGTAAACATTTTAAAAATGACTTTTTAATTCCATTTGCTAGATAGTTTTGTGGTTTGGGATATTTCTAAACAGTACTAAAAGAAATAGACATGTAGGTAATGGAAAAACAAACTTTAACACTTTCTTGGTGAAAAATCCTCTAAGTCCCAGGGTTTGCCATTTCTTTATTCTGATTATCTGATCTTAGAATACTCCTGATTTTTAATTCTCTTTTTAATAAATATTATGTTTTGCTAATTTTATATTAGAATTGATAAAATAATATTTATAACAAAATATTGTTTCCTTCAAAATTTCTTCAGTTTTCAAATAGAGCCATATTTTAGCAAAAATATTCTAAAATGCTAGTAAATATTTTTATTCATTTTTGACTAGATGTCTTGAAAGCATATTATTAACATCAGTTTGTATTAATATACACTGTGCCACACTTCGCAACTCAGCACTTAACACATGTTCTCTTATTTAATCATTCCACTAATGCTATGATATTAGTCTTATTTTCATTTTATCAGTGAAGAAACTATGGCACATAAAGTTAGGCAACTTGCACCAATTCACTATGTAGTAAATAATAGAGTTGGTAGGTAAACCAAGATTTGTAGCCTAAGCTCTCTCAGCAACACTATCTAATTATTTTGCAAACATTTTTTTCATGTATTCAACTACATACATATGAAATCACATTTGCTAACTGAAAGTGAAAGGAGAAGCAAACAGCAGCCCTGATGCTTAAAAAGGAGTAATGAAGTGACCAAGGAGCATAAAGGTGGTAGTCTGACATCTAGAAGCAGGAAAAATAATATCAACATCATACTTTTTTGGTGAAGATTAAATGAGAGTAACAGGTAAAATAAGCAGAAGTGCTTCTCAACATTCCTGATGTGGAGTAGTCATTCAAAATGGTAGTTTTATTCCTATCAATGTCCTTTTTGTGTAGGCAAAGGCACAAAAGACAGATCTTTAGTTGTAGCTTAAAAGATACCAAGTTAGATTTTAGACAAAAAACATGGGAGTTTAGAGGAAAGGTAAATCTTTATCTACTATGCTATAGATTAAAATTAGGAAATAAGCACTAGACTACAAAATTATACTGAAGAGGTGCTATCGTTGTGAAGTAGGTAAAATTGCGGAGTCAGCCAAAAAAATTTAATTCTAAAGAAGTTGCTCACTTGGTATTTGAGATAAAAGATTAACCCAAATGCTTATAAATTTCAGAATCTTTAACTTCACCATTTTCTTATAGCACTTAAAATTTTGAGAGGTTTCCTAAGTGCTTCCCTATTGGAATAATGAATTCAGAGAGTGTTCATGTACAAATATGCTTTTTCTGAAATATCAGAATACTGGAAAAACTTGATTAAGACTCTCAGTGACAAAATAAGACTCATATTTCAGCCTAAGAAATAAGAGAGAAAAAATATGTATCAATATGAGAAATAAAAATCAAAATTATAAGTATTTGCAAAAAAAAGTTTACTTACAAAATATGATCCTGAAATGAGAAATCATTAGAACCTGAATACAGTATAGCACAAAGAGTTTAGACTATAGAGACAGATATACTTGGATCTGAATTGTATACCCCTCTGCTGCTGGTTGTCAGAAAACAATCACTTCAGCCTCAGTTTGCTATTTGTTAAAATGGAGATAATAATATTACAGTCTTTTGGTAAGATTTAGATGAAAGAATACAAGAAAAGAATATGATTCATTATAGAACAGAATAATAGGTTCTTGGTAAATGTAAATACATGTACTCACAAAGTAGGTGTATGATCATCAGTCCAAATTAAATCTTTTCTTATATGCTATTATTATTCTATGAGAAAATGTAATTTGAAAGTTTAAAATGTTCACATCACACAAAAAATTTGAAACATATGTGAATACAATTTTACAACTTTTTCACAGCCTGAACAATTTATCAAACCTAAGTGCATGCATATTACAACAAATGTATTTATTAGTATACTTATTGCAGTATTGTTATGGAAAAATAGAAACAATCTCATATCTATCAATAGGTGAAGTATTTTTGATATATACTTAATACAGAATTATATGCATGGCATGAGATTGTTTAAAAATATATTGTTGAATACAAATTCATAATTTATCATAGTAGAAAAATAGAGATTACACAAATGTCTAAAATAAGAAAATCATTATTAACCTTTATATATTGATGTTACAGAAATATATATGCCATGACATGAAAAAGTTTAAGATATACTGTTTTTATAAAAAGATTGTGAAATAATATGCATGAAATAACACTATTTTTTGTTTTTTTTGTTGTTAAATGTATACACACACACACACACGCACGCACGCACACACGCCTCCTTAATAGTGATTCCACCATGGGATAGAATATTGAGAGAGGTTGGAAACAGAGAGGGACCTTTAGGCTTTTACTTTATATTATTTGGTATTACTTGATTATTTTTCAAAAATGACTTTCTGCTGTTATTTAGGGATAAGAAAAATAATAGCTGCTATAAACATTTCTCTCACAAGTCAGTGCTTTAAATCTTCTGTCCCTCTTGCTCAAATTTTTCTAAAGACTGGTTTTTTAGAACAGTTTTAGAATCACAACAAAATCTAGAGGAAGGTAGAGATTGCCCACATACTACCCTATAGGAACATCTCCCACATTATCAACATCCCCCACCAGAATAATATATTTATTACAATCCATGAACCTACATTGACATATCCTTATCATACAAAATCCATAGTTTACCTTAGAGTTCGCTCTTGGTATTGTACATTCTGCGGGTTTGGTCATATGTATAATGACATGTATCCACCATTGCAGTATTATACAGGGTATTTTCACTGCCCTAAAAATCCTCTTTCCTACCCTCAACCCCTGGCCACCACTGATCTTTTTACTTTATCCATAGTTTTGCCTTTTCCACAATGTCATATAGTTGGAATCATATAGTACATAGCCTTTCAGATTGGCTTATTTCACTGTATTTATATTAGTCTGTTTTCATGCTGCTGATAAAGCAAACCCGAGACTGGGAAGAAAAAGAGGTTTAATTGTACTTACAGTTATTATACATGGCTGGGGAGGCCTCAGAATTATGGCGGGAGGCAAAAGGCACTTCTTACGTGACAGCTGCAAGAGAAATATGAGGAAGAAGCAAAAGTGGAAATCTCTGATAAACCGATCAGATCTTGTGAGACTTAATTGACTATCATGAGACTAGCACAGGAAAGACCAGCGCCTATGATTCAATTACCTCCCCGTGGGTCCCTCCCACAACATGTGGGAATTCTGGGAGATATAATTCAAGTTGAGATTTGGGTGAGGACACAGCCAAACCATATCCATATTTTATGTGTTTAACTTTCTTTGATGTTTTTTCATGGCTTCATAGCTCATTTCTTTTTAATATTGAATAATATTCCATTATCTATATGTGCCAGATTACTTATTTGCTCACCTGCTGAAGGTTGCTTCCAAGTTTTGGCCATTATGAATAAAGCTGCTATAAAATCAACGTGCAGGTGTTTGTGGAGATGTAAGTTTTTCAGCTCCTTTGGATAAATACCAAAGAGATGATCAACATTTAGAATGTTCTTTATCAAATTACATTCTCAGAGATGTTTAATGAATTGAATCAGATTTTCCTTTCGAGAAAACAGAATATTGGTATTTTTCTCTAAGTTCATAGGAAAATAAAAGTTACTAAATATGTGTTTCTCAATTTTGTGTTAGCTCTGATTATACTAGCAAATCAGTGTTAGAAGTAGAGTTCCCAGATGGAACCTTGGATTAGGGTTCAAATTTAACTGTGTTGTAAAATTTGTTAAGAAGTTACATCATGTAATTACTGCATGGCTTTATTCATAGAAATGCTTAATAAAGAATAGGTATAAGTATTATTTTTAATCGTATGAGAATTACCTTTGATCTTACACAAAACAGTGACGTAAAGGCAATGAGATTTGTAGCAAAATTTCTGTTTCCTTTTCCAGAGTGTAGAGCTACCACTGGAAGGAGGCTGTTCAGCCAGAGGCTCTGCTTTCTCTAGCACCTGGGCATCTGTGCCTAGGTGACATGTTCTTGCCAATAAAATATGTAATAGTTTTGTGTTTCACTTATTGCCTGAATCTTTGAAGAAATGCTTTCACCAGTCTCTCTTCCTCTTCCTGCTAACTCAATTAAGGAGATTCCAAGAGAGGCTTTCTCAGCTGGGGCTCTTGGCTAAACCATAGAACAGAGTAAGTAATTTGATTGACTATTTTCTCAGTTCTCCTTGGGATCCACATAACTATTGCTGTTAGAGGTCTAGGAGAGAAGTTAATTCATTACATACAATGGATGCCTTAGAACATTCTGGCTTAATTGCCTGGAGAATTTCTTCCCTAGTGAGACAGGCTGAGGGGTGTGGAAACACAAGATGGAAGTAATGTGGGCACCTGAATCACAATATAGATGAAAAAAGCTCACCGCCAACCAGGATCTGTTTTAGATGCTTACATAAAAGAAAAATAAATTTCTAGTTTATTAAACTATTGGAAAACTGGTGTTTTTTATAGCAACAAGTATTATCTAAATTAATACAAACAATATATTCTTTGACCACAGTTCTGTATAATTGCTTACAAAATCAATAAGCAGAGATTGAAAATGTGTATAATCCCAGCTTTGAAATTAGAACTGGGATTAAAATATAAGTAAGACACAGTTATATTTGAAGTGAAATTTGAGATATTTATGAGAGAGATAGCAGAAATATATACATTAAAATGATTCTTTTTTTTGTTTTTTTTTAATTATTATTATACTTTAAGTTTTAGGGTACATGTGCACAATGTGCAGGTTTGTTACATATGTATACATGTGCCATGTTGGTGTGCTGCACCCATTAACTCGTCATTTAGCGTTAGGTATATCTCCTAATGCTATCTACTTTACTATTTCTCAAGAAAAGATAATATAGTTTAGAGGCTTAATAAATATTAGTAAGTGAATATATACTAATAATCATGTGTAGCAATTACACATTGCAATAAAACTGTAATAAAGATAAATATGTACATGTATTATACAATTAAAGAGATTACTGAAATTCTCAATAAAGGAAGATGCATATGTCCCATTAAACTTCAAGGTGAACTGCTATTAGAACGCAGACCATTTCTCATAAACATTCATGGCCATTACAGAAAACATAATCACTATCTGTGCTCAGAGATAATTTTATCCTTGTATTAGGAGGATAATACATTTACTCATTCATTTAAAACATTTAAAAATGTTTTTAACATTTTAGTATTCTCATTGCTTTAACCACAAAGTAATTCTTTAACTTAGGTATTCCATTTGATTTTATTGAAGAATGTTACAATATTGTCTTATTAAACCAATACAATGATAATTAAGAATAATTCTGTTATGTGTCATGAGAACCTCTTTTATAAGAATGTGCAGAGAATATTATTTTTTTGTCTTAGCAGAAGAAAGCCCTACCTTTGAGAAACTGATTTGTTTTACATTACAAAACCTATGAAGCTTGCGGGTGATCCCATTTTCCATGAAAGCCCTACCTTTGAGCAACTGATTTGTTCTACGTTACAAAACCTATGAAGCTTGCAGGTGATCCCATTTTCCATGAAAGTCCTACCTTTGAGCAACTGTTTTGTTTTGTGTTATGAAACCTATAAGGCTTGCAGGAGATTCCATTTCCCATTTTTTCTTATTTCTCTAGGAAGCCCAGAGCCAAACTGTGGTCAATCTCTAGCAGCAGGTACAGCAACTTGATATATTTCTAAACAGTTTTGCCGAATATTTTCTTTTCAATATGCTTGTTCAATTTTATTATGTATTTGCTTGTAAAGTGCTTTAAATGTTTTTGGGGGTATACATGGAATCAGCACAAATGTAAATTATCTAAAAATTAATAACATATCCTGCTTTGCCTTGTATTTATCTTTTCTTTTTAAAGTGCATTTATTTAATTATGTTTTTAATAAATTCTTCAATAAATGTCTCTGAGTCCCTGTTTTGGGGATACAATGGAAAACAAACAATATTCTTCGACATGACGGAATCTAGGATCTAGTGGCGGAGATATTAAACAAATAATTACATAAATAAATACATAATTATAAGTTTTGGTAAAATATTAAGTAAAATTTATGACTTTATGAACACCTCCTATAGGGGATCTCGTTCAGAAAGACTCCCTTTGAAGAAGCTGGGAACTCTGATGTTTAAAGAGAACTTTTAAATCACATTTCCTATTTGAAGCTGTACACAGGAATGTTCAAATTATTTATAATCGTGACAGGAGTTGGAGTGAAGATGACTCTGTCCGGGAGTTAAAATATTCAGTGAGGAAGGTAGAGTGACTAGAGGTGTGGAAATGATTATGAAGAAGAAGTTAAACTGTACCTAAGGAAACAAGAATATTTAGAAAGAGAGAAATAGTAATGGTCTAGAGGCAGAAGTAAAAATGTTACAGGCTCTAATTTCTAATTCTGAAATTTTAGGAACATTTCAGAGAAAAGAACACAGATGAAGTTTTACAGAAAAGCAAGATGTTAATTAACTGCCTTTCATTAAAGATATGGAGCATATTTTCAGAATGGTATGACTGTTTACCTTTTTAGAATTCTTAACCTCTATAAATCTAATAGTTTATAACATATTCCTTCCCTAACATGAATTGGAAATGGTTCATTGTATTGACAATAACAAATTTAAAAAGCTATCATATATAAGGTGACTACAACATTTATCATCCAAATTGAAATAAAATTAAGTGGGACTCTTCCATCAATCTGTATTATCAGCCTCTATGACAGACTGATTATATACTTCCCTTAGCTGAAAACAAACAAAAAACGTTAAGTTCAAGGAGGTAACTTTATTTTGATTTCTAGATTTTGCCAATAAATGTTTCCTAAGGCAGGAGCTGCTAACTACTCCTACAAATTCTTTCTTTCTCCTTTAGTAATAAAAGAAACCCAACTTTTATAACATATATTTTAAATAACACACTGATTATAACATAAGAAGTCCACTAACTTTTTCATCAAATGGGTTCTGCTTATGGGTAAAATTGAGCCATGAAATATGGTAGAAAATGCCTATACTAATGCAATATACAGAACAACAGTTGGACACCTCCAAATTACTCTGCAAACTTCACTCATCTTCCCCATTAACTTTTCTACTGCACCTTCTGAAATTTTTAAGCTGGGATCAAAACTATCCTGGTGTATCATTCCTCCTGGCTTAATGTCTTTCCTACCATCCTAAACTCTGGCAGCATCCTTGGTTACTTTGTTATCTGAATCAATGACGCATGTTACATTTTGACCTCAAGGTCACTGACTCACCCATCTCCAAGATGATTTTCTTTCACTCATCCTGATCTATAATGATGCTGAACTTTGCCATTATCAACAACTTCACCTTATGAATATTAGCCAGCCATGAAATTCCACTTTTCAAACATTGACCACTCAGGGAGTCAATGGAGCTCCTCATTTCCAGCCATTTCCTGAATTACTGCCATTACCACATTTAGATGTCACCCAAACCCTCATATGCATCTATTTCACTACTTTCTCACCCAGTTTCCCTTTATTTCTATTCACTTTACTAGATTTAATGGTTCATTACTATAAGAATTTCTTCATGAGTACCTTCATTCCCTTTAATCCTCTCTTTCTTTGTTGAATTTGTTTTCAAAACTCCAACATGAATAGCGTGTAACAGCTGCACTTTCAATGTGTAAGTAAAACCAGCCTGAATAGCTGAAGGAAATCATATAACTGAGTTGAGTAGTTTCAGTTAAATTAATCATTATCATCAATAGAGGCCACAAACTGGTACTTAATAGTATCAAGCATGCCTATTGTATTTCTCTTTCTACTTGCTTGAGAAATCTACACGTGCTGCCTCCACTTTCCCACTCCCTATTCCCCAGTCAGTCTCTCTCTGGCTTCTTCATTCACCCACTGACAGTTTTTTACCATAGTCAGTAAGTCTGTTCATGGTTCCAAGTCCATAGAATTACTTTGCGTACTCACCTCACTAAAATTCTCAATAAAAGTTGATAATGTTGAAGACTCCCTCTTTTTAATTTTTTTCATTCCTTTTTCTCATGATGTCATTTTTTCCTGAATTTTATCCTACCTTCTTGGCCACTCCCTTATAAACTCCTTTACCCCATATTATCCCATACTTAACACGATTCCATTCTGAGTCCACTTCATTTCTCTGTCTTATTAGGCAGGTATATCCATTACACATTTTAACATAATATTTACATAGCTATGACCTCCTAATGTGGACTTCCTGCCAAAACTCTCATTCTAGCCCCATGTTCATATTTTCAGTTGCCCAAACAGATAGCTTCAACTAGATGTATCACAGATGTCACAACTTTATTTAAAAATGCCTCTTTTCATTATTATTCAACCTTGTATTAGAGCTATCTTCTTTTCCCATCAAAGAGCATTGTCACTCATCTTTGAACCATCTTTGATTCCTCACTTTCATTCATCCTCCACATATAATTCATAGCAAACCTTGTCAGTTCTTTTTCGGATTTCTTCAATTACTTCCATGTGCCTTGGCACTCCCCATGTTTGGGCTCTAAAATGTTCTTGTCTGAACTATTGCCCCAGACTTGCAACTGGTATCTATAATCCAAATTTATCCCATTTCTTTTTTCACCTAAATTATTCCAAAATATCTGTTGAAAATGTAAATAGAGTTGTGTAACTTCCTGTCTAAAATTTTTATTGGGTTGTCACTGCACTTAAAATGAAATTAAAACTCTGTATCAGGACCTAAAAGGTCACGCATGATCCTGTTCCTCTCTATCTAAGGCTACTTTTTTACCATGTGGCTTTATAAAAAGAATTCATTTGCAGGGGAGATCATTATTTCTTCCATCTTCATGTAACTGAATCCTTTAGAGGTCAATTTAGCTTTTGTTTATAAAAATTCTATTATTAGCCTTTCTAATCTAGAAACTTCTTCCTCTAATATTATACTTATCTTGAACTCTCATGTTTTTCCTTAATAGCTTTAATTATTTTATATATTTTATTGCTTACAGTGTTTTTGATTGTTCCCTCACAAGAATGTAAAACAAATAAGGACAAAGACTATATTTGAGTTGTTCATAGAACTACCTGCTCAGCTAGCTCAATAACATGGCAGGAAGAAGCTAATTAATTTATACTTTCTGAATTAAAATTCAATTTTTGCTGAAGCAGAATTCCTAAGTTTCTTCTTGCCCTACTTAATTAACAGCCATATAGAGTCCACCTTATTCACAGAGCTATTTATAATAATCTTGAAGAGGTTACATAACTTGGAAATTTACAGAGACCACAAAATAATGTACTAAGAGTGACTCACACTCTCTGATGATAACAAGTTATGTACACTTTATAGAACAAATTTAAAATGAGCCCAGGTGCGGTGGCTCATGCCTGTAATCCCAGCACCTTGGGAGGCCGAGGTGGGCGGATCACTTGAGGTCAGGAGTTCGAGACCAGCCTGGCCAACATGGTGAAATCCTATCTCTACTAAAAATACAAAAATTAGCCGGTCATGGTGGCAGATGCCTGTAATCCCAGCTACTCGGAGGCTGAGGCAGGAGAATTGCTTGATCCCTGGAAGCAGAGATTGCAGTGAGCCGAGATCGAGCCACTGCACTCCAGCCTGAGTGATAGAGTAAGACTCTGTCTCAGAAAAATAAAAATAATAAAAATAAAAGTGTACCAAGATTTCTATTATAAAATTGCAGGGATATGCTTTCAAAGAGACTGGTGAATACCCCTAAACAATAGGGTTGGATTTTTTTCAGGTAGAGCAAGGGTTCTGTTCTAAACTATTTGCCATTATTCCATTCTAAGATACCAATGCTGGAATATTCACTTACTGCTTAAAGGAGCTCATTACTAACTTCAGCAAGGCATTTATCATGTCTGAGTTCTATTTTTATAGAAGAACTTGTTTCTTTTTAAATAAATGTTGCTTAAAACTAGCTACTCATTGTACTTTTCTTTTTCTATTTTTTTTTTTTTTTTTTTTTTTTTGAGACGAGTCTCGTTCTGTCGCCCAGGCTGGAGTGCAGCGGTGTGATCTCGGCTCACTGCAAGCTCCGCCTCCTGAGTTCAAGCAATTCTCTGCCTCAGCCTCCCGAGTGGCTGGGATTACAGGCACCCGCCACCATGCGTAGCTAATTTTTTTGTGTTTTTAGTAGAGATGGGGTTTCACCATCTTGGCCAGTCATGTTTTGAACTCCTGACCTCGTGATCCATCCGCCTCAGTCTCCTAAAGTGCTGGGATTACAGGCGTAAGCCACCGCGCCCGGCCTCGTTTTACTTTTTAATGAAAGTGGCTGTGACAGGAAGCTCTTGTTTTCTCTAACATGAGCGTTGCATGTGTGTGTCTATGTGTGTGTGTTTCCTACTATAATATTTCAGCCTATGCTATTGGGTCATAGAAGTGTTTTCAGTATCTTTGATGTAACGAATCATTTTCTGCTTGGTCTCAAGCTTACAACGGATTCCCCATTGTGCAGCAGCAAAACACCATCATGTATATTGCATAACACTGTTAAATTTCCCTCTAAAAGCAGCAGTTCAGAGAAACATGTTTATTCACTATATCACAAATATTATGTGGGTTATTCTAGTATTAACTTACTTTAAGAACCAGTTGATGGGTGCAGCAAACCAACATGGCACATGTATACCTAGGTAGCAAACCTGCGCGTTGTGCAGATGTACCCTAGAACTTAAAGTATAATAAAGAAAAAAAAAAGAAAGACATTTTAGGTAAAAACACTTATATACGAGAGTAATTAAGAACTTAACAGGGATAGACTCAACATTTTGACTTGTACTCCATCTCAAATAGCTGTGATTTTTAGACATAAACAATATTAAATAATTTGTAACCACATGACTGGTTATAATATGAATATTATGGTCACCAACATGTAACTGAAGAAGTGTACAAATCAAGAGATTTCTAAAATGCTGCATAACCATCCAGTGAAAATTCCTAAAAGGAGAAGCAATTAGGTTTTTAGCTGAGTAATAACAAACACGGTACTAAAGCTTTCAGGGAAAAATGTGAAAAAACAAACTAGACAGCTTTTCTTCATAGCAACTATATAAATAAAAGGTGTAAATAAGAGCTAATCTCAAAATTTATTCTAGGTATTAAATAAGCTGCAGCAAATTCCCTAACTTATTTCCTTATAGAACTAACATTAATTAAGCAAAGAGATTAATACTTACATAGTCACTCCTTTCTGGGAAAATAGCAGAAACACGGCTCACTAGTACACAGGTTAGAAACTAGATGGACAGCTGATTATGGATATAGAAACAGAGAAATCAGCATATTCTAGTTCAGTGGTTCTAACACTTTATTCTATCAGTTACCTAAATGGATAGTTACAGTTCAGGCTGTGGGATTCCATCTCCAGAGTTTCTGATTTAGTAGGTCTGGGATGGGGGACATACCAAAATCCTAAGTGATGCTGTTGCTGTTGATGAGGGGCACATGCTTTGAGAAATGCTGCAAATCTAAAGAGAAGAATTAAACACAACATGAACTAATATTAGCACAACACCAGGATCAGTGGCATTATATTCAATGTGTGACAGGACACAGTGAATGAGGTCCAAAGCCGGGAGATAAGGAACAGCTGAAGAAACAAAATTTACCATGAAGTAAGTATCCAGGGTTTGGTTTGTTGAACAAACCAGGAACTATTATTTAAATGTGTACCCTCCAAAATTCAGATGTTGCTAATGTGATAGTATTAAGGTGGAACCTTTAAGAGGTGATTAGGCTATGAGGGCTCCTCCATTGTGAATTGAATTAGCTACCCTTATAAAAGAGCTTGCCAAAGGGAATACTTCCTTTTTGCCTTTCCTCATCTGCCATGTGAGGACAGAACATTCAAGGTGTCCTCTTGGAAGCAGAGTACAGACCCTAATCAGACATGGAACCTCTTAGCTCCTAGATCTTTGACTTCCCAGCCTCTAGAATTGTGAAAAATAAATTTTTGTTATTTATAAATTACCCAGTATGTGCTAGTTTATTATAGTAGTACAAATGAACTAAGATATGAGGGATTCAAAACTCTCAAAGAGTGACAGCCCAGCTTAGACATTGAGGTAGATTCTTACTGTCTAAAGCCATAGGCTTATTATGAACAATCCTAATCAAAAATCAGATTATTGGAATATTGGAATTTAAAGATCATCTGCTCCTTCATTTAACTAATAGAAAAATGTTCATAAAATTCACAGCTAGTTTACACAGGTATCTATCATACAATTGTAATTTTGAGGGTGCTATGGTCTGAATGTTTGTGTCCCTCCAAAATATTTATGTTGAAATCTAACCCCAATAAGTTGGTAATAAGAGGTGGGGCCTTTGGTATGTGACTAAGACATGAGGGTAGAGCTCTCATGAATAGGATTAACTCTCTTATAAAAGAGACTTGAGAAATGTTGTTCACTCCTTTTACCTTTACGCTATGTGAGGAGAGAGTGAGAAGGCATCATCTATAAGAAATGGGCCCCCACTAGTCACTGTACCTGCTGGCACTTTGATCGTGGACTTCTCAGCCTCTAGAGTTATGAGAAAAACATTTATGTTATTTATAAATTACCCAATATAAGTTATCTTTGATAGCAGACTGAACAGTCTTAGACATGGGGTGTGTCAAAGATTGGCTGGATGCTCACAAACCTATTTATTCTTAAGTCCAGAGGTAGTTCAAATGTCCTATTTTCCCTTTCAGTGAGGTATAATTATGTGACTGAATTTTTGCTGATATGTGATTTATGTCACTTTTAGGACTGACATTTTTAAACACTTTCTTCACCATCTTACATGCTTACTGTCTTTCCCCAGGTATTAGCTGACAGTAGAAGAGGATCAAGTCCAAGAATATGTCATAATTACATGGAAGAAGGAATGTGTGTTTATGATATTCTGGAGCAAGCCCCTCCTCCAACTCCCACTAACTGGCACTGGACTGTGACATGTATTAAGAAATAAACACACTTAGTTAGTTAGTGCATTAAGATTTTGTTTTTTGTTTTGTTTTGCCTTTTATATGTGTATGTATGTGTGCATGCATGTACTATATATATGTATATATATAATTTATTTATCTATTTTTACAAGTATATCCTCATTCGTTTGGGTAGCTTGGTGGTAGATTAACAGTAGTTGCAAATGCTTTTACATTTTTTCAATAGAGAGGTAAAGTTTATGTTCCCTCTTTCTGAATCTGGCCAAGTTTAGTGAACAGTGGAGCAGAGTCAAAGTGATGCACCAGTTTCCAGGACAAGTCTTTAAGGAACTTACAGCTTCAACTTCATGGATCCTGGAATGCTCTCTGAAATTCATCCACCATGCCATGAGGAAGATGAGGCAGTCCCATGAAGAGTCTTACTAATTTTCCAGCCACTGAGTAAGCCTCCTATAAATGAATTTTCTTGCCTGGATTGAGTTCCAATTGGTGTGTGCAGCCACAAAGATCCATTGCTGATGTTGTTGATTTATTACCTAGTGTATTAGTTCATTTTCATGATTCTGATAAAGACATACTCAAGACTGGGTAATTTATAAAGAAAAAGCGGTTTAATGTAATCAGTTTCAAGTGGCTAGGGAAGACTCATAATTATATCGGAAGGCGAAAGTCATGTCTCACATGGCAGCAGACAAAGAAAGAATGGAATCAAGTGCAAAGGGTTTCTCCTTATAAAACCATAAGATCTCCTGAGACTTATTCACTACAAAGATTGCAATATGGGGGAAACCACACCCATGATTCAATTAGCTCCCATCAGTCCCTCTAACAACATGTGGGAATTATAGGAGCTACAACTCAAGATGAGATTTGGGTGGGAATGGCCCTGACCCCTCCCAAATCTCATGTCCTCACATTTCACAACCAATCGTGCCTTCCCAACAGTCCCCAAAGTCTTAACCCATTTCAACATTAACTCAAATGTCCAAGTCCAAAGTTTCATCTGAGACCAGGCAAGTCCCTTCTGCCTAGGAGCCTGTAAAATCAAAATCAAGTTAGTTACTTCCAAGATAAATGGTGGTACAGGTATTGGATAAATATACCCATCCCAAAAGGGAGAAATAGGCCAAAAGGAAGGGGCTGAAGGCCCCATGCATGTCCAAAATTTATCAGGGAAGTCAATCTTAAAGCTTTAAAATGATCTCATTTGACTCCATGTCTCACATCCAAGTTACACTGATGCAAGAGATGGGTTCCCCACCTCTTTGGCACCTCTGCCTCTGTGGCTTTGCAGGCTACAACCTCCCTCCTGGCTTTATTCACAGGCTGGCATTGATTATCTGCAGCTTTTCCAGGTGCACAGTGCAAGCTGTCAGTGGAGCTACCATTCTGGGGTTTGGAGTATGGTGACCCTCCTCTCACAGCTCCACTAGTCCCAGTGGGGACTCTGTTTGGGGTCTTCAAACCCACAGTTCCCTTTCACATCACCCTAGCAGAGGTTCTCCATGAGGGCCCCACCCCTGCAGCAGACTTCTGATTGGACATCCAGGTGTTTCCACACATCCCCTAAACTCTAGGTGGAGGTTGCCAAACCTCAATTCTTGACTTCTGTACACCTGCAGGCTCAACACCACGTGGAAGCTGTCAGGGCTTGGAACTTCCACCATCTGAAGCCATGGCCTGAGCTGTACATTGGTCCATTTTAGCCAAAGCTGGAGTGGCTGGTACACAGGGCACCAAAACCCTAGGCTGCACACAGCAGGTGGACCCTGGGTCTGACTCATGAAACCATTTTTTTCCTCCTATGCCTCCTGGCCTGAGTTGAGAGGGGCTACTGTGAAGGTCTCTGACATGCCCTTGAGACATTTTCCCTATTGTCTTGGTGATTAACATTTGGTTCCTCATCCTTATTACTTAGGCAAATTTCTGCAGCCAGCTGAATTTCTCCTCAGAAAATGGCGTTGTTCTTTTCTATCAAATAATCAGGCTGCAAATTTTCCAAACTTTTATGCTCGTTTTCCTTTTAAAACTGAATGCTTTTAATGGCACCCAAGTCACCTCTTGAATGCTTTACTGCTTAGAAATTTCTTCTGCCAGATACCCTAAATTTTGTCTCTCAAATTAAAAGTTCCACAAATCTCTAGGGCAAGGGCAAAACACCACCAGTCTCTTTGCTATAACATAGAAAGCGTCACCTTTACTCCAGTTCTCAACAAGTTCCTCATCTCCATCTGAGATCACCTCAACCTGGATTTTATTGTCCATATGATTATCAGCATTTTGGTCAAAGCCATTCAACAAGTCTCTAGGAAGTTCCAACCTTTTCCACATTTTTCTGTCTTCTTTGAGACCTCCAAACTGTTCCAACCTCTGCCTGTTACCCAGTTCCAAAGTCATTTCCACATTTTTGGGTACCTTTTCAGCAGTGCCCCACTCTACTGGCACCAATTTACTATATTAGTCTGTTTTTGCACTGCTGATAAATACATACCCCAGAGTGGGCAATTTATAAAGAAAATCTTGTGAGAATTATTAACTACCATGAGAACAGTATGGAGGAAACTGCCCCCATGATTCAATTATCTCTCACTAGGTCCCTCCAACAACATGTGGGAATTATGGGAGCTACAACTCAAGATGAGATTTGGGTGGGGACACAGCCAAACCATATCCCATAGAGACAGATAATTGGAATACATCTTTTCTTCTTAATAAAACTGAAATTTCTATTTTCCAAATTACTCTTTTCCAAGATGAATACATTTAGAGTACATTTATTGCACAGATATTCTGACTGCATATGTTAAGTATTCTTCTGCAATACTTAGCTATTCTGTTCATTCTCTCCTATTCACTCCAACCTCCTTAGAGTAGATAATGGAAAATACAGTAGAAAATAGAAACAATGGGAAAACATCTGTGGAATAATTGGAATTGAGATCAAAAGAAATAAACAAATTAACCACAGAACAGGAATACAAGAAAGAAAAATGCAACACCTGTTTTGAATTAGGTGACTGATACTGTTTCCCACTTCTTGCTGTTTTACATTTTATATCATCTTGTAATATATGTATCCATCTTTGCCATTGAAATATAAGTTCTTTTACAAGGGGACACTGTCTTTTATCTCATTATCCCCAGATAATGATTGTCTTGCATATACTGAGTATGCAAGTTACATTTTTTAAAATAAAAGAACCTACTGCTCTTCTCTCTTTTATTCCATTTAATTACTCAGGATTTGTAAAAACAAAGAGAGATAAAAGAAATATATTAAACAAGTTGAATACTCAATGCTAAGATAAGAGAATTTATTGCATTTACATTGTTTTTGATTTTTGAGAGATTGCTTTTTATATTTAAATTTAATTTTTTTATACTTTTATAAAACATTTACATGAATCTTAATTCAAAATGACAAAACAATGTATAGTCAAGTAAGCTTAAATTTCATAGTTGTCTTCTCCACTCTCCTTTCCACAATAGAAAACTCTTTTCACATATTTTTTTATTGACACTTCCTTTTTTATTGTCTAAAATATAATTATGTGCAGACATACATAGACACATATTTGTAGTCTTTATTTTTAGATAAAAGGCAAGAGGCTACAGATACTCTTTTGTAACTTGATATATTTACCTAAATCTATATTGCAAAGATGATTAATCATCGTGGTGCATAGTGATCTTTTTTCTTCTCTCTCAGTAGTATGGTATTCCACTGGGAGGCTTACCTTAGTTTTTTATTGTTTTCAATTAGTCATCTGTTCAAACCATTCCATAGCACAGAGGACTGTACTGATTAGCCATATAAATACCTTATTTTTATGTTTTTGCAAGTGTATTTTGGGGTTAGATTCCTAGGAGTAGAATTGCTTGAATAAAGTCCTGATGCATATGTAATTTTGCTGTTAATTGCACAAATTGTGCCATTCTTTATGTACAACACCAATAGAAGTCTGTCCATATAAGTCTTTTTGTCCATTCTTTAATTGTATGTTAAATTCTGGGATACATGTGCAAAATATGCAGGTTTGTTACATAGGTATACATGTGCCATGATGGTTTACTGCACCCATCAACCTGTCATCTACATTACGTATTTCTCCTAATGCTATCCCTCCCCTTGCCCTCCAACCCCTGACAGGCCCCAGTGTGTGATGTTCCCCTCCCTGTGCCCATATGTCCTCATTTTTCAACTACCACTTATGAGTGAGAACATGTGGTGTTTTGTTTTCTGTTCCTGTGTTAGTTTGCTGAGAATGTTGGTTTCCAGCTTCATCCATGTCCCTGCAAAGGACATGAACTCATTCTTTTTATGACTGCATAGTATTCCATGGTGTATATGTGCCACATTTCTTTATCCAGTCTAACATTGATTGGCATTTGGGTTGGTTCCAAGTCTTTGCTATTGTGAGTAGTGCTGCAATAAACATACGTGTACATGTGTCTTTATAGTAGAATGATTTATAATCCTTTGGGTATATACTAAGTAATTGACTTGCTGGGTCAAATGGTATTTCTAGTTCTAAATCCTTGAGGAATCCTCACACTGTCTTCCACAATGGTTGAAGTAATTTACACTCTCACCAACAGTGTAAAAGCATTCCTATTTCTCCACATCCTCTCCAGCATCTGTTATTTCCTGACTTTTTAATGATCACCATTCTAACTGGCATGAGATGGTATCTTATTGTGGTTTTGATTTGCAGATCTCTAATGACCAGTGATGATGAGCTTTTTTTCATTTGTTTCCTGGCCACATAAATGTCTTCTTTTTAAAAGTGTCTGTTCAAGTCCTTCACCACTTTTTGATGGGTTTTTTTTTCTTGTAAATTTGTTTATGTCCCTTGTAGATTCTGGATATTAGCCCTTTGTCAGATGGATAGATTGCAAAAATTTCTTCCCATTCTTTAGTTGCCTGTTCACTCTAATGATAGCTTGTTTTGCTGTTCAAGAAGCTCTTTGGTTTAATTAAATCCCATTTGTTAATTTTGGATTTGTTGCCATTGCTTTCAATGTTTTAATCATGAAGTCTTTGCCTATGCCTATGTCCTGAATGGTATTGCCTAGGTTTTCTTCTAGGGTTTTTAAGGGTTTAGGTCTTATGTTAAAATCTTTAATCCATCTTGAGTTAATTCTTGTATAAGGTGTGAGGAAGGGGTCCAGTTTCAGTTTTCTGCATATGGCTAGCCAGTTTTCCCAACTGTGTTTATTAAATAGGGAACTTTTATCTTTCTTATCAATGATGTTGAAAGTTTTCACATGTTTAAAAACTCTTTGCACTTATTTTTCAATGAACTTCAGTGCTTCTTGTTTTTCTATACTGATGTGGATATTTCTCTTATCTTCTTTTATAAGGTTTTTATATTAAGAAAATGAATGTTTTCACTACAATTCAAAGATTTTCCCAGCTGTCCTTTCCTGCTTATAAAGAATTTTGCCATATAAAAACATGTTTAGTGTTATTAAATTATTCATTACTCCTTATTACCTCTGGAATTTGAAGAACATTTACAAAATATTTCTCTATTATAATAATTGATTTTCAGCTTAGATTATGATTAATTTCTAAGTCTTCTTATCAAATATCATTTATAACATTTGTCTCATATACTACAATCATGGCCAAAATGCAAATAACAAATACTCTGATTTGAGAAGGGAGAGAGCTGCATTATGGTACAGAAAACAGGTAAATAGTACCTGTTAGTGCATTCTATATCTGGTGTACTGACTGTCAAGCAATGAAACCTGATTAAATTATTTCAAACTACTAGAAGTTTTCACTAAGATTTTACAAGTGTCAAAATTTCAATAACATGACAATTATTCTGCCATTTCCAACTACCAGAACAAATAATGCAATAGTGGAAAGCAAAGTGGAAAGGAAGAGTTTTAAGAAAGAGACAAAGAAAAATTACCTTTTAGATTCTGTTTGGGATTGCCTAGGTCAAAAGACCTACCTCCTTTTCTGTACCTCATAGGCCATTTTTCATGTGACTTGGAAGGCCTCCTTGACCTTCCAAGTCCTATAAAAAATTTGACATTTATACCGATTAGTAAAAATATGCTTTCTTCTACATTTGTACTATCAACTTAGTTGATAAAGTGGAAACATTTTGTTTCCTCAATACAATTGCCTTCAAAATCCATGGCTCCAAATTCCTGGATTCAAACAACCAGGAATTAAAAATATTAAAAACGAAGCAAAACCTTATTCAAAATAGCATAAAACAACACAAAATAAAAATACAATATAACAACTATGTAGCATTTACATTGTATTAGGTATTATAAGTAATCCAGAGATGATTTCTAGTATACAGAAGAATGTGCATTGGTTATATGCAAATACTATACCATCTTATATAAGGAACTTGAGCATTCTGGATTTTGCTTCCACCTTCAAAAGAAAGGCAATCAGTATATTGAAAAGATATCTGTACTCTTATGTTTGTTGCAGTACTGTTTTTAGTAGCTAATATTTGGAAACAACCTAGGTGTCCATCAATAGATGAATGGATAAAGAAAATATGGTACTTAACATACAATGCAGGACTATTCTGCCATAAAAAAAAGAATAAGATCCAGTCACTTGCAACAACATGGGTGAAACTGGAAAGCCTTATGTTAAGTGAAATAGGCCAGGCATACAAAAGCAAACTTTGCATGTTCTCACTTATTTATAGAATCTAAAAAGCAAATCTATTGAATTCATGAACACAGAGGGTAGAAAGATGGTTACCAGAGGCTGGGAAGCGTAGTGGGGGATTTTAAGGGAAGGTGAGGATGGTTAATGGGTACAAACAAAAATAGAAAGAATGAATAAGACTTACAATTTGATAGCACAATGGGGTGACTCTAGTTAATAATAACTTAATTGTATGTTGTTAAGAAACTTAAAGAAAGTAATTGGATTGTATGTAACTCAAAGAATAAATACTTAAGGGAATGGATACCCCATTCTTCATTGATGCACTCATTTCATATTGCATGCCTGCATCAAAATATCTGATGTACCCCATAAATATATACACCTACTATTTACCCACAAAATATATTTTTAAAAATTAAAAACTAAAAAAAATTACTCATGCTTCCCTAGAGAGCGGCAATTCAAGAATAATGGCAGAGTTGAAGACTTATGTGTCCATTATAATTTTTATTTTATAATTTTTGTGATTTAAATATTACAAGCACTGTTGCCATCAATAATGTGATTTTCAAAATAAAATAAATATTTATTTGTAAAATATGAACAAAACAATGTATAATTTGCCACTGATTAATATGGTAGTTTTATTCTTATAACATCAGTGTATGTAGTAACACAGAAGTCTTTGTGTCTACATGCAAAATGGTTTCCAGTTTTAGATAATTATAAATACCTTTTAACCCAGAGTACTGTCCAATAAGAGAGTCAAGCTATCCAGATAAGGGCAAATATTTTGTTGCATAAGACTGTCCCTTATGTTGCAGGATGTAAACTATCACTGTTTCTATCCACACAGTGACCATTGAATCATTGTGAAATACAAAAATATTTCTAAATTAAATTTTAAATGCTGTGCAGGGTGTGGAATCTTTTCCATTTGCAACCACCAATGTGAGGTATTGTAGGAAATCATAGGATGCTATCTTTCATACTGAAACAGGGCGCTATTACAAGGTTTTGAGTAAAAGAGCCTTATGAGGAATATTTTGAAGCCCCTTTCACTATCTCTGACAGGGTTTACAGCTCAATATTCTTCATAGTCCTGACATGTATTTGAAAATAACTACTGTTAATGCTCAGTTGAAAGTAGACAATGGGATATTAAGAGTAGAAGCAGAAATATCAGTTAGGAGATTATTTGCAATAATCCAGGTAAAAGATGGTACTGATTTAAGTCAGGGCGTTAAGATGATATTGTCTAATTCTGTAAGAATTTTAAAGAATAGCCAATAGGATTTGGTGATAAATTAACTACAGACTGAGAGAGAAACACATAACACCAATACCTTAGAAAGATAAAGTTAACATTTAGTGAGATAATGAAGATGTGGTAGCTGGGGGAGGAAGTTTTATGTGGAATGATCAACCATTGGGTATTGTTCATTTTGAGATTGTGAGTTTCATATACATCAAAAAAAGTGTTTGATGTCTATTAGCATCAAAATAAGCTAGCTGTCTGTTGGATAGAATCTGGAGTTCATGGGGAGAAGCTCTAGCAGAATGTCACTAACCTCTCAATATAGGAAGCCAAACCTACTCAGCTGCTGAAGCAGATCACGAGTGGAGAACTCATGGAGAGTTATGTGTACATCTTTTTGCATCTGTGTAACTACTGTCTCTGTGGACTAACAGCCAGGTATATGGTGGTGGTAAGCCTAGGGTCAGGGTTGATCAGAAGGACCAGCGTTTAGGAAAGAGTTGAGCATGGAGAAGAGCACAGTGATGACAGAAATTCATCATTTATCCTCAAATCTGTAAGTTACCACATCTGAACACAAGTATAGTGTAACAGTTATGGTGTATTAGTCTGTTTTCATACTGCTATAAAGAACTACCTAAGACTGGGTAATTTGTGAAGAAAAGAGGTTTAATTGACTCATGGTTCTGCAGGCTTAACAGCATGCATGACTGGGAGGCCTCAAAACACAATCATGGTGGAAGGTGGAGGGAAAGCAAGCACCTTCTTCACATGGTGGCGAGAGAGAGAGAGAAGGGTGAAGTCACATGCATTTTTAAACCACCAGATCTCATGAGAGCTCACTCACTATCACGAGAACAGCAAGAGGGAAATCCACCCCCATGATCTAATCACCACCCACCAGATCCCTCCTCCAATTCGACATGTGATTTGGGTGGGAACACAAATCCAAACCATATCATATGTCTACTGCTTCTATTATGCGTTCTAAATCCCATGTGAGTTTTTTGTTTTGGAAAGTGCTAATTAAGAACCATACAGGAAAAGGAATTCTTGAAAAAATAGTTTTCAGTGTGGTAAGTCAATCGACAACAGTCCACCATGGTCTACACCTTGTCTGCTTGGTATCCATACACATCATTTTAACCATATTTAACTTCCAAATAAACACAATAGCAATATTAAGTTTCCATCTGACAAGATAAAATTGTGTCATGTAAAAATCCCTCCTCCCAAATATTACCCCACTCTCCTAAACAGGATACACAAAGTCTTACTTTTTATATCTTGAGGTGATGTTCATTTGTCTAAGTCACACTTCCTCTTTAATATTTGTTAACTTTAATAGCGTCTAACTTAAATACTGAAATATAAGTTTAACCATTTTTAGCACATCTTCTCTTTAATAATAGAGGAATTAGAGTGAAAAAATAAAAAGAATAACAATTGTCATATACACATACACAAATATTTTACATATATATACACACACATGCAGATACATACACATATGCATAAACTTACACATACACACAAACTCAAATAAGAAAGAAACCTGTAACTGCTAGTCCTCCTTCCAGCATATTATAATGTAATCATAGCTGGTATTAATAAATTCTATTTTCCACAATCCATTTCATATTTTCTTTGGCATCAGAAAGTGCCTCAGATGACTATGGTTTCTTGACTGGTATGATGAGTTCAAAATTCATTTCTGAAAAGTCTATTACATTGGGTCCTGTCTATTTGAGTTGTAGTTTTTCATTTACTGTTATTATAAGACATATGAGTACAAAGAGACGACCAAGAGAGACTCCAGCATTTCGTGTACTCCTTCCTACTAGTATTGTGCAGTAGCAAGCATTTCTCCCCTAAGAGCTGGGGAAGACTTTAGGAAATGAGACTGTGGGATAACAAAATAATTAATGAAATAATCTTACAAAGAGTGTTGCAGTGACCAATGATGATTAGGTACCATGAACTGAGGCATATGATTAACTCATCTTTTTATATTTAAAGTTAAAATAATTATAGGGCATATATTCTGTTTAACATGGAATCAAGGCTCAATGGAGATAAATTTTCTGAAGTGAACTCTCTCAAGGGAAGAACTGTGAGAGATAATACATAAAGCAATCACATAGACTGTAAAGTGAGAACCTTATTGATTTTATAAGCCCTCTGATTGAAGTACGGCTATATTTCTTGGCTTAATCAGAATTGGCCCAGGAACTGGGTCAGTACAAAGCATTAAGGGGGTTGTGTCAGTGAAACAAACAAAAAGCTGAAAAAAGAAGGAATAGAGCCAATAAAACACATTGGAATTGACAATCATCTGTTTCTTTTTGGTGTGGGTATTTGGCTCTTACAGATCTTGGTAAAAATTAAAATGAAAAATGTTTCAGGATAAGTCATAGCTTACTTCTCCTGAAAGTCAGCATAAACTAAAAAACTACTTTGCAATCAATTTTATAGTGCCACAGCATTCCTTGCCTTGAGGCCCAGGTTATTTACTTTTTGTATATTATAATAATGAATAATGTCCTATAATGTGTACTGCATTCTTCTCTGGCTTGCAGAACTGAGATCTTTATTGTTTATGAATTATAGCTGCTGTGGTGTCATTAGCCTTTTTCGGTTATAAACACCTGGAATATTCAAGTTGCTTTTTGCAGCATGGTATCTTCAGCACAAATAATTATGCATTAGCCCTAAATTTTATATCTTCCAAATGCTTTACAACCTGTGTTTTATTAGTTGCTGCTAAAGAACACACCTGTAAATCAACTCAGGTTATTACCCTTTTTTCCACTTATTCACAGGAGGAATAAAACAACATGGGAACCCAGCAGTTCACAATCATGGTGGGAATATAAGGGATGAAATTGGTATTTCTTAGAAATAGGAATCCACTCAATGTTCCAACCACATTCTAGCTCAACGTTTCAGTTATTTCTAAAAGTATGAAAACTTGAACAAGAACCTACTAAACACAACCAACTCAATATGATTAATAAAATTATTTTTCTAGGTAATTTAGTCATTCCCTCAACTTATTGTTTCTCAGAAACTAGTGGTTCTATTATATAACAGATACAAATAATTGTCAGTTGTTCAGTTTTCTTTATCTTTGTAAACATAGTTACTGGCTAGAGGAAAACGTAACACCTTGAGGTATCACTTTTTATGGTACATGAACATGACAAAAAAAACATTTTTTTTTTTCTTTTGAGGCGGAGTCTCATTCTGTCTCCAGGCTGGAGTGCAGTGACACTATCTCAGCTCACTGCAACCTCCACCTCCCAGGTACAAGCGATTCTCCTGCCTCAGCCTCCCAAGTAGCTGGGACTACAGGCACGTGCCACCACGCCCTGCTAATTTTTGTACTTTTAGTAGAGACGGGGTTTCACCATGTTGGCCAGGACGGTCTCAATCTCTTGACCTTATGATCTGCTGTCCTCAGCCTCCCAAAGTGCTGGGATTACAGGCGTGAGCCACCGCTCCTGGCCATGAGTATTTTTGGGTTACTGTTTATTTCAAATTCATGTTCCCTGATTTTACTCTCAACCCGACCTAAACTCTACAAATCTTTTGCACAGTTCTACCAAATAAAAATTTAATAATTTATTTTAATATATTATTCTATTCTGTAAGCCTTGGATGTGCAGCAAAGCGTTATATGTTTTAGCAGAGTTTTAACTGAACTGTGAACTGCAATCCAGATGGAAAAGCACAAATTTACAAAACTCCAAAGCAAGTCTAACTCAAATATTAACTTTGTTGCCGAACCATGAATTGAACTTTTATTATTTTTTGTAGAGTAAAATCTCAGCTTTAAGTAGAACCAACCAGTATATTTTTTTCTATTGAACTAGAGAATCAATTACTTTTCTGGCTTTTGTAATATGACTGAAGTGGTCTTCCCATTTTTACTCCTTTATTCAATATCTTAACAAAGACTCTAATGTTCACATTATCATGAAGACTTTTAGCTTCTTTTTCTGAAGTTCTTTCACAAAATAATGATCGAACAAATGTACTAACTCCTCTAGTCATGCCATTTCATTAAGCCAACGCTTTTAAGGTCATTCTAACAACTTTATTAAATTTGAATTCCTCAGATACACATTCTGTCTTACCCCATCTAATCCTACCCTGTCAATTCTTCTGTGTTAAATGCTTTGTTAGGTTATTTCTATTCTGTAAGTCAACTAAGATTGGTGGAGAAGTTAGATATCTTGGAAATGTTACTCATGTAGAAAACGATGAAGCCATAATTTGACCTAAAATGTGTTCATTTTTAATTTATGCTTTTCAATTACCATCTTTCTATATAATGGCCTATATTCATTAGAATGCTCTCAGTTGTAATGGAAAACGATAATAAAATTGGATTAAATGACAAAGAAATGGCAGTGTCTCCATGTGTTTGGGACCTAATTTCTTGCCGTTCATTCCTCAGTTCTTTTTCTTCAGCATTGATTCCCTTCTTGACAGCATTCTCTATTGATAGTCCCATGATGGTTGCTGGACTTATTTACATGTTTACATAATTAACTATGTTTAAGGTATTTATGAAGGACCAAAAGAGGTCAGATGCCCATCACTTAATAAGGGAACATGGACAATATTGATTTAGGCTTGAATCACATTCCCTGGTAGCAGAATCAAGAGTAGTAACTTCTCTGGTGAAATCAAATTCTGAAATATTTTAACTGAAAGAAAAAGTCTGAACACATGA
The DNA here is from genome assembly GCF_000001405.40 of Homo sapiens. NCBI lineage: Eukaryota > Metazoa > Chordata > Mammalia > Primates > Hominidae > Homo > Homo sapiens. Next base: position 43,521,395 of record NC_000004.12, read on the forward strand.
ATGAAAATTAAAATGACTTTGCCTATAGATGAGAAAATGAATGTTGGTTAATTAAACAAAATAAGTGCCTACTCCCTGACAGTGCATGAAATTTGCCTTTCCAGTACAGTCCGTATTAGTTGCAAAAGCCCTCTATGATCACTGCCACTTCCATCATTTTGCCCATGTATCTTCATGCTAAAAAATTATAATATTTTCCCACAATCTACTAAATCTCCTTGTGTTTCCAGGCCTGGATTAAATCCTATCATCTTTAAGATATCTATCTTATTACCCTAGCCCTTCTGATCTTGTGTCTACTGCTATGGAATTTCTAGTTATTATAAGTCTTTAAAATATAGTCTGTTAAGACATTTTTCCTATTTGTAATTTGTGCCACCTTACCTAGGCCTTAAGAGCTTGTTAAATCTGGCTCCACTTTTAGTATCTTGTATTAGACAAGTTGCTTAACCTCTTGAGTCTTAATTTTCACATGCCTAAATAGGCATAATAATATATTAACCCACCATGGTGTTAGGAAAAATAATTTATATACTAGGTACAAAATTCCGATAGCTAGTCCAGGCATGAATTAAATGCACAGAAAACATTGGCACTTTATTTTTAGCCACTATATAACCACCACAATGCCTAGTGAAGTGATAGTTGCATACATAATAGATACTTGATGGACATATCTTGGATTTCCTGAAGCTAAAATAATGCAATATGGTAAAGTTGCCTTTCTAAATACATTTTCCTAAAGGACATATTCTGAAATTTCTTTGTGGATTTTAAAATTTTGATGTTGTTTAATCATTTAAAGTATAGTGTTTTGTTCAATCAACAAACAATTCCTAACAAAGTCACAGTATGCCGAGTGTCAGGTGTTGCTGTTAGGCCGTTTAACAATATGGATATAGTCTTTGCTATCATAGAGCCAATTGTCTAGGGAAGCAATCTGAAGTTTGAAACAAAAAGGTAAACAGAAAAAATGTCAACTTATTACTACAATGGGAAGGTAGTACCCAGAAATTGATGTTTTAACTCTCTATCTAGGTAACTTTGATTGGTGGTAGGGTTTCAGCACCACTGTGCTTTGCCAATAAATCATTTACTTTTTGCATCTTATGGAAAAATTGTGTGTAACCTCTGGAACAGAATGCTACTTTATACTTAGCTATCTAATCATGAACATCAAATAATTCCTATTTGCATATTTGGTCTACTACATAGTAAGTACTCCATAATTTTTTTTAACTTTTATTTTGTTTAGAGGTACAAGTGCAGGTTTGTTACACAGATAAATTTGTGTCCTGGGGGTTTGCAGTATAGATTATTTCATCACCCAGGTATTAAGCCTAGTATCCATTAGTTATTTTTCCTAATCCTCTCCCTCCTCCTACCTGCCACCCTCCAAAAGTCACCATCATGTGTTTCTCTCCTCCGTGTGTCCATGTGTTCTCATCATTTAGCTCCCACTTATAAGTGAGAACATGCAGTATTTGGTTTTCTGTTCCTGTGTTACAGACAGCACACCACTAACAAGGGGGGCATTCAATGCTAGAAACAATATAAGGTCTTTCAGTTTGTTTTTCTAATCCAGATATTGGTTCAAGAATGGATATGTTAACATAAATATATCCATTCATGGTAATAAATACTTGTATCAGAAAATAATGACCTCAAATTGATCATTTAAGCTTCCACCTTAAGAAACCATAAATTCAGAAAAGACTAAAAACAAATCAAACAAAAGAAAACAATAAATAAGAGTAGAATTTTTAAAACTTAAATCAGAATAATTAAAGTCAATGAAACAAAAAAATACTTATTTGTGTAGCTCAATACATCTTCTAGCTGGACTGAGTAAGAAAAAAGAGAGAAGATATGAATGATCAATATCGGCAATGAAACATGAGGCATTACTACAGACCATAGAAATATTTAAAGAGAATTCTACAACCTTCTGGCAGTAAATTTGAAAACTTGGATGAAATAGACCAAATCTTTGAAAGACACAATCACCAAAAATTATTCAGGGAGTAATAGATATCCTGAGTAATTTAATGTACAATATATGATAAAGAAATTTAATTCATCATTAAAAACTTTTCAACAAATAAAACTCACTGGCACATCCACCCAATTATTTAATAAAGAAATAATACTGACTCCATACAATCTCTTCAGGAAAATTAAGGGAGAATAAAGACTTCACAATTCATTTTATTTTCATATCAAAACCAGTTAAAGATATTAAAAGAAAAAAAAACCACAGGCAAATATTTATCAGGAATATGCACACAAAATTCCCCCAAAATATTAACAGATTAAATCCAGCGAAATATCAAAAAGACCAAGTAGAGTTTGTCCTTGGAATACAAGACTTGTTCAAATGAATTTGAAAATATATCAATGTAATTCTTTATATTAACAAAGAAAACAATAAATGTAATTCACTGTATTACCAGTCAAACTAAGAAAAATCATTATCATCATCTCAATAGAAGTGGAAAAGGTATTCAACAAAATTAAACATACATTCATAATTAAAAAATAGAACTTTCAGAAAAGTCAAAATGAAAGAGAACTTGATTAACCTGATAAAAGACATATATGAAAAATCCACAATTAATATCATATCCAATGGTGAAAGACTGAGTATTTCTGCCTAAGAACAGAAATAAGGTAGCGATATGTTCTCCTACCACACCACTCCTATTTAAAATAAATTGCAACTCATAGCCAGTGCCATAAGGCAAGTAAGAGAAAGTAAAGACAGGTAAAGTGGAAAAAATAAAGATAAAACTGTCTCTACCTGCAGGTAACATGATTGTCAAAGTATAAAATGCTATGTAATCTTGAAACAAAGACAAAATACTTGCAGAACCAGTAAGTGAGTTTGAGCTTGGCTAACTCACAGAATACCAGGTCAATATATAAAAATTAATTGCAATTAGCAATTAAAAACTGAAAAATTTAAAAGTACCATTTATAATTGCAGCAAAAATGTAGGTATAAACATAACAAGATATTATAGATATGTTGCTAGAAGATGCTATAAATGACAAAACAATTCTAGGAGAAATTTGAGAACACCTAAATTAATAAAGAGAAATTCCATACTATTGAATTTGAAATCTCAAACTTAGAGTAATGTGAATTCCCCCCAAATTGATCAACAGATTTAATACAATTACAACAAAAATCTCAACAGAATTTGTTTAGATGTGAAAATATGAAACTAAAAATTTTGACAAAACATTAATATAAATAGAATAGCCAAAACAATTTTTTTAATAAAGTTGAAGGACCCGCAATACCTGATTTCAAGACTTAACGGTAAAGTTACAGTAATTAAGACAGTGTGATTTTAGCAAAAAGATAGACACGAAATAAATGGAACTAGAAATAGACCAAGTGTTTAGTCAGCTAGGCTTGTCATAACAGAATACTGCAGGCTGGGTGGGTGGCTTAAGCAACAGAAACTTATTTTTTTCTAATTCTAGAGTTTGAAAGTCTAAGATTAAGGTGCTGGTAAGGTTGGTTTATCCAGAAGCCTCTCTCTTTGGCTGCAGATGGCTGCATTTTCACTGTGTCCTCACATGGCCTTTTCTCTGTGTATGTACCTCCCTAATGTTTCTTCCTCTTGTTTGAAGGTTACCAATTATAATGGCTTATAGCTTCACCCTTATGACTTTACTTAACCTAAATTACCATTTTAAAGGCCCTAAGTCCAAATGCAGTTATATTTTAAATGCTTACCTTCAAAAGCCCTAAGTGAAGGTCTATAATGGCTTTATTCTTCTGCTGATCCAGACCACATCTGCTTATAACCTAAATGTCTGTTAACTGGTAAATTAATAAACACTTTATACATATAATGCAATAAATGTACACAATGGAAAACTATTCACCAAGAAAAAGGAACAAATTATGTACATACTCAGTAACACGGATGAATCTCAAATGCATTATTTTAAATGAAATAACCCAGATTCAAGAGGTTACACACTATACATCCCATTGATATGAAATATTTGAAAATGCAAGTCTATAAGAACGTAGGATATGTGGGCAGTTGACAGAGATTTGGACTTTGGAGTGGGGTTGACTACAAATAAGCATAAAGATGGAATTTTGGTGGATAATCCAACTGTTGTCTATTGTGATTGCAATGATTATTACATGACCTTATGTCAAAATTCACAGAATTGTCCACCAAATGAATTAATTATATTATTGGTTTACAGATAAATTTATCATATGCAAATTTAAGCTACATTTTTTTTTTTTTTTGAGGCATAGTCTTACCTTGTTGCCCAGACTGGAATCGAAAATGGTGAAGTAAGAATAAAACAAAACACAAATTATTTAGTTAATTTCAACATTCACAGATGTCTAGGAGTGAAACAAAAATGTAAAATTTCTTTGAACTAGGGTTCAAAATTTGCACAGTCATCATGACACAATGTAAACAGTACAAACTAATGAATATTTAAACCATTACTATGGTTCTAAAGATTATTGCTGAAGTGATTTTTGTTGATGTTATAATAGTTTACGTAGTTCTTAGCCAGGCAGCTCAGGAAAAATTCAATTCTCATTCTGAGCAAACATTTCCAGTGACAGTCCCAAGGGAAATATACACAGGAGAGTGGTCAACAAAACAGGATAATTTAGTATTTCACTATAAGCATGGACCTTGACCCCAAATCCCAATATTAAATTATTAGACTGAAGAGCTCTGATATGTGTGATACAACTCAGCTTAAAATATTTATATCCAAATAAAAAGTAGAATTTCAGACATTATTACTCCAAATTGGTAAGGATCACATTGATTAATCAAGGTACAAGGGGTTAAATAGCTGGAAAATACATCATAAAGCTGACCTAGTCCATACTTCAATGCATTTTTCTCATACTAGAGCATTACCAAGTTCCTTCTGCTGGATAGAAAAAGGGGAATCACTGAAGTTTATAAGAGTAGAGAGTTAGGCTGTTGCTGTTTCTCACTCGTTCACTAATGACTCTTGGTATAATAATTGTAGAAACACATATGTCCTGTCTCTTAACCTACAGAAACTTCTTTCAACAGCACCATAATCAATAAAATGTCTTGAAATCTACACAATTCTTTTGAGAAGTGTCTGTTCATATCCTTTGCCCACTTTTTGATGGGGTTGTTTGTTTTTTTCTTGTAAATTTGTTTGAGTTCATTGTAGATTCTGGATATTAGCCCTTTGTCAGATGAGTAGGTTGCGAAAATTTTCTCCCATTTTGTAGGTTGCCTGTTCACTCTGATGGTAGTTTCTTTTGCTGTGCAGAAGCTCTTTAGTTTAATTAGATCCCATTTGTCAATTTTGGCTTTTGTTGCCATTGCTTTTGGTGTTTTAGATGTGAAGTCCTTGCCCATGCCTATGTCCTGAATGGTATTGCCTAGGTTTTCTTCTAGAGTTTGTATGGTTTTAGGTCTAACATGTAAGTCTTTAATCCATCTTGAATTAATTTTTGTATAAGGTGTAAGGAAGGGATCCTGTTTCAGCTTTCTACATATGGCTAGCCAGTTTTCCCAGCACCATTTATTAAATAGGGAATCCTTTCCCCATTGCTTGTTTTTGTCAGGTTTGTCAAAGATCAGATGGTTGTAGATATGCGGCATTATTTCTGAGGGCTCTGTTCTGTTCCATTGATCTATATCTCTGCTTTGGTACCAGTACCATGCTGTTTTGGTTACTGTAGCCTTGTAGTATAGTTTGAAGTCAGGTAGCATGATGCCTCCAGCTTTGTTCTTTTGGCTTAGGATTGACTTGGCGATGCGGGCTCTTTTTTGGTTCCATATGAACTTTAAAGTAGTTTTTTCCAATTCCGTGAAGAAAGTCATTGGTAGCTTGATGGGGATGGCATTGAATCTATAAATTACCTTGGGCAGTATGGCCATTTTCACGATATTGATTCTTCCTACCCATGAGCATGGAATGTTCTTCCATTTGTTTGTATCCTCTTTTATTTCACTGAGCAGTGGTTTGTAGCTCTCCTTGAAGAGGTCCTTCATGTCCCTTGTAAGTTGGATTCCTAGGTATTTTATTCTCTTTGAAGCAATTGTGAATGGGAGTCCACTCATGCTTTGGCTCTCTCTCTGCTGCAGCCCAAAAACACATGAAAAAATGCTTATCATCACTGGCCATCAGAGAAATTCAAATCGAAACCACAATGAGATACCATCTCACAACAGTTAGAATGGTGATCATTAAAAAGTCAGGAAACAACAGGTGCTGGAGAGGATGTGGAGAAACAGGAACACTTTTACACTGTTGATGGGACTGTAAACTAGTTCAACCATTGTGGAAGTCAGTGTGGCGATTCCTCAGGGATCTAGAACTAGAAATATCATTTGATCCAGCCATCCCATTACTGGGTATATACCCAAAGGATTATAAATCATGCTGCTATAAAGACACATGCACACGTATGTTTACTGCGGCACTATTCACAATAGCAAAGACTTGGAACCAGCCCAAATGTCCATCAATGATAGACTGGATTAAGAAAATGTGGCACATATACACCATGGAATACTATACAGCCATAAAAAATGACGAGTTCATTTCCTTTGTAGGGACATGGATGAAACTGGAAACTATCATTCTCAGCAAACTATCGCAAGGACAAAAAACCAAATACCGCATGTTCTCACTCATAGGTGGGAATTGAACAATGAGAACACATGGATGCAGGAAGGGGAACATCACACTTCAGGGACTGTTGTGGGGTCGGGGGAAGGGGGAGGGATAGCATCAGGAGATATACCTAATGCTAAATGACGAGTTAATGGGTGCAGCACACCAATATGGCACATGTATACATATGTAACAAACCTGCACGTTGTGCACATGTACCCTAAAGCTTAAAGTATAATAATAATAAAATTAAAAAAAAAATCTACACAATTGAGCTCATCTCTTGTTCTCTTTAGAGGGTAGCTACAATAATTAATTTGGCAATTTCCTCAGATTATTCCATCTTATCTATGTGTAGGAAGTGGCTAGCATAGTAGAGTCAAGCGTGTTAAAATGAAGCTGCTTAATACTCTCTTTGTATATGCTGTCAGTTTTTTTATCCTCAAGATAATGTAATTTAGTTATTTAGTATTTAAGATGAAAAGTAATAAGAGGTCTTAGGGACCTATCCTGTGTTTTGAATTTAGGGAGAATGATAAACTATCAACAAAACTCATGTTTATGTTGAATTTTTATGTTGAACAGCTTCTTGTATAAGACTAGTACTGTTACATAGTTTCTGAACAGTTATTCTGTTGAATCAATGGGATAAAATACTCTGATGTTAGCACTGAGTCATGTTGTAGTTCTCTTTCTTTATAAAAATTAAAAATAAAATGTACTGTATAGGTTGGAGTTGCTACTTGCATTGAAGTTACTACCATTCTGTACAATTTACAGAAAAAATGTTTTATTAAGTGATGTTAGTTAACTCAAAGGATTGTTGAGAGAGCTAGGAGAAATAGACTTCCAAATATGCTTCTTGAACTATACCTAGATACATGCTTTAAACTGGCTTGATGAGAACACCACTAATACTACCATATTACCTATATAATAAATGCATGGAACACAACAAGCAACTATTTCTGCTACACTGAAAGTAGGATAGATACCTGTCACTATGAGCAACAGCAAAACATAAGCTTCTACAAAGCATATTTTCTCACATAGTTTTTCTCTAAAATATAACCTCCTGATAGTTTATCTGATGACAGACCTTTAATCACATGCTTACACCTTAAAATAATCTGGAGAATAATTATCCTAAATTCTATCTGGGGAATGTGAGACTCAGAATGTGTTAAATCATCAAGGTATGAGAAAGTTATTAATATTTATAAGATTAATCACTAAAAATTTCGATGCAGATATTTCATGACTAATTGTTTTTAATTTCTCATGTGCTTTTTTAAATTTTAAAGGGAGTTTATCTTTATTCAGAAGAAATTCAATTAAATATAAATAAATCTCAATTCATAGAAGGGCATAGTAATGTTAAACAGAAAATGTCATGAATAATTCTAATGTATAAATTATTAAACTAATATGAATGGATTAAATTTCTTTCTTAAAAGAACAAGAATTATATCAAATTTAAAACAACTAATTTCACTACAATAAAACAAAAGAAACCTAAATATGGGCTCTTTAAAAGGAATAAACTTCAATTCATATGTCTGCACATATGGTTGCAAACAAAGATACAGAAAAAGATAAATCAGGCAAACACTAACGAAAGAAGAAAAGAAGAAGGACTCTTTATATCAAAGTAGAATTTTAAAAAGAGAGCGTATTAAATGATGAAACAACTGCTATTAAAAATTATATTACTCTATTCTAAAATTATATTCCAGCTCTTCTAAAAGCTACGTTTCACCAAGGTGAAACAAGAAGGTCTTTATAATTTAGGTAATCTAAGAAAATACCATATCTTTAATATTTAGAAAGCAAAAACAATCAGATGCAAAGATAATTATTGAAAGTTCTATTTAAAAAAGGCAATGTGAAGGTATTATTATTTATTTCCCATCCTTTGAAATTCACCAGTAAGAATAGAAACAAAATGGCCAGGTGTGCTGGCTCATGCCTGTAATTCCAGCACTTTGGGAGGCCGAAGACAGTGAATCACTTGAGCCCGGGAGTTGGAGACCAGCCTGCCTGGGGAACCTGGAGAAAATCTGTCTCAACTAAAAATAAAAAAATAATTAGGTGAGCACCTGTAGTCCCAGCTACTCAGGAGGCTGAGGCAGGAGAATTGCTTGAGCCCGGGAGGCGGAGGTTGCAATGAGTGGAGATTGTGTCACTACACTCCAGTCTGGACAAGTGACCAAGAACCTGTCTTAAAAAAAAAAAAAAAAGCAACAAAACTAGCTTCTGAAAAATGTCTTTTAAGGCAAATAAGTGAATAGAAATCATGGACAAATGGTATGTTATCAGAAAAAGGCAAAGTAAAGTCCAATACATGTATAAAATGTTCTGTCCAGATAATAAAGACATGTAGTTTGAAACAATAACAAGGTACTTTTATATATCTCATAGGTATTGGTAAATTATGAATATACTCTGCAAGAGAGTGAAAAAATATGCACTCTTATTAACTTTTAGTGGAAGTGTAAATTTGTTTAGATTTTTGGAGAGCAAAACCACAATATCTATTATGATTGTTAAAAATATCTATACCATTGTCCTCTAAAATTCCCCTAGAAATTTCAGTACCATTGAAATTTCAATGTGGAAAACATGTAAACAGAAAATATAATTGGTGGCATTGTATGATTGTAAAAATAATCTATCAAAAGGGCAAGGGTTAATAAAATTATCTATGAGATGCAATTATAGGAAAGTGTGGAAATATTATTGGCATGGAAAAATCATCAAAATATGGAACAGCCACTTTATTGAATAATACTAAAGGGCAATTATTCGCATTGTATAAAATGAGGACAACATGGTAGCTGTACTTTTTATATAGAAAAGAAAACATAATCCAACTCCTTTAAAACTTATCGTATGTACTTGAGTTGAAATTGCAACTATTACTTAAAGTAGCAAAATCTATCATAGCACTTCAACTATTACTAGGATGTTTTGGGATAAGAAGTTCATTCTGTTTCTAATTTGATTTTTTATACTCTCAAAAGCAGACATGGTAATTGTCAACCAGAGGCAATGTCGGGCAACCATAGATGTAAGTATGTCAGCACTAGACACTAAAAACATAAATGATATCAGAACCTTTATATTTTCCCCTTAGGTAAATTTTACTCTATGTCTTAATATATTTTGCTCATAAAAAGCTCTAATGTATCTTGGCTTACAGGTACAGTGCCTTTAAAATGTTGTCAATTTTTAAAAATAAGTTAACACTATTTTCTGGTCACTTAAAATGAAGACTTAGAAAACTGCAAAACACCAAGGGTATAGAGACTCTTGTTTTTAAAAAATACCATTTAGATAAGCATGCATACCTCAAACTATCTGAAATATTTTAAGCTTGAAAACCGGGGGAGATGGCAGTTAACAATTACCATTAAAAAGATAAAACACAATAGTTTAGAAAACTTTATAGGTAAGTATGTTTGAAGTATATTTTATTGTATGCATTTTATGGTCCAACCTCAAAAAAGTTGGAATATGTTTTTGGATTTGGATTTAAGTCTTAATTAAAAAGGAAGCAGAATGTCTTTTCATATGTATTTACAGGTGCTATGAACAAATTCAAAATCTTGTGTATGAACAGAGAGTCAAACCTTGATAACAAGAGGAAGTCAGAGGGTAAAACCTTGATAACAAGAGGAAGTATTTTTCTTTACGTTATGCCAAAATTGATTTAAATATTTTTATATATTCACTTCTAATTTATATTATTTTAATAATACTTAATTATCGTCCTTAACAGGTAGATAATATGTGAAAACAATTTTTTGACCATTATTTTAATATTATTTAAAGATATTTATAATTAATTTGCTGTGGAGGATAGTTTTTACTTCCCTACCAGAATTTTTTTAATGTTGACATGAAAATTCATTAAATTAATTTATCAAAGCCAAATCTAGTTTTTTAATAGTTATAATTTGTATATAATTTGCTAAATGAAGTAAATTATATCTAACTCATTTATTAAATGTCAGAAGGTCTAATTAATAGCCATGAAGCTAGGGTTGCCATTGACCAAATGTTTCTTATTGACCTTTCTATTCCCCATGGCCTGTCTACCATTGCCATCTATACCTGTGCATCTGGTGACTTTGTCCATTTCTTCCCATTTTTACTTCTCATGTGTTAACAACTGACTTTTCCCTTATGCTTTTAGGTGTCAACTCTTAATTGCATATCTAAATACAATGTAATTGTCTAATTTTTTATTCCTCACCTCACTTAATTCTTTTGTTTCAGACACTTTTAAAAGCTAGTTCAGTTTAACACCCATCAGACATATTAGTACAGAATATTTTATGTAAAATTCCTTCATTTAGGCTTTTGAGATTACCTAATTTTAGTAACTATTTTTTCAAAATGTATGTCACTCTTTTTGGTAATTTCTTAAGCAATATTTGATATTTGATAAGTTTGAAGAGTTTGTAGGTCTAAGCATATTTCATTTTTAAAAGAAAAGTACATAGTACTATAATATGTTAAGTGGTCTATAAAATGCTTATGTGTCACTGGATAGGGAATGTTTGATAAGAGTTGTTATGCAAAACAGATGTAGATATGGACATATATATAAAATATACCTAACTATTAGTATATAACATAAATGAAACAATCATAGTCAATTGGCCTTAAAAATTAGTAGCATTATTTTCTTTTTTAAATTTGTGGGTACATAGTAGGTGTCCATATTGGTCATATTTTAAGCATACAAAAATCAATAAGCAAAAGGGGAGCTGGAAGTAGTCTAGCAGTTCTCACTTTTCTAGTAGAAATGTGATGGAATTGATAATACTTAAGGAAATATTAATATTGCCTAAGATGGAAATGGCAATGTAAGTTAAAGGAGTAAACATGACAAACCATAGTTAGAAAAAAGGATGAAATGTTTCCAACAAACAAAAATAGTAAATACTCAAGGTAATACCCTGAAAACTCTGACTTATTACCTATTTTATGCATGTAACAAAATATCACATGTACCCCATAGAAATGTACAAATATTATGTATCAATAAAAAGTACTTTGTAGATAAAGAAGATTAAGGATATGATTTATTAATATTTATATTTTTGATTTTTATTTAAAATAATCAACTACTATTGGAAGAAAAAGGCTGCTTTTCCATAATTAAAAATATAGTTTTAAAAAAAATCGCTTGTGTACTTGAGAGAAAAGAAACAAAGGTAAGCAATAATTGATATCTATTCATTTTTCTTTCAACTAACATTACTGAGCACCAGCAGTAAACCAGCTACTGATGGAGGCATGGAACATATAAAAGGAATATTATTCCACCACTACTATTAAATAATTTACAGCTCATGAACGGAGGAGAACGGAATATCAAAATAACTGAAGTCATGGCTACTGGAGATTTATTTGTTTAATCACTCATGATAGCCATGTTACTTAACTTGTTTTGCTGAGTTTTCATGTTTGTAAAATAATGACTTCAGTAGGCACTTTATTATATGTTTTCAGATGTATGCACTTAAAATAATTCCTGACATTTCATAGATCCTCAACAAATAATGACTACTTTTATAAACAAAAGAAGCAAAACATTGCAATTAAACAGCTTAGTGATATAACAAGGGATTGAGGAAGTACAAAAAAAATAAAGCAACTTCCTTGGGGGTTTTAGACAAGGCCTCCATGCAAGCTAATTTTTGGATAAGAAAACAAGAGTATGATGTACACAGGGGCACAAGATGAGTAAAAATTGTGAACGATCTCCAAGTGTCCATGAAGTCATGAGAAATCCTGCATTAAACCTTTCTTTTTTTTTAATCTAATTTAAGATTAATCTACTCTTTCAATCCACTCTCATCTTTCTTAGTAGTAGATTTTTCCCTAATTCAGAGGGAAAACATAGATAATCTTGTAGGACAGTTTCAACTGTCCATTCCCAAACTTACAAATATGTATGTTATATATACATTGACTTTCTTTCTTCCATTCTTAGAAGAGACTTTTCTTTTTCAAAGTCCAACTTTCTAGTTGATATTTGGATCAAGTTTCCTTGCTACCTTGTCTAAGATAATATTTAATTAATCATTTTCTATTTTCTGCATATTTTTAATTTTTAGGTTACAACTGGCTCTTAGTTCATGTCATAATTATCATCCCACATGTCCATTTAAAACAAAAGGAACAGCAATAATTCTCTCTTTTATATCTTACTGTCACTTTAATTCATGAAAAGGATCCCCAAAAATAAAATAATATTTTAAAAACCCCAACTATTTCTTTACTTTCTATTTACTCTTTAACCTACCAGATACCACACCCACAACCCCAGTGAAATTGTTCTGAATATTTCTAATGACCTTTCTATTGCCATTTTCAATGAATGTTTTTATTCCTTATCTTATTTTCTTTCATTGTTGACCGCTTCCTTCGTGAACATCTTTTGCTCTTGCCTTCCGAGACATCACCCTCTCTTTGTTCTTCTCATTGGTACTCTTAACTCTTTCTTCTCATTCTGGATTTTGTTAGTTCCTTAGTCTCTGTCCTAATCACAGTTGCTGATGTTTCCCATGGTGCCCTTTGTTCTCTTCTCTGTTAACTCAATGTGCTCTTGGTGAGCACTCAGATTTTTTACATGTTTTTAACTACCACTTTTAATTAATAATTCTGAAAAACACATCCGTACCATAAAACGAATCCCTGAGCTCCAGATCCAAATGTTAAATTTTTTAGATGCTTTAGCATATCTTCCCATAGAAAACTAATAATATTCAACTTGTTTCAAAATGAATAAGCTATTTTGAGTCCAAATTTGGTTATTCTCTTGAATCTCATATTTTAAAGAGCAGCATCACTATTTATTCAACCAGCCAAACAAGAAGCTAGAGAGGCTTCAAATTCCTTCCCCACCCTTTAATCTTTTCCCATATCTCGATTTAATCAATCTCTAAATCTTCTAATGTTTTTTTCTTAACATCTCTTATTTTCTACCGAAGCAGCTGTAACTGTAACTTGTGATTCTTGGCTTTGGTTTATTATATCAATAAACAGCCTCTTTACCGTGCACCATTGCTTAAACACGAATGTGTGGGAAATTATATAAGGCCTGACATGAACAAATCTTTGACTATTTATCTATTTTCTCTACTCACTGAAGAAAGAAGTAGGAATTTAGAGATGAGGAAAATAGACGATATAGGAAGAAATTGTAATAGTTAATATGAAAGTTAATAAAGCTTGAACTAGGCAGTAGCATTATGAATGGAAAACAAATAGTGGCATTCAAGAGACCCCTTTGAAGTAGCATTGAGATGCTTTGAGTATCACAAAAAAGGGTAAGTTGATATCATCTCCTTGAGATGAAGGCCTGCTTAGCAATAAAATAATAAAAAAACATAGACTACAGACCTATCTGAAAGTAAAGTATTGCCTTTGGGATTACGCTAATGATATCAGCTCAAGCTATATATTTTCAGGGTTTTTCTACTTAGGAATTAAAAGGTAAATGTCACTGAGAAAAAAATAGCATGACAGACAATGATCTTAATATTTAGCAAATATATTATGCATTAAATAGAATGGAATTTGAGAAGTAGAGTCTAGAGTCTATAGATGTGGTTCAGAAACTGGAAAATATTTCCGTGCAGAACTGTGACAAATCAAGGTGTTACAGAATCACATCATTTTATCTTAGTTTCTGCAAACATGGAATACTGAGTAGTATACTTACACAAAAGTCAAATAATATCAAGTTTTCCCAATTCACCAATACAGAAAAAATGAAAACAAATGTTAATGAAATTTCTCAGTTTTAAGTTTCCCTGCTCAATAAAAGGAAAAGTTTTCCTTTTCAACTTTTGATATCTACTACTGTTTCCTAACAGGAAACAGAATAAATTTTTAAAAAGCTAAATAATATTAATGTAAATGTCAGAAATGTGATCATAAGAAAATCTTGGATGTATTAGTTTTTAGTTGCAGGGGCTTACTTACATATATTCATGTACTTTTTTAGTAATGTTATTTCACAGAAAAAAAACTATACAAATTATCATGAAATTTTTCAAACAACTCTCTAACAATTGTGAGTCACAGCTAGGAAGTTCCCTTGAAAAGAGCAAGCAGGGACTGAAATGTAGAAATTGTCAAAAACAAGGTAGGAAAGGCAAGGAAATGGTGATAGAAAGGGGAAATAATGTTATTTCCTATCTACCCGCTCTGTTCCAGTTTCTGTGTTATGTTTGATTCTTTTATATGTCATCTATTATCTTCAAATCCAGTAAGAAGTGGCATAATTTCAATAAACAGATGAGAACTGGAATTTCAGAGAGCTCCATTTACTTTCTGTAAGTTTCAGAAAGTAGCTGAGATAGTTCAGACTGTTTTCAAAGCCTGCTTGCTTTCCACATACTAGGCTATCTAGAGGATGTAAAATTAAAAGTGATTAATAAGCCAAATTCAACCTATTGAGAGGTGAAGCCAGCTGGACTTCCTGGGTCGAGTGGGGACTTGGAGAACTTTTCTGTCTAGCTAGAGGATTGTAAATGCACCAATCAGCACTCTGTGTCTAGCTAAAAGATTGTAAGTGCACCAGTCAGCACTCTGTAAAAATGCACCAATCAGTGCTCTGTGTCTAGCTAAAGGATTGTAAATGCACCAATCAGCACTCTGTAAAAATGCAGCAATCAACACTGTGTGTCTAGCTAAAGGATTGTAAATGCACCAATCAACATTCTGTAAAAACGCACCAATCAGTGCTCTGTGTCTAGCTAAAGTATTGTAAATGCACTAATCAGCACTCTGTAAAAACACATGAATCAGCACTCTGTGTCTAGCTAAAGGATTGTAAATGCACCAATCAGCACTCTGTAAAATGGACTAATCAGTGCTCTATAAAATGGACCAATCAGCAGGATGTGGGTGGGGCCAAATAAGAGAATAAAAGCTGCCACCCCAGCCAGCAGTGGCAACCCGCTGGGGTCCCCTTCCACACTGTGAAAGCTTTGTTCTTTTGCTCTTCACAATAAATCTTGCTGCTGCTCACTCTTTGGGTCCACACTGCCTTTATGAGCTGTAACACTCACGGGGAGGGTCTGCAGCTTCATTCCTGAAGTCAGCGAGACCAGGAGCCCACCAGGAGGAACAAACAACTCCGGACCTGCCACCTTTAAGAGGTGTAACACTCACTGTGAAGGTCTGCAGCTTCACTCCTGAAGTCAGTGAGACCACGAACCCACTGGGAGGAACAAACAACTCCGGATGCACCACCTTTAAGAGCCGTAACACTCACTGCGAAGGTCTGCAGCTTCACTCCTGAAGTCAGCAAGACCACGAACCCACCAGAAGGAAGAAACTCTGGACACATCTGAACATCTGAAGGAACAAACTCCAGACACACTATCTTTAAGAGCTGTAGCACTCACCACGAGGGTCTGCAGTTTCATTCTTGAAGTCAGCAAGACCAAGAACCCACCGGAAGGAATAAATTCTGGACACACTATTAGGTTGTAGTTGATTTAAAACATGAAAGGATAAATATAACATCCAATATTTGTATTGCTAGTTTATCATTGCTACTATTTGCACTTCTTTAACTAGTTCCAACCCACCTGGTTAGGTTTGTTTTGCATGTTACAAACATAAAAGACGTTTAAAAGAAACAACAACCCTATCTTCTTCTTGATCTAGAAGCAAATAAGAATATGATAAAATTTCAGAAAATCAAGGAAAATCCAAATAAACTCAGCTCTAGTGGGCTCATTTCAACATACTAGAGTTAGGAAATTCTCTTTGAGGTAGGATTAAGCTTACTTCATGAGCACTCAATTTATTTCTACTGTAAAACCACTCTTGGTGTAATGTAGCTGCCATTCATTAACATCAGAATTCTCCCAGTAGGTCTGGGATATTTAAATGTAGCAGCAGCATTCTAAAGTGGAGGCTGATTTAACCTATCAATCCCGCCACTGGATACTACCTAAAGGAAAATAAGTCACTGTATCAAAAAGACACCTGTACATGTATGTTTATTGCAGCTCCATTCATAATTGCAAAGATATGGAACTCAGAAAACGTGGTGTGTGTGTGAGAGTGTGTGTGTGTATACAATGGAATACTAATCAGCCTCAATAAGGAATGGAATAATGTCTTTTGCAGCCACTTGGTTGGAACTGGAGGCCATTATTATAAGTAAAGTAATTCAGGAATGAAAAACCATATACTGCACGTTCTCACTTATAAATGGGAGCTAAGCTATGGGTATTCAAAGACATGCAGTGTCATATAATGGACACTGGAGATTCAGAAAGGGAGAGGCTAGTGAAGAGGGGTGAAAGATGAAAAACTACCTATTGGGTAAAATGTACACTACTAAGTTGATGGGTGCACTGAAATGCTAGTCTTCATCACTATACAATTCATCCATGTAACCAAACACCACTTGTATCCCTAAAGTTACTGAAATTTTAAAAAGGTGCTAAGAAGAAAAAAAATTGAGGCTGAAGATATGAGTCATCTCACACAAATGAGAAATTCGACTGCAAACTTTGATTAGGAAATCAAGTGGCCAGGAATTACAAAAATTATTTCAGAAACGTATTACACTGCGTATCATTTCTGCGTATCCAGTTCTGATCTCTGATTGATAATACAATCTCATACTACTTCTTTTCTGTGATTAGGTTGTTAGTTTAAACCCCAGTAGTTACTAGGCCTAGTTTCCTCCTTGCTGCTCATCAACCATAGGCACTCATATTAGGACTGCTAACACTTCTATCTCCATCACACTAACCCCAGAACAAGAGTACGATGTTCTAGTTTGAGCTCTCATTTCTGTGGTGCACAGAATATAAGCTAAGACATCTCAAAATGTAATTTTCCAAGATACAAGATGAAACTAGAAACAAACCATTTCAATAAATCCTAGAATGATAACTCTATGATTGATTTTAAGGCCATATAACAGTATGGCCAAGTACATGTCTTATTGATATTTATAGCATTTGACACAGCTCATAGCTTTCATAAAATAGATGTTTTATAATCAAGTGATTATTTGAAAAGAAATATCAGTGGCAGTCAGAGTTTATAAAGCTAAACAAAAAAGCTATCTCTGGTTGATACAAGCAGCAAATGAATACACTGAAAGATTTGCAGAAGAGGTTGGGAAATGAAACTTATATAATGGGTAGGAATAAAAAAGACTAGGTGGAAATGAGAACCACAGAATGGTTCCAGAGGATGAGCTCCATGGAGACACCATAGCCACTATTTTGAATGACAAATACCATAGCTTGCCCATCACCATGACCCATGCTGAACATCTAACTTTGCAAGTAGCACCATTCCCACGTTTGTTCCTAGAAGCTGGATGTGAATACCACAATTTGGCCACAGGTGTTTTTCTGACCATGTCTCAGATGTTCTGTTAATTTAAACGTTTTATTGTATCAGGCTTTAGTGGTTAAAGAGGGGCTCTTTGAAGTATTTTACTTGAGAAGATGAATGGAAGATGTTTTAAGTCTTTAAAAGACACATATTGACTAATTTTATCTTACTTTAGATGATGGAACAAATACTATTGAGTAAAATTTATGACAACACAGGATTTTTTTTTTCAATATAGAGAAATCCAAAATTAAAATGGGCAAAATCTTCGCTACTAGAAGTAATCGTGCAGGAATGAGATGGTCACCTCCTAGGGATAACACAGAACAAATTTCTGTTTGAGTGTGAGATTGGACCACATAACTGCTGAGAGTAACTCTCACTCTAGGTCTCCATAGTGCTTTGATCTCTGCCGTTGAATTTCATGTAAAGTAGTTTATATAGTTTACATTGCTAATTGGCCTTCAAGATGAAAGCAATTTTACATTTGTACAGAAGAACAAAATTTGCCTCCAGCCTCTTGAAAATAATTATTTATGTGTAATGACATATCATAATTATTTCTTACTGCTTTCCTTAGTATTTATGGTGTTGACAGGTATATTTCAGCTTGATGTGGCTATTGGCTTTGGAAACTGAATATTTTAATTTTCATTCAGATAGATTGTTAGATATTATAGAATATTTTGGCCAGGCACGGTGGCTCACGGCTGTAATCCCAGCACTTTGGGAGGCCAAGGCGAGTGGATCACGAGGTCAGGAGATCGAGACCATCCTGGCTAACACGGTGAAACCCCATCTCTACTAAAAAATACAAAAAATTAGCCAGGCGTGGTGGCGGGCGCCTGTAGTCCCAGCTACTTGGGGGGGCTGAGGCAGGAGAATGGCGTGAACTCGGGAGGCACAGCTTGCAGTGAGCTGAGATCATGCCACTGCGCTCTAGCCTGGGTGACAGAGTAAGAATGCATCTCAAAAAAGAAAAAAAAGAATATTTCCTGTACTTTTTTTTTGCATAATTATTTGGCTTTTTTAAAGTAATTCCAAAAGTACAGAAAAGTTGAAATACAGTACTAATTCCTGATTACCCTTTGCTCAAGTTTCCAAATAGTTAATATGTTCCTATATTTGATTAATCATTATTTTCATTCTCTCTGTGTGTTCATGTGAGTAGGTATGTATTATTAAAGAAAAATTACATTAATAAATTCAAAAAACAAATAAGACTTTGTTCAAGAATACTGCAATAGGAAAGAGAGATTGAATTCAACTTTACAGAAACAAAAGGTTGGAGAATTTTTAAATGCTTAGGTGAGCTAGTGGGAAAGTACTGAAGCACATTATGGGGGAGGTTGGTCAAAGTATTTAGACCATCTGTGTTTGCTAATGCTTGTTTATCTAAGTTGGGATCCTACCCCCGCAAGGAAACTGAGAGTTAAGAGTGTTATCTTTCTTAATGAATTACATTTCAAAGGGATCATTTCCAGGTTCTTGAGAAAGACATTCTTGAGTTGTAAAACTGTAAAACTAGCAAGAAACTAGATGATTTACATAATGGGCAGAAACAATTTACAATTTTAAGTTTTCTGAAGGAAGTGCCCTAAGAAAAGTGAATTTAGGCACCTATGGTCAGGAAGAAATCTGTTTAAAGTTTGGCAAAGCTGAAGGGAACTGAAAGGCCATCTTGGTCAATGTGTGTATATATGGGTCTTGGCAATAGCACAATTATGGCATATAGGGTTCAAAACAGCAAATGTACATACACATGCATACATCTACACACATATATATGCATGTGGATGTGTGTATATTTATACTTTTTTCAGAAATGTTTCAGAGTAAGAAACAGACATGACACCCCTTCACCTCTAAATACTCCAGTATTCTTTCATAAAAACAATATAATTATCTTACAGACAATCTCATGCACACATTTTCTTATATTTAATAACTATAGTATAATTGTTAAAATCAGGACGTTACTGCATATGATTTTCACAACAACCCTAGACTGCAAAGTTACTGATAGGCTACATTTTTACTAATGAAGGAAACATGCATATTGGCATTTGGCTCCAAGACTGGGGACCAGAGATATTACATAGATTTTTTTCGATTTTAGTAAAGAACAACTCTAAGATTTACTACATATGGCTTCCTTTACGGCAAACCATGTTGAACAGCAATTGATAGTGGTTATGCATGTTTGTAATAAATGTGAAGATGTGTGTTTTAGTAATCTCAAGACAGTGTGTTTTCCATCAAGGTCTCTAGAATTTTGTAATTCTTTACTACTTTTGGCTGTGTCAGAAAATAGAGTAGTTTGAATTTAAATGCTTGTGGTGAAACCCATATGTTGTATTACACATTTGCCAGGTTGCTGTAGGAAGCTCAACAAAACCAAAGGAGTCCCTTCCATTATTAATGAGTCTCTAGGCTCTTAGGCACATTCTGTGAGCCATAGAAATAAATGAAATATTCATTAAAACACTTAAACTATTAATATTATAGCAACAAAGATAAAAGAAATAACATGGTTTAATTAATAACCTCTCTTTGGATTGAGTTATCATGCTACAATTTTCTGAGAAAAAAAAACAACAATTAAAATAATTCCTCAAAAACTTAGAAGATATATTATGTTCTTTGTGTTCATAAGTCTGTTGTTTGGCTACCTACAGAAATGTACCAATGTCAGAGTAAGAATTTTAATATATAAGCAAACGTTAGTAAGGAAGACAAGGAAACTATTCTTTCTTTCTTTCTTTCTTTTTCTTTTTTTTCTTTCTCCTTCCTTCCTTCCTCCCTCCCTCCCTCCTTCCCTCCCTCCCTCCCTTCCTTCTTTCTTTCCTTCCTTCCTTCTTTCCTCCCTCTCTCCATTCCTCCCTCCCTTCCTTCTTTCTCTCACTCTCTCGCTCTTTCACTCAGGCTAGAGTGCAGTGGTGTGATCTCCACTCACTACAACCTCCCCCTCCAGGGTTTAAGCAATTCTCATGCCTCAGCCTCCCAAGTAGCTGGGATTACAGGTGTGCACCACCACACTTGCCTAATTTGTGTATTTTTAGTAGAGATGGGGTTTTGCCGTGTTGGCCAGGCTGGTCTCAAACTCCTGGCCTCAAGTGATGTGCCCACTTCAGCCTCCCAAAATTTGGGGATTAATTAGTCAGTGAGCCACCATGCCTGTCCCATTTTTCTATTTTTAATAAATCTGCATTTGTTAACATCTAGACACACACTAATACAACTGACCCTGAACACCACGGATTTGAATAGCATGGGTCCACTTATACGTGAATTTTATTTCACTTCTGCCACCCCTGAGAGCAAGGCCAATCATTTCTCTTTCTCCTTCTCCTCGGCCTACTCAATGTGAAGATGATAAAGATGAAGACCTTTGTGATGATTCACTTCCACTTAATAAATAATAAATATATTTTTCTACCTTATGATTTTCTTAATAACATGTTCTTTTCTCTAGCTTTCTTTATTGTAAGAACACAGTATATAATACATATAACACAAAAAATATATGTTAATCAAATTTATGTTATCAGTAACACTTCTGGCCAACTGCAGGCAATTAGTAGTTAAGTGTTTGGGTGATCAAAAGTTATACATGGATTTTCAACTGCATGGTGCCCAGCTCCCCTAACCCCCAACATTGTTTAAGGGTCAATTGTATAAGATATCTGAATTGTTGAGTAAGTATTTTTCAAAGTTTCTGTTAGAAGTCAGCAAATCTTTTTTTTAAAGGGTTAGAGAGTAAATATCTCGGTTTTGCATGCTATGTGTGGTCTCAATCATATATTCTTCTTTGAATTTTGTTAAAAATTTGTAAAAATATGAAAACAATTTTTAGTGTAAGGGCCATACCAAAGTATGCCAGGTATCAGATTTGACACATGGGTTTAGCCTAGTTGCTAATCAATGACCTAGAGCATATGTTACAGTCCACTGAAGAAAATTAGACATCATTTATTTTATATGAGGTTAGTAGAGGTTCTTAAAATTTTCTCTAAAGAATTATTTGTCTTCATGTGATCAAATACAATCAGTGGCAAAAATTCCAAACTGTATGCTACTGCTGGTCCTGTTGTCAAAATGACTACCAAACTAATGATTCTATTAACACATTAGTGCTGAATACAATGAAAGTCTGAATTTAAGTTTAATAAATATGAAATTAGTGTCTATCAACCTAGTGGCATTCTTCTATGTGTGAACCCAATCTCTTTAAAATCACTATGAATCAATATATAATTGAACATGAACAAGCAGTACAAAGATTTCCTAGTTATTACATATATGTGCATCCAAGTACTATTATAATTTCTACTTAACCTACAATAATACTTATTGTTAAGCAATCTTGGTTGCAAAGGGAAAAAGCCTGACCTGAGGAAGGCAAATATTATGGTTTATTTTACTCACTAATGTGTAATTAGTGTTTAGAAGAATCCTTGGTACTGAAGATACTAAATAAATATTAAATGAATGGATAGAAAAAAGTTCTGATAATCAGACCACCAAGAGCAGTAAGGACTTGTTAGAGAGAAAATCAGACCTGAAGTCATAAAGTTACCAAAGAGAAAATCATGACAAGATTCAGACTTAAGGGAGAAGACAGAGACCACCAGAAGAGGGATACACGGCAGGAATTGGAGCAGAGTAGAAATTCAGAAGTCCCAGTTCTGCAACTGGACATGAGAACACAAGAGAATCATGCTAAATCTCTGACTATCTGCTGGTCTCGAAATCTTTGTTTTCCTTGGTGGAGCAGAATTGGCTTCAAAGTATGCCTTGAGTTGAACCTACAAGTGGGGATCATGTGGCCTGCAAGTTGGGATCCCCTAAAAGTGGGGATCAAGTCCCATCCCTTGAAAAAGGATATTTTTGATTCACGGAAGTCAGCCCAGAGTCTGACACCTAGCAGTTGCTTACTGCTTTACTTATTAAAGAAGCAACTCTGTGGGAAAGAGAGTCAAGCAGATCATAAAGCTGTATTTTTTTCTTTTCACATATTTATAATGTATCACATAATTTGTATGAAATAGTTACCAAATATATTGAGATTCATAATGGCTGCCAATTTAGTAATTAATATATTTTAGTTACAATGCTTTCTGATGAATATTTTTACAAGTGTTTTATCCACTTTGCTACTTTAATAAATGTGGTGTACTGAACATCATTTCTTTTCGATGATGATTTCATGTTGTTAATTTAATTACTCATTAATTGCTAATAATGATTTTGATATTAATGCTTTTGGTCCTAGGACTGGCCTCAATACAAACTATTACCTTTATTTATTTTTATTTAAAAGTATGGTAAGGATGGGATTATAAAATATAAGTTAAACAGAAATATCACATTATAAACATCAGTAAAATGTGTGATTTCTCGAATAATAAATCAGTACAGAAACAAAAGTATTTACTAATTTTGTTCTAGAGACAAGGTTGAGTTTAGACAAGTTTTTATTATTTCAAAACCAGGATTTGGGAAATAAATCACTGAGAAAATAGAGCAATAATGTTAAGAGAAAAATTTTAAACAACTCTGTAGTCCTTTTAGCAATACACAGTGGGTTACAGAGAACAATTGAGTTACTCTTCTGTGTCTCCTGATTTTCCTGAATTTACACTCAGCCTAATGGTTGCAGTATTCCACACAGCACTTAGCATATCATAGTAATCCAGTAAGTAGATTTGAATTGATTTGCTATAAAACCAAGATCTTGGGTGAAGTTACAAACAAATATAATACAGTGGAGCAGTGAAGCTGGTCCCTACCAGCTCACGCAATCGAATTGCTCAATTTTCAGGAAAGATGAGAGACATTATTGAACAATTAAATTGTATAAACTTAAAATTAAATGAATTCTACTACAAACAAATATAATAAACATTCAAAATTCATTACTTCCAAATCATCATATTACATTATACCATCTCTGATCCTCAGGTTGTGAATGGTCTAATATACTTTATAACATAATTTATAACTATATTGTATATCTAATATACTTTATAACATAATTTATAACTATATTGTATATCTAATATACTTTATAACATACTTTATAACTATATTGCTGTGCATTTCTTTCCATTTTTGTCTTAAGTGACATCACTTTATAGCATGAAATGTACCATGGTGGTAGCATTTACAACAAGAAAATTGGCAAATGCTACAAGCCGGGCTTATTTTCCCTCAAAGAATCAAGAGTTAAACACTTATGAGCATATCAGTCTTCACAGTGGACAAACATATTTTTCTCTCTATTTGTAGCATGATCATATAACCGAGATAAGTCTTAGAGAGAACTTGATCCAAAAGTTTACAAGGTAAAAACATGTGACATGCTCATGCAGATTTATTTATTAAAATTGTTCTTCTAAATTAGGTAAAAACATAGAAATAAACATTAACTAGAAAGGACAGTCTGAATTCTCCATTAAGAAGCCTTGATAGGATCAATCAGTCAATATATAATTGCCTGTAAATAGCAGAAAGCCAAATTATTACACTCCCTATGTGTGGATGAATGCAATTAATAAAAGCTCAATTTTTTCTCAGTCAACCACATGATTTTTTTTATTTTAACCCCTGCTATTGACCACTCTGTTAGCAAGTGTGCAACACATTATCCTGGACATGAGCCAGCTTCACCAATGCCAAGTTGGATCCCATCATTGATACATTCAGGAGCATTTGGTACATTCAATAGAAGTCACAGCTGAGGATTTTTGCCTTCTCTGACCAGCCTATTTATGAGCTTTTCCTCATATGAAAGGAAACAAGTTTGGAAAAGTGACTGTGGCACTCATCGAGGGGAAAATAAAACCTTCAGGGAAGAATCATTTCAAGAATAGAATTTCTAAATTTTTCCCTGTTAACCATTTGATATGTATGAATGTGACAAAAGAAAGAGAAATTAAACAAATACAACTTTCATTTTAAAAGTTCAGATATACAGCTATATTTACAATGGTGTCTATGTGGATATATTTCTGCACAGGCAGAGAAAGATACTGTAGGCATTTCCCACCAAATAGTGACAGTAGTTGTCTCTAGATGTTGTTATATTTGATAATTTTATTTTTGCATTTTAAAATTTACCATTAAAATTTTATAATTAGCATGCATTCTTTAATTATAAAATAAAACAAAGTAAAAAGAAATAAAAGCCAGGCGTGGTGGCTCATGCCTGTAATTTCCACACTTTGGGAGTCCGAAGTGGGAAGATCACCTGAGGTCAGGAGTTCAAGACCAGCCTGGCCAACATGGTGAAACCCCATCTCTACTAAAAAAAAAAAAAAAAAAAAATACAAAAAAATTATCCGGGCATGGTGGCGGGTGCCTGTAATCCCACCTACTTGGGAGGCTGAGGCAGGAGAATCGGTTGAACCCAAGAGGAGGAGGTTGCAGTGAGCAGAGAATGTACCATTGCACTCTAGCCTGGGCAACAAGACTGAAACTTCATCTCAAAAAAAAATAAAATAAAATAAATTTAAAAATCTAGAATTTTTTAACATTTAAATTCAGTTTCTTCCAATTTGTTATAAAAAGTTAAGTTGCTCTTAATTTTTGGAAAATTATAGAATTTAAAGAAGCCAATTTTTCTCATAAACACAATCACATTACTTTCTATATTTAAAAAAAAACTAAGTAGGAAGCAATCCTATATAATAAATAATTTTCATATGCTACTCTTCCATTTGCAATTTGAAAGTAAATATATAAAATAATGACTAAAAGCATGAGGTTTGAATGCTGGCAGATGCAGCTTCAAAGTCCCACTATACCATTTACTATGTAATTAGAGGCAAGTTATTTATCTTTTCTCTCCTTTTTTTTTTTTCAAAATAGAAATAAGTATATGTAACTTGCAGAAATTTCATTAAGATTAAATATGAAATATGTATAGCATGCCATTAACAACCAATAGCTTCAATATCATTAAAAGAGGAAAAGGTATTTCAGAAATATGCTTACGAAGACTTAAACGGAACTCAGATATTTGGTCTTGAAATTGTTTTAACATTCGAGCCAATTAGAATCACTTTACAAAATTAAATGTTCAGACCTCTGATATTTAGAATGATAGCCATGATTCAAGTGTTCATTACAAAATAAAGAAAATTATGTTGCCAGGATATTTGTATAATCTTTGTTGCTCTCATTTCTGCTTCTGTAGTGTTTCTATTCTTCTGAACTGCAGAGAGCAAAGATGCATATGTTGTTCCAGCTGCTGTTGCTTTAGGCTCTCCACATTGGTGTTAACTTGTGAGACTCTGATATACGGAGCCAAGAATATGTTTTAATTTTTTTCACAGCAGATTATATAACAAGCTTTTATGTCACAATATGCAAATCTGGTTATTGCCTGGAAAGATTTCAACAGTGGCTGAAGTTCCATTTAATGAGATACATACAGTCTTCAAATTTTTATTCAGACACCACTATGGGCTGGGCATTATTCCCAGAACTAGGAATCAATGACTAAGACAAATATCCAGATTTTGTGAAGCTTCTCATTTAGTTGTGGGGGAGATAATCATAATAAATACGTAATATACATATAGAGGAAGATAAGAGGTACTGTGGAAAAATAGTGGAAGATAAGGGAAACTATGAGTTAGAATTTACATGTACTTCCAGTCCTTAGAAAAATCATTGCTGATACCATGTCTGACCACACTATTAAAATTGCACTCCCTTCTGTAACTTAGACTAAGTTCACCTAAACTTGCACACTGTTCTGCATAGCAATTATTGCTATTATTAATGTGTTTTTTTTTTGAGACAGGGTCTCGCTCTGTCACCCAGGCTAGAGTGCAGTGGTACGATCTCAGCTCACTGCAGCCTCCACCCTCTAGGTTCAAGTGATTCTCTCGCCTCAGCCTCCCTAGTAGCTGGGATTACAGTCGTGTGCCACCATGCCTGGCTAATTTTTGGTATCTTTAGCAGACACGGGGTTTCACCATGTTGGCCAGGCTGGTCTGGAACTCCTGACCTCAGGTGATCCACCCTGCTCTGCCTCCCAAAGTGTTGGAATTACAGGCATGAGCCACTGCGCCCAGCCTATTATTATTATTTAATACGTTTCTTCGCTCTGCCATTAGAATGTAAACTCTATGAATACAGGAATTTTTTCCTGTTTTGTTCTTTGCATCTGTTTTGTTCTCACTTCAGGCAAAACCAGTAATGTTTTGTTCAATAATCTGGTAGAAAATCTTGAAAAGTGTTCAGGGAGTGAATAGTGAAGGACCATGCTAAAGAATTTCAAATTTCTTGTTCTGGGGATTGTGAGCTACTAAACACTTAGAATAATCTGTTTTGCGCTTAGGGATAGAAGGAATGGAGGAAAGAATAGAGGCCCTGGGCAAAGATGAATGCCTCCCTTTGTAGTGGCAAGGCGGCTGTAGAAGTAGTAATGGAAATGAAAGATGGATAGTTTGTGTCAATTGGAAATTGGGAGAGAGAAAGGAGAAATTAGGACTTCCAGGCTTCAAGTTTGAATGACTAGATGGATAGTGATTCATTTCTATGGACCGCAAAATAAGAAAACAGGAGAAGGGACACATTTGAGAATGTATGTTCAGTTGAAATATTCTGGGTTTGAGTAAATACATGTGATACTCCGGTAGAGTAAATATATTTATTTTTATTGTTTTTGAGATGGAGTCTCGCTCTGTTGCCCAGGCTGGAGTGTAGTGGTGCAATATCGGCTCACTGCAACCTCTGCCTCCTGGGTTCAAGTGATTCTTCTGCCTCAGCCTCCAGAGTAGCTGCGATTACAGGAGCCTGCCACCACACCCGGCTAATTTTTGTATTTTTAGTAGAGACAGGGTTTCACCATATTGACCAGGCTGGTCTCGAACTCCTGACCATGTGATCCACCTGCCTTGGCCTCCCAAAGTGCTGGAATTACAGCAGTGAGCCATCATGCCCAGCCAGATAGAGTAAATTTAAAACTGGAGTCCTGAAGATATTAAGATTGGAATTTTTAGGAATTATAAGCATATTGGTACTAGTTGAAGTTAAGAGTTAGGATGAAAAATAACAGTGTTTTATATGCTGAAGGAGAAAGAAAACAAAAAGGAGATGTTTTTAAAAGGCAAAGTGAAATCCCATTGGCAGAACAATTGACAATACAGGTGAAAAGAGCTCTGTGCCTCTGAAATAGGCCAAAAGGATACAATGATGCTTTCTCCTATTCCTGCCAAAGTGGCTATAGGAAACTTCATTTTTCTCATCTTCACTTGGCCTAGGTACATGTGTTCTTAATAATTGCTATAAATAAGCTAACTACTCTTCTTTTGCTCTCCTTTCATGTCTATTTTGCTTAAGGGCTTAGATGGGGTTGCATTCCACCTCAAATCAACTCCAGACCTGGGCTGAAGGCACAAGTCATCCACCACCAGGAGACTCTGCCTTTCATCATCTACCAGATACCTGGATCTGCCTTAAAGGGCAGATCACTCCTACTCTTTTCTAAAGACTTCTATCTGATGCCTTCTCAGTAGAAATTATGTATTAGTACCCCATAGCAGGTTGCAAATAAGTGATTTGGATTCTCTCTTTTAAACTGTACATCCCTTAGGAAAAAGATATGTATGATGAGAGAGGGTTTTCAATTGCTTCCTTTTCCTTCTTTAGTACTCACCTGGAAAACTCACCAGTACAATACATTCTCTTGTCTTCTACAGCTGACCTGCTGAGCACGTCTTGAGGAAATCACACAACGCTCATAAGGGTCATCACATAGGTAATGTTAGAAACTTTTACTAAAACCTTATTACTGATGAGGAAGGATTTTGCATGCATTCCATCTGTACTCTTTCATATTTTGCACAATGGCTGTTCACTTCTTTAGAGATGCCTGGAGGCCCAAACTCCAGCACTCCTTCATTCTCAATACTCTTACCTCACAGAGAAAATAGAGGCCATACATTCCCTCAGCTTCTTGCCTACTACTGACATATGTTTTTTTTCTATTCTGATCCTGGTTGCTGTTGAAAAATATGATCAAATCCTCTATTAAGCTAACTATTTTAGTAAGTATCATTAATAATACTACTACTATAGCGTCATTAGCTCACAAAGTTTCTACCTTATTTCTTTTTAATTTTTTTATTTTTTAATGTTTTTATGAATACATAGTAGGTGTGTATATTTATGGGGTACATGAGATATTTTGACGTATTTTGATACATGTATACAACATGAAATAAGCATATCATGGAAAATGGGATATCCATCCCCTCAAGCATTTATTTTTTGAGTTACAAACAGTCCAATTACATTAAGTTATTTTAAATATACAATTAAGTTATTATTGATATAGTCTACCTATTGTGCTATCATCAAATAGTCTTATTCATTCTTTCTAATTTTTTGTAACCATTAACGTTTTCTACCTTTTACCCAACCCTCCACTACTTTTCCTAACCTCTGGTAATCATCCTTCTACTCTCTATGTCCATGAGTTCAATTGATTTGGTTTTGAGATTCCAAAAATAAGTGAGAACATGTGATGTGTGTCTTTTTGTGTCTGGCTTATTTCACTTAACATGATTGAGAGGTGACAGCATGCTGGCAGCCCTTGCTCACTCTTGGCGCCTCCTCAGCCTCGGTGCCCACTCTGGCCACACTTGAGGAGTCCTTCAGCCTGCATCTGGACTGTGGGAGCCCCTCTCTGGGCTGGCCAAGGCTGGAGCTGGCTCCCTTTGCTTGCAGGGAGGTGTCAAGGGAGAGGTGCTGGCGGGAACCGGGGCTACACGCGGTGCTTGTGGACCAGCGTGAGTTCCAGGTGGGCGTGAGCTCATTGGGCCCCAGACTTGGAGCGGCCGCCCAGTGCCAACAGCCCAGGCAGTGAGGGGCTTAGCACCCTGGGACAGCAGCTGCGGAGGGTACGCCGGGTCCCCCAGCAGTGCCGGCCCACTGGGGCTGCACTTGAATCCACGCTGGGCCTCAGCTGCCTCCCCATGGGGCAGAGCTCAGGACCTGCAGCCCACCATGCCAGAGCCTCCTCCCTGCTGTGGACTCCTGCGTGGCCTGAGCCTCCCCGATGAGCACCGCCCCCTGCTCCGCGGTGCCCGGTCCCGGTCCCATCGACTGCCCAAGGGCTGAGGAGTGCGGACACATGGCTTGGGACTGGTGGGCAGCTCTGCCTGCGGCCCTGGCACAGGATCCACTAGGCGAAGCCAGCTGGGCTCCTGAGTTGGGTGGTGACTTGGAGAACCTTTATGTCTAGCTAAAGGATTGTAAACACACCAATCAGCACCCTGTGAATAGAGCACTCATAAACATAAGAATGCAGATATCTCTTTGATTCATCGATTTTCTTTCCTGTAGATATATAGCCAGCAGTGGGATTGGTGGATCACATGGTAGAATTTAGCAGAGAATCCGTTAAGTTCCTTAGATTTTATTTGATGGAAGACATTTTATTACTGCTTTGATCTTACTACTTGTCACTGGTCTCTTTAAGTTTTTTATTTCTTCATGGTTCAGTCTTGGAAGATTGTATACATCCAGGAATTCATTCATTTCCTCTAGGTTTTCCAATTTGTTGTTATATAGTTGTTCGTAATAGAATCTAATGATTCTTTGTATTTCTGTGGTATCAGTTGTAATATTTCCCTTTTTATCTCTGATTTTATTTGGGTCCTCTCTTTTTTATTATTCTAGCTAAATGTTTGACGATTTTGTTTATCTTTTGAAAAAAGCCAACTTTTCCTTTTTTTATCTGTATGTTGTTTAGTCTCACTTTTTATCTCTGCTCTGATCTTTATGATTTCTTTTATTCTACTATTTTTGGGTGTTTTTGCTTTTATAGTTTCTTGAGATGTATTGTTAGATTGTATGTTTAGACTTTTTCTATGTTTTATTGCTATAAACTTTCCTCTTAGTACCTCTGATACAGTTTGGCTGTGTCCCCACCCAAATCTCATCTTGAATTGTAGTTCCTATAATCCCCATATGTCATGGGAGGGACCAGGTAAAGATAACTAAATCATGGGAGCTGTTTCTCCCATCCTGTTTTCATGATAGTGAGTTAGTTCTCATGAGATCTGATGGTTTTATGAGGGGCTTTGCCCTTTGCTGGGCTGTTATTCTTCTCCTTCCTGCTGCCTGTGAAGAAGGACATATTTGCTTCCTCTTCTGCCATGATTGTAAGTTTCCTGAGGCTTCTCCAGCCCTGTGGAACTGTGAGTCAATTAACCCCCTTTCCTTTATAAATTACCCAGTCTCTGGTATTTCTTCACAGCAGCATGAGAATGGACTAATACAGTAAATTGGTACAACAGAGAGTGGGATATTGCTGTAAAGATACTCAAAAATGTAGAAACAACTTTGGAACTCTGTAACAGGCAGATGTTGGAACAGTTTGGAGGGCTCAGAAGAAGACAGGAAAATGTGGGAAAGGTTGGAACTTCCTAGAGACTTGTTGAATGGCTTTGACAAAAATGTTGATAATGATATGGACAATGAAGTTCAGGTTGAGATGGTCTCAGATGGAGATGAAGAACTTTTTGGGAACTGGAGTAAAGGTTACTCTTGCTATGCAAATAGACTGGCAATATTTTGCCCCTGCCCTAGAGATCTTTGGAACTTTGAACCTGAGAGAGATAATTCAGAGTTTCTGGTAGAGGAAATTTCTAAGTGGCAAAATGTTCAAGGGGAAGCAGACCATAAAAGTTTGAAAAATTTGCAACCTGATGATGTGATAGAAAAGAAAAACCCACTTTCTGGTGAGAAATTTATGCCTGCTGCAGAAATTTGCGTTAAGTGACAAGGAGCTAAATGTTAATCACCAAGACAATGGCAGAGAATATCTCCAGAGCATGTCAGAGACCTTCACAACAGCCCTTCCCATCACAGGCCAGGAGGCCTAGGAAGGAAAAATGCTTTCCTGGGCTGGGTCCAGGGCTGCTGTGTGCAGCCCCAGGGCTTGATGTCCTGCATACCAGCTGCTCTAGCCATACCAAAAAGAGGCCAAGGTACAGCTCAGGTTGTTGTTTCAGATTGGGCAAGCCCCAAGCCTTGGCAGCTTCCACATGGTGTTGGTCTTGCAAATGCATAGAAATCAAGCATTGAGGTTTGTGAAACTCGACTTGGACTTTAGAGGATGTATGGAAAAGCCTGGTTGTCCAGGCAGAACTTTGCTGCAGGGATGGGGCCCTCATAGGGAACCTCTGCTAGGACAGTGCAAAAGGGAAATGTGGGGTTGGAGCCCCCACACAGAGGCCCATAGTGGGGCCTGCCTAGTGGAACTGTGAGAAGAGGGCCACTGTCTTCCAGACCCCAGAGTGGTAGATTTACTGACAGCTTGCACTGTGCACCTGGAAAAGCCACAGACACTCAATATCAGCCTGTGAAAGCAACCAGGAGAGGGCTGTGCCCTGCAAAGCCACAGGGGTGGAGTGTACCAAGGCCATGGAAGCTCACCTCTTGTATTAGCATAACATGGATGTGAGACTCGGAGTCAAAGGAGATCATTTTGGAACTTTAAGGTTTAATGACTGCCCTATTGGATTTTGGACTTGCATGGTGCCTGTAACCCCTTTGTTTTGGCCAATTTCTCCCATTTGGAATGGATGTACTTACCCAATGCCTTTAGCCCCTTTATATCTAGGAAGTAACCAACTTGCTTTTGAGTTTATAGGCTCATAGGTGGAAGGACTTGCCTTGTCTCAAATGAGACTTTGGACTTTGACTTTTGAGTTAATGCTGATATGAGTTAAGACTTTGGGGGACTATTGGAAGGGCATGATTGTGTTTTGAATTGAGAGGAAATGAGATTTAGGATGGGCGAGGGTGGAAAGATATGGTTTGGCTGTGTCCCTACCCAAATCTCATCTTGAATTTTAGTTCTCATAATCCCCATGTCATGGGAAGGACAAGGTGGAGATAATTGTTTCACGGGAGTGGTTTCCACCATCCTGTTCTTGTGATACTGAGTTAGTTTTCATGAGATCTGATTGTTTCATAAAGGATTTTCCTCTTTGCTGGACTCTCATTCTTCTTCCTGCCACCATGTGAAGAAGTACATGTTTGCTTCCCCTTCCACCATCATTCCAAGTTTCCTGAAGCCTCCCCAGCCCAGTGGAACTGTGAGTTAATTAAACCTCTTTCCTTTATAAATTAACCAGTCTTGGGTATTTTTTTCATAGCAGCATGAGAATGGACAACTAGAACCTGTTTTCCTGTACCCCGTAGGTTTTGCTATGTTTTCTTTCCATTTCCATTTCCATTTAATTTTTTTTCTTTCTTTCCTTCTTTTTTTTTTTTGACAGAGTCTCACCCTGTTGCCAGGCTGGAGTGCAGAGGCACAATCTTGGCTCACTGCAATCTCTGCCTCCCAGGTTCAAGTGATTCTCCTGCCTCAACCTCCTGAGTAGCTGGGACTACATGCACGTGCCACCACACTCAACTAATTTTTGTATTTTTAGTAGAGACAGGGTTTCACCATGTTGGCCAGGATCATCTCGATCTCTTGACCTTGTGATCCACCTGCCTCAGCCCCCAAAGTACTGGGATTACAGGCATGAGCCATCATGCCCGGCCCTTTATTTCCTTCTTAATTTCTTTATTGAACATTGGTCATTTAGGAATATGTGTTTAATTTCCATGTATTGGTAAAATTTCCAAAATTCCTTGTGTTATTGATTTCTAGTTTCATTTCATTTTGGTCAGAAAATATGCTTGGTATAATTTTTACTTTTCTGAATTTGTTGAGGTTGTTTTTGGAGCCTAACATATGGTCTATCCTGAAAACGTTTTAAGTGCTAATGAGAAGACTATGTATTCTGCAGCAGTTGGATGGAGTGTTCTATAAATGTTAGGTCCATTTGTTCTAGAGTATAGTTAACTCTCATGTTTCTTTGTTGATTTTCTGCCTGGATGATCTGTTCATTGCCAGAAATGGGGTGTTGAAATCCCTAACTGTTATTGTAGTGTAGACTATCCCTGCCAATAAATCTAATATTTGTTTTATGTAACTGGGGGCTCCAGTTTTGGGTGCCTATTTGTTTACTATTGTTATATCTTGCTGAATTGACCCACTTATCATGATATAACAACCTTCTATGGGTCTTTTTACAGTTCTTGACTTGAAATCTATCTTATCTGATATAAGCTCAGTTACCCTGGCTCTCTTAAGGTTTTCATTTTTATGAAATATTTTTTCCATCCCCACACTTTCTGTGTGTCTTTACACATGAAGTGAGTTTCTTCTAGGCAGCATATAAGCGGGTCTTGTTTTTTAATCCTTTCAGCCACTTTTAATTGGATAATTTAGTCAATTTATGTTCAATGTCATAATTGATAGTTAAAGCCTTACTACTTTCATTTCTTGCTTGTTTTGTGGGTTGTTTTGTAACTCTTCTCTTATTCTCTTTCATTTTACAGTCTTCCTTTGTGGTTAAATAATTTTGTCTGGTAGTATGCATTAATTTATTCCTTTTTATTATTAGTGTGCCTATTATAGATTTTTGCTTTGTGGTGGTAACCTAAGAAGCATACCAAAAGCATTCTATAATTACAAGTATTTAAAACTGATACCAATGTACTGTGATCACACAAAAAATAAAACAAACAAACAACTCTCTAAAAATCCTGTGCAAACTAACTCCCTTCTCCACCAACATTTTGATTTTTTGATGTCACAATTTACATTTTGTATCACTTAACTTTTATCGAGTTGTTTTTTTTTTTAACAGTTTTGTCTTTTAGTCTTCTTACTAACAATATAAGTGGTTTAAGTACAATAATTAAAATATTAGAGTAACAATCATATTAGCTTCCTTTTCTTTCAATTTGAATAGCTTTCATTAGCATTTCTTGTATGACAGGTCTGGTAGCAATAAATCCCCTTAGCTTTTCTATTTCTAGGAAAGTCCTTATTTGTCTTTCATTTCTGAAAAATAACTTTGCTGGGTACAGTGTTCTTGATATAATTTTTTTCTTCAGTATTCTGAATACATTGTTGCACTTCCTCTTTGCGTGTAAGGTTTCTCCTGCAAAGTCTGCCACCAGGTGCATTGGATCTCTCTTACATGTTATTTGCTTCTTTTCTCTTGTTGCTTTCAGGATCCTCTCTTTGTCTTGGACATTTGAGAATTCAATTATAATTTCTGGAAGTATTCTTATTTGGGTTGAATTGGATTGGTGAATGTTGGCCTTCATGTACCTAGATATTTATATATTTCTCCAGGTTTTCAAAGGTTTAAAGTTATTATTCATTTGAATAAGCTTACTTACACTTTGTCTTTCTCAGTTCTCTAACTTCAATAACTTGGATACTTGCCATGTTGATGTTGTTCCATAGGACCCATAAGCTTGGTTTAATTTTTCACTATTTTTCTTTTTTCCTCCTCTGATTGTACATTTTCAAATAGTCCATCTTCAAGTTTACTGATTCTTTTTTCTGTTTGATTAGTCCTGCTCTTGATGCCCTCTATTGCATTTTTTTTATTTCATTCATTGTGTTTAGTAGGTCCAGGATTTCCTTTTTTTAATTTTAATATCTTTGTTAAAATTTCTCTGGCAAGTTTTTGAATTAATTATCTGTGTTTTCTTGAAGTTCATCAAGCTTCTTTAAAACAGCTATTTTGTATTCTTTGTATGAGAGATTACACATCTTCATCACTATAGGGCCAGTCTTTAGTGCCTTATTTTGTCCATTTGGTTACATCCTATTTTCCTGTATGTTCTTGATACCTTTGGAAGTGTGATGATGTCTGCCCATTTGGAAGTGTGATGATGTCTGCCCATTAAGTATGTATTTTAGTCTTTACAATCTGACTTTGATTGTGCCTGTCCTTCTTCACAGGAGCATCTAGGAATTCTAAACTGACTGTTGTATGCCCTGAGCCTATATCTACTGCATCTATCTTAGCATTAGAGGACATTCTTAGCCCAAGTCTAGGAGAGCTGCAAAGGTTGTAGCGTTGACATGGCTTTCTGGCCCTGATGGACCTGGGGAAGGCCCAGTGAGGGTACTAAGGCTGTGTAGGAATGCTGGCCAGGGACCTGAATTCAAAAGGCTGTCTCAGTGTCCCAGATGGACATGTATCCCTGCAGGTCTCTGCACAAACAGGATGGGTCCTACTCTGCACATACAGAGTATTTCTCAGGAGGGGCCAGAGATGAGACTAGGCCCCTTCAGGATCTGCTGTGGAATGAAGACTGGCATGCCTGTCACATTGGCTTAGATGGGTGTGCATCTCCCAGTAGGTTCCTACACAGATGAGATAGTTCCTCAACTATAGTAGGGGACCTAGAGTTGAGCCTGGGATCTGGTGTGGGACAGAGGCTGAAAGCCTGGTCTCTTCAAAGAGTGGTATGCATTACCCAGCAAGTTCCTACACAGATAGGACATTTTCTTGACTGCAAAGAGAGAGACTAGACTGAAACTGGGCCCCCTTGGAATCTGCTATGGGACAGAGGCTAGAGAGCCTGTCACATTGTCCCAGACAGGTATGAGGCTGTTAGCACATCCCTACACAGATGGGATAGTTTCCAGTTGCAGCAAAAGGGACCAGAGCTGTGATTAGACCTCCTTGGGATCTGTTGTGGGATGGAGGTTGGCAAGCTTGTCTGGAAGGCTTAGAATCTTAGACTGGGAGATATGGGTGAGTCTCCCTCCGGGTCCCTGTGAGAGTGACTCTGAGCTAGGAACTCAGCTAAGGAAAGCTGAAGAAGCACCACAGGACAACATTCAGGTTCACTGCTGAGACTGATGTCAATGGGCTAATAAGCCCTTCCACCAAGGCACTAATCTGCATCATTCCTTGTGGACCCCTTGACAGATGGCTTTGCTTAAAAGCTCAAGGCCAAGTGGGGCTATAGCCAAGCCTCCTGGGGAACTCTCCTGTTTCTGGTCTTGAACCTGTAAGCAAGCTCAGTAGGGCAGATCAGCCACTTTGGTGTTGATCTGCTCTCTCAAAACTACCTTCCTAAGTCTTAGGCTCTACCAGGGTTTCACAAACTCCTACCTGATTCCTGAGACATTTGACTGTGAATGGGTGCAGAAAAAGCTCCACCTTTCAATACTTCCACATTGGAGACAATGTTTCACATGAGTTTTGGGAGCAGACATTGAAACTACAGCACGGCTACAGCATAAAGAAATGTAATATAGTTGAGAAAAGTTAGGACAAAGAATGTATGTGGAAACAAAGCTGAAGTTGAGTAAGTAAAAAAAACTGAAGTTGTGTTTAAATTGTAACTTAAAACACAAAAATGAATTAAGAGAGCCAGAAATAGTAAGTAGAAAGTTTCATATTAATGTACTCTCTCTATAATTGCTCTTCTCTCTTCTCTCTTTTAAAAAAACAAAATATATATATATAAAGCAATAATTGTACATGTATTGTTGGATTAGTAAAATATAGATGCAATATATACAATAATAATAGCACATGAATGGGAAAGAAAACATAGATCTATGTAGGACCAACTTTTTCATATCTCATTGAAATTAAGTTAGTATAAATATAAAGTTGATTCTGATGAGTAAGAATATATATAGTAAGTTCCAGAACAACTGCTAAAAAATACATATTTTATATATATATACTAAAAGATCAAAAAAGAAATTAAAATGTTACACTAGGAAATATTAAGGTAATCCAAAAAGCCATAAAATAGGAATATAGAAACAAAAACATATGAGACATAGAAAACAAAAAGTAAATAGTAATATTCTAATACAACTCCATCAATAATAACATTTAAATATGAGTGAATTAAACAATCCAATTAAAATGCAGAGTTTGCAAAACTGGACACAGAAACAAAAAAACAAAATCCACCTACATGTAGTCTACAGGTGACTCACTTTAGAATCAGAGATTCAAGTTGGTTAAAAATAAAAGGCTAGAGGCCAGGTGTGGTGGCTCACGCCTGTAATCCCAGCACTTTGGGAGGCTGCAGCAGGTGGATTGTGAGGTCAGGAGATCGAGACCATCCTGGCTAATGCAGTGAAACCCCATCTCTACTAAAAATAAAAAAAAAATTAGCCAGGTGTGGTGGGGGGCAGCTGTAGTTCCAGCTATGCCGGAGGCTGAGGCAGGAGAATGGCATGAACCTGGGAGGTGGAGCTTTCAGTGAGCCGAGATTGTGCCACTGCCCTCCAGCCTAGGTGATAGCAAGACTCCATCTCAAAAAATATAAATAAATAAAATAAAATAAAAGGTTAGAAAACACCAAACACAAGAAAACTGGTGTGTTTATACCTATATTAGGTAAAACAGACTTTATAATAAAATAGAGATCTACAGGGACATTTCATAATAAGAAGTGCTAATCCATCAGAAAGATACACAAAATATAAACACCTATGCACCTAACAGAGGTCCCCAAAATACACAAAATAAAAACTGAAAAAATTGAAAGGGAAAATAGAAAAATAACAATAACAAATGGATATTTTAATATCTTATTTTTAATAATGGAGAGGATAGAGAAACCAATCTTGTAAAAGAAGAACAATGTTGGAGAACTCACACATGTAAATTCAATACTTACTACAAAGCTACACCAATCCATTATGTGGTTATGTCATAAGGCTAGACACATAGACCAAAGCAATAGGATTGACAGTAAAAAAAAAAAAACCTAACATCTACAGTTATTTGATTTTTGACTACAGTGCCAAGACAAATCAATGAGGAAGAATAGTCTTTTCAACAGGTGATGCATGTGGGGAAGGAGATTAGCAGAACTTCTTTCCTGAGCACCAATCACAACCCTGCTGATCAAAATAGGATCTGGTCAAAACAGGATGCGGTAAAGAAACTAGCCCAAACCAGCTAAAACAAGCATGGTGATAAAAGCAACCTTCTAGTTGCCCTCACTGCTCATTATATGCTAATTATAATGCATTGATAACTAAAAGACACTCCCATCAGCACCATGACAATTTACAAGTGCCATAGCAATGTCCAGAATTTTCAATATATGGTTTAAAAGGGGAGGAACCCTCAGTTCTGGGGACTCCCCATCCTTGTTCTAGAGTATTTGTGAATAACCTGCCACTTATTTAGCATATAATTAAGAATAGCTATAAATATAGCTAGCCAGCAGTCTATGAGTGCTACTCTGCCTATGGTGAAGCCCTGCTCTATGGAGCAGCCATTTTCCTGGGCTCTGTTGCTCTAATAAAGTTGTTTTGCTTTTACTTTACTCTGTTTGCTCACTCTTGAATTCTTTCCTGTATGAAGCCAAAAACCCTACCAGGCTGAGCCCCAGTTTTGGGGTTTGCCTGCATCACTTGGACATTAGATATCCACATGAAAAAGAAATCTGGAGGTCTACTGTACAGCATGATGACTATAGTTAACAATGTGTTGTATACTTGGAAATTGCTAAGACAATGGATTTTAAATGGACTCACTACAAAAAAAGTTTTTGAAATGAGGGATATGTTAATTAGTTTGATTTAATCATTCCACAACTTATACATATACCAAAACACCACACTGTTTACCATAGAAATACACAAATTTTATTTATCAATTTAAAAAGTTAACTGAATATAGTTGGATATTTTCCTCATATCACACACAGAAACTAACTTAAAACAGAACATGAACCTAAATATTTAAAATAAAACTATAAAATTCCTAGAGGAAAATATGGGAGTATATCTTCATGAGCTTCAGGTAGGTCACAAAACATAAAATATAAAACTTGAAGTATGTCAAAATTAAAACTCTTTTGCTTTAAAAAATTAATATAAATAAAGTGGAAACAAATAGCATAGAATGGGAGAAGATATTTATAAATCATATATTGGATAAAGGACTCATATATATAATACAAATAATTCTTCAACTTAATAATAAAAAAACAAACAATCCAAATAAAAAAATAACAGAGAACCTAAGTAGGCTGGGCGTGGAGGCTCACGTCTGTAATCCCAGCACTTTGGGAGGCCAAGGCAGGCAGGTTACCTGAAGTCGGGAGTTCAAGACCAGTATGACCAACATGGGGAAACCCCATCTCTACTAAAAAATAAAAATAAATAAAAAATTAGCCAGGTGTGGTGGCGCATGCCTGTAATCCCAGCTATTCGGGAGGCTGAGAAAGGAGAATCGCTTGAACCCAGGAGGCAGAGGTTGCAATGAGCCGAGATCACGCCATTGCACTCCAGCCTGGGCAACAAGAGCAAAACTCCATCTCAAAAAAAAAAAAAAAAAAAAAAAAAAAAAAAAAAAAAAAAAAGAATCTAAGTAGACATTTCTCCAAAGAGGATATACAAATGATTAGCACATAAAAAGATGGTAAAAACCATTAGTCATTAGAGAAATGAAAATCAAAATCACAATGATATACCACTTTTCATTGCTTTGATGGGTATAATCAAAATATCATAATAATCATGTAATAAGAGTTGACAAAGATGTGGAGAAAATGGAACTCATACATTGGTGGTGAGAATGGTGCAGCCACTTTGGAAAATAGTCTGATAGTTCCTCAAAATGTGAAATATAGAGTTCCATATGATTCAGCAACTGCACTCTTAGGTTTATACTCAGAGAAATGAAAACATATTCACATGAAACTTGTACAGAAATATCCATAGAAGTTCTATTAGTGATAGCCAAAGAATAGAAACAACCCAAATTTCCGTCAACTGACAGACAAATATTAATAAAATGTAGGATATCAATGCAATGCAATATTATTTGGCAATGAAAAGAAATGAAGTAAAGATGCATACGAAATGTTGATGAACCTTGAAAACATTATGCTAAGTGAAAGAACCCAGTCACAAAATACCACATATTGTGTAATTTCATTAATATGAAATGTTCAAAATAGATCTGTAGAGACAGAATGTAGATTATGGTTGCCTAGGGCTGGGAGGATTACCGCAAATGAGATATGACTGATGATGGATATGGGGTTTCTTGTTTGAGTGATAAAAGTATTCTAAAATTGAATAATTGGACAACTCTGTGATTATATTAAAACAGTAGATTGTTTAAAGAAAAAGCAACATCACCAACATCACCACGCACACACACACAAAAACAAAAAACAAAAAACAAAACAAAACAAAAAAAAGAAGGGTTTTTCAAATTCAGTACTATTCATATTTTGGTCCAAATAATTCTCTGCTGTGAGGGTTGCCTGTGCATTGTGGAAGTTCAGCAGTGTTCCTGACCCCTACCTACTATATGTCAGTAGCAACCTCATGCAGTAATAACAACCAAAAATGCCTTCAAAATGTCCCCTAGGTGGAAAATCAACCCCACTTAAGAACTACACATATAATTGCACAGGACTGAAGAATACCTATTTTAACCAGTTAACTATGGTCACTTCTAAAGAGATAAAGGGGAGAGTGGCAAGGGTAAGAGGAGGAGACTTTCAATTTTCTCATATACTTTTGTACTTCATGATTGACCTGAGAATTATAATGAGCTAAGTATTACGTGTTTTTTTAGATAATAAAAATTAATGAACTTCCTGTCAAGACTAACAAACTAGCCCACATTGACAATATAGAATGCCATCACAGTAGACCATTTACAGGGTGATGGTGGCTTATGGAGATGGAGATAGTGACAAGTAATTTAAATTTTTGTGTATTTTAAATATACTACCTAAAGACTTACTGAGAGATCAGATGTGAAGTGTGAAGAAAACGGAAAGATAAAGCATGTGTTTTGCTTAAGCAACTGGCTCAGTGATAATGCCACTATTGATGTGTGAGAGTTGAGGATGAACAAATTGGGGGCTTTTGTGAGGAGAAGTGAAATCAATAGTTCCATTTGGACAATTAATTTTGAGATCTACAATAGATTTCCACATGGTGATTTAAAAGTAGACAGTCCCAGAGTGGAACAGAATAACAATTTTCATAATGGTCTATGAGAAACAAAGGGTAAAGCCATATTTACTGCTGATTCAAGTTGGAAATTAATAAATAAAATTTAAAACCTAGCTTTAAAACCTAATTTAAAACCTAAAATTTAAAAATTAAATTTAAAACCTAAAACTCATATATTGTTTTATGACAAAAATATCCTATTATATCTTATAATAATAAACAGAAACAACAAACAAAAAAGCATAAAGTTAACATGCATTTCTGCTTTTACAGTCCAAAGGTGAAAAATGTTCACTTGGAAATACACACAGAAAAAAATCACAACATAAAAAAAAACTATTTTAAAATAAAAAATTCTACTAAATAAGTAACAAATAAATTAGTACATTAGAAAACATCAATATAAATATTGATTTTATGTTCTGCTGAACAGAATTAGCTTTGTTGCAATAATGTATTTAGGAAGAAATGGTATAACTCTTGCAACGTCAGTATCGGGAGTAAGATTTTGTATTTTTTCATCTCCTCAAACCAAAAACAAAGAGATTGATTCAAAAGACTAATGACATTCTCTTTTCTTGAAAATGAGGAAGAATCACATAATCAAAGGAAAATAATATATTTTATTTTCATATTATTATTTCTGCAACATTTATGTTAGCTTACATTTGATCCCTTACAGTGGGACAGGCACTGTATTAAACACTTTAAATGAAACCTATCATTTAATCTTCATAGTAACTCTATGAAATAGGTACCTTATTTTTTAGATAAACAGAGAAAGATATGTTAAATAACTTGCTTATTTCATATGTAACATTGTAGTCTTTGTTCAGACTTTGGCCATTTGATTTCTGAGCTTGTGATTTTTTTCAGACATTGGAGAAGAGGTCACACACAAATTCAAAAAGAGAAAAACAGAAAAAAAAAACCTTACTATAGCCATGGTCTAGGCATTCAAAGCAGGTGTGAGGGTGTGAAGAAGCAGTTGTGGTTACTTCTACTTTCATTGATGTTTGTTGCTGCTTCCCAATAAAGAGCAGTAGAGCATAGAGACATTGATATAGCAGCCCTTATAAAATTGCAAATCCTTCCTGTTCTGTAGTGAAAATAAATAAAAGTCACTTAGGTTTAAATTCAACCTCGGAAATACAGTCAGTATATTTTATTTTCAAACATATTTACATATTACCTTTATATTCTTTTGATAACATAAGCATCGTGTATTTTCCTGTCCTACTATAAAAAGTTTCCATGTGATAATCTGGTTGTGAAGACCTATAACTTCAGCTTTCTTTTTTTTTTTTTTTTTAAGTAAAACTAGCCTCAAAATGCAAAATCTGCTTCCTCTAACTGAAGGGATTTAAATTACATTGTGGATAAGATGTTGTAAGCACAGTAGCTAAAGCAGTGTTTTATTTCTGAAGTAAATGGACTGAAACAGATGGAAGGGGGAAAAGAGAGTTTTCCTAGAGGCACAGTGTCTGTGTGTCACCAGCTGTTGCTGGGAGATAATGTGCAATGGCAAGTGATGTACAGGAGGAAATCCAAATGCCTCCAGTCCTAGGCTTTGGACTGTTAGGAGAAAAGAGCCTTTCCTTGTGTTCTTTTAATTGAAGGTGAAGCCTGAAATTTGCAATGCCCACTTAAAATGATCCTGCCTTATTTGATTGAAACATAAAACAGGATTCAAAATTGCCTATGTTATTCCAGAGTGGGATTCAGCTCAAACTATATATTTCATGGACGGAGCCATTGGGTGATGGAAGAGGGTAATAGATAAAAGGTAAAAAATGTACTGTATTATTAATCTTGCTATATATT
Source organism: Homo sapiens (assembly GCF_000001405.40). Lineage (NCBI taxonomy): Eukaryota > Metazoa > Chordata > Mammalia > Primates > Hominidae > Homo > Homo sapiens. Next base: position 43,565,138 of record NC_000004.12, read on the forward strand.
GCCTGTAAATACTTACATTACCTAAATTTAATCAAATATTCCTATTTTAAGTTTTGTTATTTAAATACAAAAATAAACAATGCAATTTTGAACCATAATTGCTTGAATCTGTGTTTTTGGGGAAGCCTAATTTCTACATTAATTGATTGTTTTGGTATTAAAGGCAAAGCCACAAGACATAATGTGGATGATCTTGTAGACCCTATAACATACAAGGCTGAATTTATCTAGGAGTGGTAATTAAACACAGAGACTATTTTCCTCCTCTTTCCTATGTAGATTAGGTTTTTAGGACTGCCATAACAAAGTCTGTTATGCTGCCACAGAGTACATGGCTTAAAAAGGGAAAATTATTTTCTCACAGTTTTAGAGGATAAAAGTAATAGACCAAGGTGTTGGCAAGGTTGTTTCTTCTGAGGCCTCTCTCTAGTAATAGCTATCTTTTTCCGGTGTCTATGTACGGTGTCTCTGTACGGTGTCTCTGTATGTTCTTATCTGCCCTGTTGGATTAGTCTTATTGGATTAAGGCTCACTGTAAGGGCCCTATTTGAATGTAACTGCCTCTTTAAAGGCCCTATCTCCAAAAAATCACATTCTGAGGCATTTCATACCTTCTGTATATTAATTATGGGGAGAAACACAATTTGTCCCATAGCACATACCTACTTACTGCCCACCAAATTAGGGAGGAAAAATTCAGTGAGAACTATCATCATTACTGTCAAACTTGGAAATACTGAATATCTTGGAATAGTATCTTCTGTGATACTATAACCAAATGTGAAAGATCCACCTCCATCTAAATAAGTAGCTATTTATAGACAAAATTCCTAATAGGCAGATTAAAAAAAAGGGTTTTTGCCTTGCCTAACACATATAAACTTTATCTCCCAAGTCAAAAATAATGAAAGAAAATTTCTAGAGAAAGTAAGAAGTGTTTTAGTGCAATACTGCAAATACATTTGAAGAGGAGAAAAAGGATCTTTCATGAACTAATGAGGTTGCCTAGAGATGTACTACGAATAATCATGAATTGAACAATCAATTCCCAGTGTGTAGAGAGGAAAGAAATATTTAAAATGACACCAACACTTCAATTTATCAAAGAGGAAGCAAATTTTATTTTAAAATTTTAAAATTGTAATTTCTGGTTTTCAAATCATATTTTAAAATGTAGAATTATAGTTACCAATTTTAGCAGCTTGATTTTTTTTTCTTGAAAAGGTACTTACTTCTCAGTTCTAGTGAAACCAAATTCTAGGAATGATTGAAATATGACAAAGCTTTTTCAGAGTTTTATGATTATTATAGGGTTTTGATACTACTGTAGAAAAGCAAATAAGATTTAGACAATGATGTTTTATGACAGCAAGTGGGTGTAAAATATAGAAAAAATAATGTGAATGAAGCTGACAGACTAGGTGACTTGCCTGTCTTTGTTAGTCCTCAATGACAAACTTTGTGTAATTATCGTACATTTATCAGTCAATTCTTATTTTCCAAATGTTTTCAACAGTCTTGATTATTTTTGTTATTATTGCCTATCTATATTTCACTTTTTTCTCTTTATTTCTTGACCCTTAATTCACATCCTGAAAGAATGGGAAAATAAGAATCAGCAATGTTTGTAAGAATATTACCTTAGGCATTTTGATATAATCATTATCCATTTTGTTTGATGATTTTAGTCATGTATTAAAAAGTATTTTAAGGTCGGGTGTGGTGGCTTACGCCTGTAATCCCAGTACTTTGAGAGGCCAAGGCGAGTGGATCACCTGAGGTCAGGAGTTTGAGACCATCCTGGCCAACATGGAAAAACCCTGTCTCTACTAAAAATACAAAAATTAGCTGGCATGGTGGCGCACATCTTGAATCCGGGAGGCGGAGGTTGCAGTGAGCCGAGATCAAGCCACTGCACTCCAGCCTGGGTGACAGAGCAAGACTGTCTCAAAAAAAAAAAAAAGTATTTTAAATTTTCCATTGCTAATTATATCCAAGAAAGGGAGAATATTTTCCTTTAAAAATGACCTGTATATTAAAATTAATATTCCTCTGCTGAATTTGTACATTTCATGATTCTTAAGAGTTAAAAAAACTAAATGAATGAACATGATATCTAAAAGTATTGTTCACTTTTACGAGCATAATGTCTATGTTTCACATTTTAAGGAAATAACTTTTCTTTAAATTGTACCTTACCCACTGGCTTATAGTAAGCTGCAGACATACCATATTTCACTTCATAATTTATTTTAACCAAGAGTGTTGATAGTATGTAAATGTAAGTAATTTATAGCTGCTAATTACAGAAGCCTAAAAAATAAAAGAAGCTTGAGAAGGCTAATGAGGAAAAACAGAAAAAAATATATATAAAATTAAGTGATTTTAAAATAAGAGAATGTAAAACAATGTAGTGAATATTCTAGGCTTTACAATATTTTGAATTCCAGCTACCTCTAACACCTTCAATATTGAAATTCCCATGACTCTTTCTGGTTCATCTGATTACACATGATCTAATTAATAATAGAGCTCCTTTATACCACTGATTATCCATCTGTCAAGTGAAAGGATGATATAGGCAGGACAGGCAAGATTTTTGTTCTGAGCCTGCTCCACCGTGACCACACCTGGTTGACTTCCACTGTATTCATTCTCACAGCATATACTGGGCCATGACCATATTATATTATACTTAGTCATGTGTCCATCTGTATTACTCAGGGTTCTTAGAGAAATGAAACCAATAGGACCTATACAGATATATAATATATTATGTGTCATATTACTCAGGGTTCTCTAGAGGGACAGAACTAATAGGATAGATGTATATATGAAGGGGAATTTATTAAGGAGTTTTGACTCACACGATCACAAGGTGAAGTCCCACAATAGGCCATCTGCAAGCTGAGGAGCAAGGAAGCCAGACCAAGTCCTAAAACCTCAAAAGTGGGGAAGCCAACAGTGCAGCCTTTGGTCTGTGGCTGAAGGCCCAAGAGCTCCTGGTAAAGCACTGGTGTAAAGCCTGAGAGCCCAAAAGCTGAAGAACCTGGAGTCCGATGTTCCAGGACAGGAAGCATCCAGCATAGGAGAAAGAGGAAGGTCGGAAGACCTAGCCAGTCAAGTCCTTTCACGTTCCTCTTCCTGCTTTTATCATAGCTGCACTGGCAGCTGATTAGATAGTGCCCACACAGATTAAGGGTGGGTCTGACTCTCCCAGTCCACTGACTGTAATGTTAATCTCCTTTGACAACGCTCTCACAGACACACCCAGGAACAATACTTTGCATTCTTCAATCCAATCGAATTGACACTCAGTATTAACCATTACATATGTAATAAATTTATTATGGAAATTGGTTTCTGAAATTATGAACACCAAGAAGCCCCACCAGTTTGCAAGCTGGAGCACCAGGAAAGTTGGTGGCATAATTCAGTCTGAGTCTGAAGGCCTGAGAGCCAGGGAGGCTGAAGGCATAAATCTCAGTCTGAGGCTAAAGGCCTATGAAATTGAGGGGGTGCTGCTGCAAGTGCTGGAGTTCAAAAACTCAAGAACCAGGAGCTCTGATGTTCAAGGGCAGAAGAAAGTGGACCTCCTAGCTCAGGAAGAAACAACATACCTTTCCTTATCGTATTGTCCTATTCTGGCAGGCCCCCAAAGGACTGGATGAGGCCCACCCATATTGGTAAGGATAGATCTTCTTTACTCAGTTTACTGATTCAGAAGCTACTGTCTTCCGGAGACCCTCTTACAGAAACACCCAGAAATTATGTTTTACCAAATCTGAGTATCCCTTACCCTAGTTACATTGACACATAAAATTAATCATCACAGTACTTATTTCCAATACCTGGGTCAATAAGGCAAAGTTGCAGAATTTAAATGACTGAAAATTTAAGCTGTTTACAACAGCCTTAACATGTCAGCATCTGAACCACTTCTGAAAAAAAGAAATTAGATCGCAATCATGATTCAAAAAAGAAAGTGATTCATTTAACAAGCCAGGGGCCAAGGAATATGGCAAAACTCAGGGAAGAAGAAACTCTTCATTATATTAGACCAGGAAATGCTGCATAGAAGAGGCAGCATTTGAGTTGAACCATAAAACGTGGACTACCATAAAATTTTAAAATAAGAAAATGAATAAATAAACAGTAAAATAGCTGCATTCTATTCACAGAAATATTTGTCAAGCCAGTTACTGCATTTTAAATGGAATATGAAGACAATGATGTACTCAGAAGCACACTGTGTATATTCATCAAGGGATACTCAGATACTGATTGTGCAGCTAAACAATATTCAGTAGATAGATAACAAAGTGCATTTTTATTATATATAGCAAATATATGTATAAGATGTATTATATTTTAGGTTGAATTTTCAACATGTGTTGCTTGTTTTCACTATCATTTGATCATATATTTAAACCTCAATAAAAATTCAATGTATGTCAGCTAGCCTTTAAAATGTAGTTTTACCTAAGCAAGAAGATGGAATTTTCCAATATAATTTCCTCTTGTTGAGTTACTATAATGGCATAATTTCAGAAGCAATTTCCAATAAAAGTATTCAGTATTATTTTATAAATTTATGATAATGAGGCATAATTTTCATTAAACTAAATTACTAGGTCAATAATATTACTTCAATTTGCTATAAATACAGTTTTAGAATAACAGCAGGTACACATCAATTCTGAGAAAACTCATACTTGATGCTAGAATATGAGGTAAAAATTGAATGAAGTTGAAATTATTGTTATTTTTAAGTAGCTTCTTTATTAACAGCTGTTCACTTTGAATCACAGTGTGTGAATAGTTCATGTCTATAAATGAACATTCTGCGATGAGAACGTGCTGGTGTTTCTATCCTATTTTCTATACTACAAATAATACATGGAACTTAGATGTTTCTTAGAAGTAAGTCCTACATTTTATTCTCTTACATAATGTTACTAAGAGTTATAACTTCTTCATAAGCATATATTAATATAATCATTATTTGACCTTGTTTGGTCATTTTAAAAGGAAAGAATTGCTGTAATGAAAGGAAAATTGTTAAGAACTATGTCACAAATATGTCCAGATACTCAGTGCTCACCTTATCTATGTGGAATTGTAAGAATTATTTTCACACGAAAACTTTATATAGTAGGTTTCAACTGATGGGAGAAAGTAAATGATGACCTTGGTAATTGTTCAAATATGCTAACACTTTTCAGTAATATTTGAAAAGGTTTTGTTAGAATTCTGGATGTATATTATTATAATGCCCATTAACAGTTGGAATGTTGAATTAAATGTAGAATAATTAAATAGTAGGCCACATTTTGAAAAAGAATTACTTAAGAGAATTACCATCTTAAATTGCTATGAATAATAATCCTGAGACACAGGCCAAATTTAAGGCAATGTTACCCATTGCATCCCCTAAGTTTTATTGGAACATTAGTGAGTACATAAGTGTGCATAGTCAGGAAATAAACTATTCCCCTCCAGTGCCAGAGTGGTCAAGAACGACCATGTAAAGAGTGCCATGAAACAGAATCCAACAATTTCCTAAGCTGAGACGCAATAAATGTTTTCCAAGTGTATGCCTCAAAACAGAAAGCCCAATAGCCTCTTCCATAGTTGACTATGCTTAGAGGATTTTGTGATTCATTCTCCTCATTTTATATCCGGTATCCAAAATTAGATGTGAGATCTCTCAAGCAAGAATTTTTTTTATGTACACCATTAAATGAAATAATCCACTCCAGCTTTGTATGGTGTGGATTACTCCACACAAAATGAACATATACATACGGGTTATAGATACATGTATACTTCACATGTATACATGTGAAGTAAGGAAAATGTATTTCTACTTTATTTGAATTGAGTATGGTCCTACGATAAAGAAAGAGGTATACCATATTTGAGGAAAGAATGGTAAATTTCAATATTCAATTATATTCTCTATCTACTATTTACTTCTCTAAATCGATCATGTGATTTGGTTAAAAATAACTACCCAGCGTTGTCCATATTTTGTTTCTATAATACCATTTGATTCAGAAGTCTATTTTATTGAACTAGATATTCAACACACACACCAACTTCTGCAAATGATGAGTAGATTTTCTTGGCAGGCTTGCCTAGGTAGTTTTAAAAATGAATCCAGGCATTGACTGGTGTGTTTTAATTGCTATAATTTGAATAATTAATTCTATGTTTAGAAAATGAGTTCAAAGTGGTGTGTGATTAACCATGTTTAATGAAGTCATTACCTGATTAAATAGCATTTCATGTCCATGACTGATTATATCCAAATGCTAATCAATTTGATTTAAATTGTCTATATATATTTGAATTTGTTACACTTTTGTGTTACATATGAAGGGAACTACATTAATATTCTATTATTGATAATTGTTTATATTCTTGGATTTATCTTTACTAGAAGTACAGTATAGGGAAAAGTGTTTCAACTCCACTAGAAACAACATCTGCAGAGAATGTTCATGGCTTAGAAAATGATTTCATTTCGGAAAGCAGGGCTTTTAATCAAAGGGACTAGTTCCATTAAGAAGAAAGTTTTTTTTAATGATAAATCAGATGGCTGAATTTCTGAGGGGCTTTTTAATATATCAAGTCTACCTCTAATCTTCACACGTAGGAGGACATGCCAACCTCTCCATGCAGTTTTGAGAAAGTGAGTGATTTTAAATAAAAGAAGTTTGAACTAAATTTAATAATAGAATTCAAGAGTGTGAATAGATGTATTTTAGAAGATGGATACCAGCTGTTTTTCTTCTACACTTAGAACAAGATAAAACAAAATTAAACTAAGAAATTAGATATTCTGGGTTTTAGGATTGCTTTGAAAGCACAGATTAACTCTGTTATATACTAAAAATGGATTACTGAGGTTGGGAATACAACACTTTTGTAGAAAATCTTAATATCTGAATAATTTCTAATGTAGTTTACTTATATAACTGCCTACCTGAAGTATATCAACACTTCATTTCTACATTAAATAGTCAAGAACTTTTCAAGGCTGCTTTATACAGCAAGTAAACATAGTGTTGTGAGAAAATTTTCATATTTTCAAAGCAAAAACAAACTTCAGAGTAAAACAGGCCATTGTTTACACTGTGAACTCAGCTCTATTGACAAAGATCTCTGGCACTACAACAAATACATTAAATTCATACGTACACGTGCATGCCCATATGCATCAATGTTCTTCCACTACACTTTGAAAAATGTGTTCCATTTTGTAAATTCTCACATCTGAGGATAATAGATTTTTCTATAGTTACTAGGAAACTGCTCCCAATTTCTGAATAATGCATGCAAAAACTTTGAAATTTTAAAAATGTACAGACAGATCAGGGTGTGTATTATGGGATGTTTAGTAACATCTCTGGTCTTTACCAACTAGATGCTAGTAGCATACCTGCCTTCATGTCATGACAATCAAAAATGACCACATACATTTTCAAACTGTCTTGGGAGGTAGTGTTGGTGGTGACAAAATTTCACTCAGTTGAAAATCATTCAGATAACATTTAGATAATAAGTAATCTCTATCAGCAGCAGGTTTAGTTAATATTTACAAATATAAATTTATGACCTAGAGTTATTATATGATAATTAATATAAAAAATAAAACTAATTTAGTCCTTTGTATATAAGACTACCCAAGAAATACCTTTACGTAAGTGGATAAATGAATTAATGAATTAACATTAATATGATTAAATGAATAGAAGAAAAATAAAACTTACACTGAATATCACAATCTGAAGTCATCTTTAAAAGATACTGATAAAGTTTGTATCTGTTGCTGCTTAACTCTAAAATGGATTTTCTTATGTGTTATTTAAACATAGATAGAAGTCACATGCACATAACCACACTACATTTTTAAATTTCCCTAAATTTTCCAAGTTTTCTAGATATTCAGAAATAGCAAAAATAATTTAAATTTTTTATCAGTGTTTTACATTTTCAATTGTTAGTTCATTTTTATAACTTTTTGCAACAATGATAAATTTGATTTTAAATCCTTTTCTGCTTTTTCTCTATTATTCCCCGCTTTGCAGTGGATATTAATAATGTGAGGTACACATATGTGACTAATAAGAGTAGGAAGAAACTTTGATTAATTACCCTAGGTTTGCCAATTTGTTTTTTAAAATCACATTTTTTTTCCTTCTGTCATGAGTCTAAGCTTCTACATTTGTAAGACTTTCTTTCCTAATGCCTTAGAGAAGATCATATCAGCTGGATGGGGTGGGTCACACCTGTAATCCTGGCACTTTGCGAGGCCAACATTGTAGGATTGCTCGAGCCCAGGAGCACAGAAGCCCAGAAGTTCGAGATCAGCCTAGGCAATGTGGCAAGAATCACATTTTGTTAAAATATATATAAGATTTGGTTTAAAAAAAGAAATAGAAATAATAATACGATTATATTAATCTTTGTTAAAACACTCCAAGGTGACATTCTAACTGACTGAACTAACTCACAATAAGAGGAGTATTTCCTACATGAAAGCACACGTTACCAAGGAAATGGGAGACAGTTAAAAATATTTAAAGTTTTTTGGTCTCTTACATCACATTAATCTACCTGAGAAAACCCGGGTTGTATGAGATAATTATCTTTCATTCTTTTTTTAATAACAGAAACCATTAATTATAATAAGGATGGCTTTGAAACACTGGAGAGCAGAGCTTAAGAGTAAGTAATATTAGTATCCATCTTCCAAGGCTACAATAATTTAGTTTTGCACTGGAATTACCCTAAATAAACTAAATAGACATTGAGTTCTTTTTGAGAACAATAGATTTTCTTTCCTACATATTTCTTATCCATAACAATTTCTTTGACTTCCAAGTTAATTACTTGTTATTTCTGCCTACTCTTTATAGTTTCCTCTTCAGTCACTATGAATATTATGATAGGCAAATTCCAAGATGGCTCCCAAGATTCTACTGCCTGATATACATACCTTATATAATCCCTTTCCTTGAGTGCAAGCAGAGCCTGTGAATATGATGGAACCCTTTCCACTGATTATATTGCAATATATGGACTAAGGAATTTTTCAGATATAATGAAGATCCCTAAACAGCTAAATTTGAAATAAAAGGAAAATAATATTATCTTGGATAGACCAGACCTAATCAATTAGTTCTTAAAAGAGACAAGTAGCAGCATAAAATGCTCTGTTCCTGGCATGAAGAAAGGAAATAGGCATACTATGAACCAGTGGACTTTCTTCTGGAGAAAGTTACCTAGCTAGTACCTTAAGAGTGGCCTCTGGGAACTAAGAGTGATCTCCAATCAAAGCACAGCAAGAAAACAACAGTGACTTCAGTCCTACAACCACAAGAAACAAATTATACCAACAACCTGAATGAGATTAAGAGAACTCCAAGCTAATGATGAGACTGCTGCCACTGCCCACAACTTGGCATAGCCTTGTGAAACCCTGAGCAGTAAACCTATCTCAGACATCTGAGCTACAGAAACTGTGAGATGATAAATGAGTGTGGCAGTCAACTGCAAAGTTTGCACTAACTTTTTACCCTGCAATAGAATATTAGTACAGACTTCTGGTAATCAAATGGTGCCTTAGAAGCAAGATAACTCTACTCCTCCCTACAGAAAACCAAAAACAAATATATAACATTGACATTATCACCAGATATGCTAGAACTCAAATATGAGGATGAGACTGTTCCCAGGCCACATAGAAGTAAAACATCTGAGGAGATGGTAAGATAATCAAACTTCCGAAGGAATGGTACCAGCTCCTCTTTGTACCTCTGGTAGAATTCGGCTGTGAATCCATCTGGTCCTGGACTTTTTTTGGTTGGTAAGCAAAACTATTCCAATCAATAGAAAAAGAGGGAATCCTCCATAACTCATTTTATGAGGCCAGCATCATCCTGATACCAAAGCCTGGCAGAGACACAACCAAAAAAGAGAATTTTAGACCAATATCCTTGATGAACATTGAAGCAAAAATCCTCAATAAAATGCTGGCAAACCGAATCCAGCAGCACATCAAAAAGCTTATCCACCATGATCAAGTGGGCTTCATCCCTGGAATGCAAGTCTGGTTCAACATACACAAATCAATAAATGTAATCGAGCATATAAACAGAACCAAAGACAAAAACCACATGATTATCTCAATAGATGCAGAAAAGGCCTTTGACAAAATTCATAAACCCTTCATGCTAAAAACTCTCAAGAAATTAGGTATTCATGGGATGTATCTCAAAATAATAAGAGCTATCTATGACAAACCCACAGCCAATATCATACTGAATGGGCAAAACCTTGAAGCATTCCCTTTGAAAACTGGCACAAGACAGGGATGCCCTCTCTCACCACTCCTATTCAACATAGTGTTGGAAGTTGTGGCCAGGGAAATCAGGCAGGAGAAGGAAATAAAGGGTATTCAATAAGGAAAAGAGGAAGTCAAATTGTCCCTGTTTGCAGATGACATGATTGTATATCTAGAAAACCCCATCGTCTCAGCCCAAAATCTCCTCAAGCTGATAAGCAATGTCAGCAAAGTGTCAGGATACAAAATCAGTGTGCAAAAATCACAAGCATTCTTATACACTGATAACAGACAAACAGAGAGCCAAATCATGAGTGAACTCCTATTCACAATTGCTTCAAAGAGAATAAAATACCTAGGAATCCAGCTTACAAGGGATGTGAAGGACCTCTTCAAGGAGAACAACAAACCACTGCTCAGTGAAATAAAAGAGGATACAAACAAATGGAAGAACATTCCATGCTCATGGGTAGGAAGAATCAATATCATGAAAATTGCCCTACTGCCCAAGGTAATTTATAGATTCAATGCTATCCCCATCAAGCTACCAAAGACTTTTTTCTCAGAATTGGAAAAAACTACTTTAAAGTTCATATGGAACCAAAAAAGAGCCTGCATTGCCAAGTCAATCCTAAGCCAAAAGAACAAAGCTGGAGGCATCATGCTACCTGACTTCAAACTATACTGCAAGGGTACGGTAACCGAAACAGCATGGTACTGGTACCAAAACAGAGATATAGACCAATGGAACAGAACAGAGCCCTCAGAAATAATGCCACATATCTACAACTATCTGATCTTTGACAAACCTGAGAAAAACAAGCAATGGGGAAAGGATTCCCTATTTAATAAATGGTGCTGGGAAAACTGGCTAGCCATATGTAGAAAGCTGAAACTGGATCCCTTCCTTACACCTTATACAAAAATTAATTCAAGATGGATTAAAGACTTACATGTTAGACCTAAAACCATAAAAACCCTAGAAGAAAACCTGAGCAATACCATTCAGGACATAGGCATGGGCAAGGACTTCATGTCTAAAACACCAAAAGCAATGGCAACAGAAGCCAAAATTGACAAATGGGATCTAATTAAACTAAAGAGCTTCTGCACAGCAAAAGAAACTACCATCAGAGTGAATAGGCAGCCTACAGAATGGGAGAAAATTTTTGCAACCTAGTCATCTGACAAAGGGCTAATATCCAGAATCTACAAAGAACACAAACAAATTTACAAGAAAAAAACAAACAACCCCATCAAAAAGTGGGCAAGGGATATTAACAGACACTTCTCAAAAGAAGACATTTATGCAACGAAAAAACACATGAAAAAATGCTCATCATCACTGGCCATCAGAGGAATGCAAATCAAAACCACAATGAGATACCATCTCACCACCAGTTAGAATGGCGATCATTAAAAAGTCAGGAAACAACAGGTGCTGGAGAGGATATGGAGAAATAGGAACAATTTTACACTGTTGGTGGGACTGTAAACTAGTTCAAGTATTGTGGAAGTCAGTGTGGCGATTTCTCAGGGATCTAGAACTAGAAATACCATTTGACCCAGCCATCCCATTACTGGGTATATACCCAAAGGATTATAAATCATGCTACTATAAAGACACATGCACACGTATGTTTATAGCAGCACTATTCACAATAGCAAAGGCTTGGAACCAACCTAAGTGTCCAACAACGATAGACTGGATGAAGAAAATGTGGCACATATACACCATGGAATACTATGCAGCCATAAAAAATGATGAGTTCATGTCCTTTGTAGGGACATGGATGAAACTGGAAACCATCATTCTCAGCAAACTATCGCAAGGACAAAAAAGCAAACACCACATATTCTCACTCATAGGTGGGAATTGAACAATGAGATCACATGGACACAGGAAGGGGAACATCACACACCGGGGACTGTTGTGGGGTGAGGGGAGGGGGGAGGGATAGCATTAGGAGATATACCTAATGCTAAATGACGAGTTACTGAGTGCAGCACACCAACATGGCACATGTATACATATGTAACAAACCTGCATGTTGTGCACATGTACCCTAAAACTTAAAGTATAATAATAATAAAATTAAAAAAAAAAGAAAATCAAACTTCCACATATATGACATCCCTCCCCACAATCTGCCCAGGACCAAGCACATGAAAAAATGTCCCTGAATGGTAGTGTTTATACTGGAAAAAGTGAACAACCAGCTACTCCACTATCTTGGGTTCCCTGGCAGGATACCTACTGCTGCATGAACCCATGCGAAGCATTGGGAGTGCCTGAAGGGGGAAATATCCCTAAAAATAGCCAGAGTCAAAGTGGGAAGGCAAAACCATCCTCAGACCTGAAATCTCTGCTCTGTGACTAGATTAGAGGCAATGCCAAACCTGAGCAGCTCTTCAGCAGCACCATGCAGTAAGCAGGTTCACACCACAGATGTTCTGGGCGAAAACCCTTAACCAGCCTTTTCACACTATCAGAGCATAACTAAATGAAATATATACTGAAAAATCACAGAAGATTGACAAAACACAAAGTTGTTTCTCTGAGAAAATAAACAAAAGCAACATGACTTTAGCTAGATTAAGAAAAAAAGAGAAAAGACCCAAATAAAAGCAGAAATGAAAAAATAAACATAACAACTAAGAATTACTAGACTATTATTAACCCCTATACACAAGAAATTGGAAAACCTAGAAGAAATAGATAAATATCTGGACATACACAACCTTCTAAGATTGAACCATAAAGCAATATAATATCTCAACAAACTCATAATGAATAATGAGATCAAAACCTTTATAAACAGTCTCCCATCAACAAAAATTCCAGGACCTGGCCTGAAAGTTTTACTGCAGAATTCCACCAAACATTTAAAAAAGAACCAATACCAGTTATACTCAAACTCCTTAAAAAAAACTGAAGAGTGAGAAATACTTCCAAACTCAGTCTATTAGGCCAGCATTACCTTGACACCAAAACCAGAAAAAGAGACAACAACAACAAAAAGAAAACTTCAGGCCAATATACAGGTGAACATAGATTCATAAGTCTTCAACAAAATACTAGTAAACAAAATCCAACAGCTTATCAAAAAGATAATACAACATGATCAAGTGGATTTTATTCCAGGGATACAAGGACGTCTCAACAAACACAAATCAATAAATGTGATTCACCACATAAACAGAATTAAAAAACAAAAACCATATGATTATCTCAATAGATGCAGAAGAAGCATTGATAAAAATCAGTATCCCTTCATGATAGAAACCCTAAACATACTATGCATAGAAGAAACATACCTCAAAATAATGTAAGTTATACATTAAAAAACCCACAGCCAACATAATACTAAGTGGGAAAAAGTTGAAAGCATCCCTCCTAAGAACTGGCACTAGACAAAGTTGCCTACTTTCACCAATTTATCCAGCTACTCATCTTCCACGATCATTTAGTTTACACATTACTCTAAAATTATTTGAAGTTAACTAAGTGAATTCAACCAATGCATTATTCTTTTTAATAATGGTGACAAATACGTTGTATTATGTTTTTCACACTGAATGTTGCAAAAGGCATGTGCCTATATATTTATCATTTTTTAAAAAGTGAATAAATGACATGTAAAGCCTTCTTCACAATATCAGATCAAAATTATTTGCTTATTATGTTTAAGATGGTAGTGATATCTAACAAATTTTGACTTCTTTCTTTTAGTATACAAATTAAACATCTGGAAGTAAATTATTTTCTTAGCTGATAGAGATACTACTTCATTTGTTTGTGTATACTTGATAGCCTATCTAAAAATTCAGATTAATGTTTATATTAGATTATAAAAACAGTCATAATTCATTGCTGCTCAATCATCAAGAGATGAAATCTATTTGCCCTTTAATTTGGTTATCTCAAGACTTCCTCTGACAAATAGAATTTCTTAGAAGCAATTTTATGACATTTCTAAGACAGGCTTCAAGAACCATTGCAAGCTTCCTCTTTTGCTCTTGGAACCCTGGTTGTCACCACTATCCCATTTGAGGGCCCCATATAACAGTGATCCCCAGTTGACTCACCCCCCAAAGTGTTATCAGTTAAGCCGAGGTGAACTTTGCACAAATTGTCAGTACAGAATCATGAGCCAAATAAATGCTTTTTTAAAAAAGACATTGTGTTTGGGATGCTTTCTTGCACTGGAAAAACTGATTATACAATGTTCTAAATAGCAAATTATAGCCTATAACACAAACACACTCACATATTACTTCTTTGACCAATAATTATTATTATACTTTTTAAAACAACCAAGACCTTCAGATAAAAATAATTACATTTACCCCAAATCTGTTACCTATTTATAGCTTAGCAATCATAATAGGGTCCAAAACCAGGAATTGTTTTCATAGAATTATAATACAATTCTTAGAAAACTACATACTTCTACCACAGCAAAAATAATTGTCCATCTAAATTGAAGCAATTAATAAATAGTATATAAATATATGTGTATAAATCACATCACCATGAAATATAGCCTATATTTATTAACTATTAACATTCAGATATATAAAGGACATATGAATGTTGAAATGATTTATTTTTATCAATGTTGTTTTGCAAAGCTCCACAACTTAATTTTCTAGATTGAGTGATGAATTCTACAGCTCAAATATTTTCTGTTCCATTTGAAATAATCAAGCTGCATAGTATGGATACTTTTACAATATTAAGTTTTTTAGTCTATGAACACAGGATGTTTTTCCATTTATCTATATTTTCTTTAATTTCTTTTATCAATGTTTTATAATATTCAATGTTTAATGCTTTCTTCTCTTTGGTTGAGTGTTTTATTCTTTTTGTTACTATTGTGAATGGGACTGCTTTCTTAATTTTGTTTTTGGATAGTTAATTGTTTTTGTATAGAAATGTGAGTGATTTTTATATACAAATTTTGTATCCTGGAATTTTACTAACTTAGTTTATTAGTTCTGACAGTTCCTTGCAAGTATTTAGGGTTTATTATGTATATAATATTGTCTGCAGACAGATAATTTTACTTCTTGCTTTCAAATTTGTTACTTTTTATATCCATACTACCCCAAATGATCTACAGAGTCAGTGTAATTCCTATCAAAGTCCCAGTGTCATTCTTTATTGAAATGGAAAAAAAACAAACCTATAATTCATAAAGAACCAAAGAAGACTCTGAATAGCTAAATAAATCCTAAACAAAAGAATAAAGCTGGAAGCATCAAACTTTCTGATTTCAAAATATATTATAAAACTGCAGTTATCCCAATAATATGGCACTGGCATAAAAACAGCATATAGACCAATACAACAAAATAGGTAGCCCAGAAATAAATCCGTGTATCTCAGGTCAAGTAATCTTCAACAAGAATGTCAAGAACACAAAATGGAGAAATATACTCTCTTCAGCAAATGGTATTGGAAAAACTGGATATTCAGATGCTGAAGAATGAAATTGTTTCCTTTTTTCACACCATATACAAAATTAATTCAAAATTAATTGAAGAATTAAATGTAAGATCTGAAACTGTGAAGCTACCAGAAGAAAACTTAGAGGAAGGGAAATACCTTCTTGACATTGGTCTACACAATATTTTTGTTTGTTTGTTTGACAACAAAAGCACAGGCAACAGAAAAAAAATAGAAAAGTGAGATTTCATCACACTAAAAAGCTCTTGCACAGCAAAGGAAACAATCAACAAAGTAAAAAGGCAACCTATGGAATTGGAGAAAACATTTGCAAGCCATATATTGAATGAGGAGTTAATATAGAAAATATGTGGGGAATTTATACAACTCAATAGCAAAAAAACAAATAACTCTATTTACAAAATGGGCAAAAGACTTAAACTGACATTTCTCAAAAGAAGGTACATAAATGACCAACGGGTATATGAAAAAGTGCTCATCACCAATAATCATCAGAAAAATACAAAGCAAAGCCATAATGTGATAATGCCTCAAACTTGTTATAATGGCTCCTATCAGAGAGATGCATGAAAAAAAACGTTGGTAAGGATGTGGTGAAAAGAGAAGTCTTGTACACTCTTGGTAAGTATGTAAGTTAGTACAGCCATTATGGAAGACAGTATGGAGGTTTCTCAAAAATATTAAAAATAGAAATACCTTGAAGAGGACCTTTATTTCCCTTGTTAGCTGTTTTCCTAGATATTTTATTTCCTTTGTAGCAATTGTGAGTGGGAGTTCATTCATGATATGGCTCTCTGCTTGTCTATTCTTGGTGTATAGGAATGCTTGTGATTTTTGCACATTGATTTTGTATCCTTGACTTTACTGAAGTTGCTTATCAGCTTAAGAAGGTTTTGGGCTGAGACAATGGGGTTTTCTAGATACAGGATCATGTTGTCTGCAAACAGAGACAGTTTGACTTCTTCTCTTCTTATTTGAATATGCTTTATTTCTTTCCTAATTGCCCTGGCCGGAACTTCCAATAATCTGTTGAATAGGAATGGTGAGTGAGGGCATCCTTGTCTTGTGCCAGTTTTCAAGGAGAATGCTTCCAGCTGCTGCCATTGGCTGTGGGTTTGTCATATATGGCTCTTATTATTTTGAGATATGTTCCAGGAATATCTAGCTTATTGAGAGTTTTTAACATGAAGGGATGTTGAATTTTATTGAAGGCCTTTTCTGCGTCTATTGAGATAATCATGTGATTTTTGTCTTTGGTTCTGTTTAAGTGATGAATTACATTTATTGATTTGCATATGTTGAACCAGACTTGCATCCCAGGGATGAAGATGACTTGATCATGTTGGATAAGCTTTTTGATGTGCTGCTATATTAAGTTTGCCAGTATTTTACTGAGGATTTTTGCATCAATGTTCATCAGGGATATTGGCCTGAGGTTTTTTTGTTGTTGTTGTATCTCTGCCAGAGTTTGATATCAAGATGATGCTGCCTTCATATATGTTCAAGAAATCTGACGAAAACAAGCAATGGGGAAAGGATTCCCTATTTAATAATTGGTGCTGGGAAAACTGGCTAGCCATATGCAGAAAATTGATTTTGGACCCCATCCTTAAACCTTATACAAAAATTAACTCAAGATGAATTAAACACTTAAAAGTAAACCCACAACTATAAGAACCCTAGAAGAAAATCTAGGCAATACCATTCAGGACATAGGCAGGGACAAAGATTTTATGATGAAACCGTCAAAAGCAATTGCAACAAAAGCAAAAATTGACAAATGGGATCGAATTAAACTAAAGAGCTTCTACACAGCAAAATAAATTGTCATTAAAGTGAACAGACAACCTACAGAATGGAAGAAAATTTTTGCAATCTACCCGTCTGACAAAGGTCTAATATCCAGAATCCACAAGAAACTTAAATTTACAAGAAAAAAATAACTCTATTAAAAAGTGAGCAAAGGACATGAACAGATACTTCTCAAAAGAAGATATTTATGCAGCCAACAAACATGAAAACAAGCTCAACAACACTGATCATTAGAGAAATGCAAATCAAAACTACAAAGGCATATTGTCACATGCCAGTCAGAATGGCGATTATTAAAAAGTCAAGAAACAACAGGTGCTGGCAAGGCTGTGGAGAAATAGGATAACTTTTATATGTTGGGAGCAATGTAAATTAGTTCAACCGTTGTGGAAGACAGTGTCATGATTCTTCAAAGACCTAGAACCAGAAATGCAATTTGATCCAGCAATCCCATTACTGAGTATATACCCAAGGGAATATAAATCATCCTATTATAAAGATACATGCACATGTACGTTCATTGAAGCACTATTCACAATAGCAAAGACATGGAACCAACCCAAATGCCCATCAATGATAGACTGGATAAAGAAAATGTGGTACATATGTACCAGGGAATACTATGCAGCCATAAAAAGGAATGAGGTCATGTATTTTGCAGGAACATGGATGGAGCTGAAAGCCATTATACTCAGCAAACAAACACAGGAACAGAAAACCAAACACTACATCTTCTCACTTATAAGTGGGAGCTAAACAATGAGATCACATGGACACAGGGAGGGGAACAACACACACTGGGGCCTGTCAGGAGGGCAGGGGAAAGAAGAACATTAGGATAAATAGCTAATGCATGTGGGGCTTAATATCTAGGCAATGGGTTGATAGGTTTAGCAAACTACCATGGCACACATTTACCTATGTAACAAACCCGCACATCCTGTGCATGTATCCTGGAACTTAAAATAAAATACAAATATAATAAATATAATATATAACATAATAAATATAATAATAAAAATAAAATAAAAATAAAACTACCATATGACTCAGCAGACCTACTGCTTGGTATATTTTCCAAGGAAATGAAATCAGCATACTGAACATGCACCTCCATGTTTATTGAAGCATTATTCACAATAGTCAAGATTTGAAAAACCCGTGTACATCGATGGGTGGTTAAAAGGATATTAACATACATATGTATATATACATATACATGTGTATACCTATTGGAATATTTCTTAGCCTTAAAATGAAGGAAATCTTATTATTTGCATCAACATGGATGAAACTGGAGGACATTTTGAGTACATTATGTTAAATGAAATAAGCAAGGCACAGAATGACAAATACCTCATGATCTCACTTGTAAGTGGAATCTAAAAGAAAACAAACTCATAGAGTTTTCCAAAGGCTGGGGGTGAGAGGAAGGAGAAAGACTGGAGAAATGGCACAAATTTTGATTATACAGGATAAATAAATTTTTAAGATCTAATGTACAGCATGGTTACTGTGGTTAATAATATTGTATTTCATACGTGGAATTTCCTAAGAGGATAGATCTTAAATGTACTCATAAAAACAAGAATAAAAAAGTAAAAAAAGTTAACTATCCGAAGTCATGGAAATAATGTTTAACTTGCTTGTGATGATTATTTCACTACATATTTATACATTAAATGATAAAATTGTACACTTTAAATATATATAATTTTTAACTGTCAAATATACATCAATAAACTAAAAAAATTTGTAAAAATCCTCTAATTTCTTTGAATATGCAGTCATAAGTATTTAAAAAGCTAGAAATATTTAGCAAGCAAACAGGCTAGAATCATTTGAAGATTACATCAATACATATCAATGAAAGAAATAATACTCCTCATCTATGTAACTTTATTCTTTAGACTATAGCTATATATAAGCAAAACATCTTAAAAGCCAATAATATAATTTCTCTATAAAATTTGAAATAGTTGTTCCTAATTGGTTAAGAATTTACATCTTTTTAAATCATTGATTCCCTCATGATGTGTAGTCTTAAGCGTTGGAAAAAATGTAAGAGAAACTAAGATGAAGTATTTGAAAGGCATGAAAGTAAAAAATTGAGATTTTAATTCATTCAGCTTAGATAAAACAATGAATTAAGAATACGTGGCCTGGCGCGGTGGCTCACGCCTGTAATCCCAGCACTTTAGGAGGCCGAGGCGGGCAGATCATGAGGTCAGGAGATTGAGACCATCCTGGCTAACACGGTGAAACCCCGTCTCTACTGAAAATACAAAAACAAACAAAAAAAATTAGCTGGGCGTGGTGACCGGCGCCTGTAGTCCCAGCTACTCAGGAGGCTGAGGCAGGGGAATGGCGTGAACTCATCCGGCGGAGCTTGCAGTGAGCCAAAATCGCGCCACAGCAGAACTCCAGCCTGGGCGACAGAGCAAGACTCCGTCTAAAAAAAAAAAAAGAAAAAAGTAAAACACTATATTTTTAAATATATACTTGTTAAACAAGTATATCTATATAATGTATACATCCTGTTATATATATTATTTATATGTTATATATATTATTTATATATGTTATATGCATATTTGTTATATATTATATATATATATATATATAACAAAGGAAAACATATTAATAATAGTCACAAAGTATGGAAAGGAAGAATAATGTCCTAAAATTAAATTGAACAAATATATTATCATGAAGTTGGAAGTATTCTTTAGCCTGCTAGCCATTAAACTTATGCCTGGTGTTCCATCATTGGAAAGCCTAGCATTTGGGAGTTATTTATATCTTACTCCTCAAGGTCATCATCTAGGTCTGATTTTTCACACATCTCTGCCTCCTGAGGGTACATGTTATCACATGATGCACAGAGTTAGTCACTGCTGCAGATGCTGGTGTGCTGGGAGCTTGTAAAAAAGTGATGTGAGTTTTCGGAAACATTTTTGAGGAAGTATCCAAAGACAGGTACAGGCCGGGTGCAGTGGCTCACACCTGTAATCCTAACACTTTGGGAGGCTGAAGTGGGCGGATCACTGGAGGTCAGAAGTTCAAGACCAGCCTGGCCAAAATGGTGAAATCCCTTTTCTACTAAAAAAAAATATATATATATATATATATATATATACACACACAAATTACCCGGCCATGGTGGCAGGCACCTGCAATCCAGCTACTAAGGAGGCCGAGGCAGGAGAATCGCTTGAATCCTGGAGGCAGAGGTTTTGGTGAGCTGAGATAGTATCACTGCACTCCATGGGTGGCAGAGCAAGACTCCCTCTCAAAAAAAACAAAACAAAAACCCACAAACAAACAAAAAAAGATAGGTACATATAACTTTACTGAACTATAACCTACACTAGTAATTTTTTATTACTTCTCTATTCATTTTGCTATTGTGCTGTAAAAAGAAAATATCGAAATTATTACTGTTGCATTAGTCATGGGTTTTACATTTTTCGCGTTCTATTTTTGGAAGACTAGGCAAAACCACTACCACTAGGACTAATAATACCTTTTTTTTTCATTTTCGTCCCAAGATGCTGCAAACTCTAAATTTACATGAAACAATTGACCTTTTAAAGACAGATAACAGCAAGTGCTATAGTGACACAATCACCTGAAAATGCTACAGCACCTGTTTCTGATGAGGACTCAGGAGATAAAGAAGGTGGAACAAGAAATAATCCACCAGGTTCTTTGTTGCCTGCAACTGCATATCTTATTCAAGATGGCTCTGATGCTGGATCTGACTGAGATGATCCCTCATATGCACCTAAAGATGACTCTCCTGATGAATTTTCATCTACATCTACTGCACAGCAACCTCCACCATCAAAGAGGAGGAAAGTGACCAAAATTGTTTGCAAAGGGATAAAAGCTGGCCTAACTGTACAGCCCATAAGAGGTAGAGTTACAGAATCACCAAACGATTTCTTCACCAAAATGAGAACTCCCATAGAAATTCTTGAACTTTTTCATGATGATGAGGTTGTTGAGTTCATTGTCAAGGGCTCCAACTTATGTGCTCGAAGTAAGGATGTACATCTTGGCTTGACTACCTCCAAATTCAAATCTTTTCTGGAAATTATTTTTCTGAGTGGTTACATCTCAGTTCCTAGAAGGCATATGTTTGGGGAACAAAAACAGATGCACATAATGTACTGGCATAATGTACTGCCATGAGACGTGACTGTTTTGAACTACATTTTCTAATTTGCATGTTGCTGACAATGCAAATTTAGATCCAATGGACCAGTTTTCCGAGTGGTGACCTCTTGCAAGCAAACTCAATGAGAGATGTATGAAATTTGCTCCAAATGAAACATATTTCAGCTTTGATGAATCCAGGGTTCCTTATTTTGGTTGTCAGGGGTGCAAATAATTTATCTGGGGAAAGCCCATTCGGTTTGGCTGTAAGATTTGGTGTGGTACCACATGTCTGGGCTACATTGCGGGTTTCAGCTTTATCAGGGTAAAAACCCTGATACTAAACATGAGGAATCTGGTGTTGGTGCCTCACTTGTCCTTCACTTTGGTGAGGCAATTACAGAGACACACCCTGGACAATACCATTTTGTATTTGATAACTTTTTCACCAGTATTGCACTTCTTGATAAACTCAGTTTAATGGGACCTCAGGCAACAGGTACAGTGAGAAAGTATTGCATTGACAAGGCTCCACTGGAATCAGCTGCAGCTCTAAAGAAAAAAAGATAGAGGCAAATTCGATTATCGAATTGATGGCAAAGGCAGTACTGTCTGCAGGTGGAATGATAACAGTGTTGTCACTATTGCCTCATCTGGTGCTGGTATTGATCCCCTGTGTCTTGTCAGTTCTTATTCCCAGAAGCTGAAAAAGAAGATCCAAGGTCAGCAGCCAAACATGATCAAAGTGTTTATAACCAGTTCATGGGAGTCATACACACAGCAGATGAAAACATTAATAAGTATCAGGCATCAATCTGTGGAAATAAATGATATCAAGCCCTCTTTTGTTCTGTTTCAAATTGGTCTTACAAAATGCTTGGCAATTGCATAAAGCATACGATGAGAAGCCAGTGGATTTTCCGGAGTTTCATCGACGTGTGGTATGCCATTATTTGAAGACCCATGGTCATCGTCTAAAACCTGGCCGAAAAAGACCTTCTCAGAAGCATAACACTGACTCATATTATGACGGCATAAATCACGGGATAGTCAAACAGGGAATGCAAATGTGGTATGCTGAGTGTCATAAGAACAACACTTTTCAATGTGAAAAATGTGATGTTACCTTGCATGTGAAGCATTCTGTTGAATATCACACTGGACAGCAGGTTTCACCACCCCCTGAGACAAGAAACATGATTTTATACATTATGTACAATGTAGCAAGGATTTTGCCTAGTGTTCCATTTTTTGAATGCCACATAACTCAACAATACAACATAATAAAAATTTTTCCTTTTCAAATTCTTGTGTCTTGAACTTTTCTAGGTAACATATATGAATTTCATGCACAAATTTAAAAAATTGCAACCTCAGGCATAAAAGGATTAATCTATTCAGGATTTGATAGTTCAAATTATAGTAAAATATTCACCTGGAGAATTTTAAAATACATGTGAACAAAAGCAAATATAAATGCTGTAACCAAAATTGTGTCTTTTAAATATGAAATAAAATTAGAGATCATTTGAGTTAACAATATCTGTAAAAAATATTTAAAAATTACAGAACTGCTTCTTAACATATTTCTAGATTAAAATAGAGATACATAATAATACCTGACAAGCTTCCTTTTCAATTCATATTAAACTACTTTTTTGCCCATTTCTGCTCAAAAGTTATTTCCAGAGAGGTCTTCTCTGACTACACAATATAAAATAAAATGCCATCTCCGCAGTCCCCTTTCATTTAACCAGTTTATTTTTTCTCCAATTACTCTTATAATCATCACATGTATAAAATACTTTATTTTCTTTAATCTGTCTCTTCTTACCAGAATATAAGCTCCATGAGGGCAGAGATTTTTACTCATCAAATAAACAGTACCAAAAATATTTGGCATGCCACAAATTTTTGAGAAATGTGTAAATAAATAACCAAAATCAATGCTGAAAATGTTTTAAAAGAATGAACTGAAGAGAACAGCAAGAAAGAATTAAACCTTAGTACAGTGGCACTACAGTAGATAGATGACCCCTAGACATAATAGACATTAGTTATCACAGCAAAGAGTAACCAACACGAAAATAGAGACTTGGGCCAGAGCAACAGGGAAGCAGGTGGGGTGAGTTATGCACTAAAGTTAGATTTCCTTCATTTTGTAGAGAGACTGTTTATCATTCAAAACGTTTAAGTAGGGAAAAACCCACATGTACAATAGAAATCATCCTCTTTGAGAAAAAATAAAATAAATTGAGACTGATCAACATACACTAAAAGAATTACACTGCTGGGCATGGTGGCTTACGCCTATAATCCCAGCACTTTGAGAGGCCGAGGCAGGTGGGTCGTTCTGAGCTCAGGACTTCAAGACCAGCCTGCGCAGCATGGCAAAATCCATTTGTACAAAAGAGAAAAAGAGAAAGAAAAAATTATCCGGGCGTGGTGGCTCACACTTATAGTGCCAACTACTCAGGATGCTGAGATTGAAGAATCCCTTAAGCCAAGGAAAAAGAGTTTGCAGTGAGTCGAGATCATGCCACTGCACTTCAGCCTGGGCAACAGAGTGAGAACCTATCAAAAAAAAAAAAAAAAAGAATTACACAGAATCCTCTAAGGCAGTATATAACTGAATATAAATTTTTATATTTTTAGTCAATTATTTTTAATTGACAAATAAATATATATATTTATGGTGTACAATATGATGTTTTGAAATATATATTATGGAATGATTAAATCAAGCTAATTAACACATGCATTATCTCAGAGACATCATTAATTTGTGGTGAGAATACTTAAAATCTACTCTCTTAATATTCAAGTCTACAAAACATTGTTACTAACTATATTTGCAATTTTATACAATGGATCTCTTTGAAATTATTTCTTCTAACTGAAATTTTGTGTCCTTTAACCAAAGTCTCTCAAATCCTGTTTTCCCCTCAGCTCTTGATTACTGCTGTTCAGCTCTGCTTTCGTGAGCCTGACTTTTTCAGATTCAACACAAGTGAGATCATGTAAAATTTATCTTTCTATTCCTGGCTTATTTCACTTAACATTATGTCCTTAACATTTATCCGTATTGTTGCAAATGTCAGGATTTCCTTCATTTGTAAGGGTGACTTATATTCTACAGGACTTGTATTCATTCATCTTCTGATTAAAGAAGCCAGTCAAAATCTCTTCAGTTTTAACTACCAGATCCATGTCCAGAATCCCTACAAAATGTTCATCACATTCTCTAATTTTTATGTTATTTTGTTTCCATATTATACATTCTAAAAGCAAGATTGTAAAATAAATTACTGACAATAAAATTTATATACATTATTACTAAAAAAGGCAAAGTGAGCTAAATAAGTGTTTTTTAAATATATAAATATTTAGGTAGCATAGTAAAAAATACCAAAATAAGGCCTTGTGTCTGCATTTGTCTAGGAAGCCATCGCTTATGTTTATTACTTTCCTTTTGCAATCACTATTTCTATGTTTTCTCTGTCCCCAGATGATAGGGATTTTGGCTTAGAGATGTGATTAAACTTTATTCCTATGAGACCTGAACTCTTGGTAATTTGTACAATGATTTAGTGGTATTTTATTAAATTTTACCACTGGTTATGGTTACAGAGGATGGCCCCAAAGAACAAAACTATTCATATCATTAATACTCCTTTCATTTCTCCTTCATTTGTACCTTTTATTATATGTTTCCCATCCTGCAGGGTAATTTTAGCCATCCATGATAGTGTCCATATAGTACCTTAAGTAAAAGCCCTCAACCATACTAAATTTGGTACTAGTCCTCTAATCATATCATTTGCAGGCCCCTGGCCATCTGGCCAAACCTTAACATTTGACACCAAATTGATGTACAGGATACCTTAGGCTATCTTTCCTTCCAAGAGAAATAGACAATGAGATACACCACTGGAAGTTTTGCCTTAGAAGAATTTTGAAAGGATTATGTGGTTTTCCAGGGTCTCCTCTTTATAAGTATGTAAAATAAGAGCATGTCATTTTATGTTTTGCCAGAGTATTGTTTATCAGACTCACAATTTTATTTTTATTTCTCACATGATCATGGACAGTACTCATTAAGTCCAGAAGTGCATATTATGGAAAAGATGTTAGATGTTAGTATGGGTAGAGTTACTTGTTAATTAAATTTATCTGTGGTTTCAGTAGTAGCTCAGGTCTGGTCCCAGGCACTTCACTTTATTTTAAGATAGCGTGTTACTGGATATGTTTGATATTATGGGCTAGATAAATATCATCCTGTATATTATGGGCAGCTAGCTCCCTTTGTATAATGACATGGAGCAGGATAAGTCTCCCTCTACCAGTGCCCAATATATAATGAAGAGCCATTTTGCAGAAGAAAATAGTCTTCTTCTTGGTTAAATAGTAAAATATTGTGTATTAAAAATAGCTAGAAGACACACTTTGAATATTCTCAACATGAAGAAATACTAAATGCATGAAGTAACAGATACATTACCTACCTTGATTGTATCATTATACAACATAGATGTGCATCAAAATGCCAAACTGTACCCTACACATTTCTACAATTACAATGTGTCAATTGAAAACATAAAAACAAAATAAAGTAGTTACTACTTGATTAAGGGGCATTACTTTGCTATAAAAGCCAAGGGACCTCTGTTGTGATTTCTATCACCTCATCTGCCACAGACTCTTAGAACATCATTGTATTATTTGAATCACAAGGTCAGGGCTGCTTTTACTGGAGTCGGAACCATGTGGAGATCTTTCTCTTCTTTCAAAGCCCTACTGTGAGTTGGTGGCCTTTTGGTAAATCAGATGGCATGGAGAAAAAGAAAAACTTGCAAATTACTTCCAAAAGGTAAAGAAGCCCAATGAGTAAATTTCTTTCTCCTTCATTAGTGATGATTATGCAAAGTATAATGGATATCCTGCCATAGTTCAGACCACAGAAACTTCACTGAGGTAACAGTCCCCTGTATGTTTGTGTGACATATCTACATCTTCCAACATGCAAGTGTCTCACCAAAACTTTCAGGTCATTTTCTATTTTCTGCTCTGGTAGTCATGTGGGAGTGATGTCATCAGCTGAAATTATTATGTAACAATTAAGGTTTCTGTAGAAAAAATTGTGGCATAGCCCAAGAGCTGATGTAACTCTAGTACAAAATGATCTGCTTCTCTTTCATAAGCAAATGTGAAATGAAGACATTTTAAATACAAAAAACAGAGGAGAGAATTCACTATCAACAGACCTTCAATTTAAAAACAAATCTTAAAAGGAAGTTTTGATTGGCATTTACCTAATGATTAGTGATGTTGAGCATTTTTTCATACATTTGTTGGCAAATCAAAACCACAATGAGATTACCATCTCACACCAGTCACAATGGATATTAACAAAAAGTCAAAAAATAACAGATGCTGGTGAGATTGTGGAGAAAAATGAATGCTTATACATGGCTGGTGGAAATGTAAATTAGCTCAGTCATTGCCAAAGGCAGTGTGGCAATTTCTGAAATAACAAAGCAGAATTACCATTCAATCCAGCAATCCCATTACTGGGTATATACACAAAGAAAAATAAATCATTCTACCATAAAGAGACATTCACACATATATTCACAATAGCAAAGACATGGAATCAACCTAAATGCCCATCAATGGTAGATTGGATAAAGAAAATGTGGTATATATACACCATGGAATACTACACAGCCACAGAAGAGAATAAGATCACATCCTTTGCAGCAACATGGATGGAGCTAGAGGCCATAATCCTAAGCAAACTAACCTAGGAAAAGAAAACCAAATACCATAAGCTCTTCCTTATAAGTAGGGGTTGAACACTGAGAACACATGGACACAAATAAGGGAAAAATAGACAGCAGGGCCTACTTTAGGCTGGAGGGTGGGAGGTGAAGATCAAAAACCTACCTATTTGATACTATGCTTATTAAATGGGTGATGAAATCATCTGTACACCAAACCCCTGTGACACATAATTTACCTATATAAGCAACCTGCACATGTACCCCTGAACCTAAAATAAAAGTAAAAAAAAAGAAAGTTCATCAAATATAAATAAATAAGATATGTGAGAGAAAATTGTATGGGCACACATACAATAATTATCTTAATTATAATAATATTTTTAATAATTATTAATTATTACTATATATAATATATATTATGTATACAATATAAAATATAATATTATATATACAATATAAAATATAATTTATAATATATTACTTAATATTATTTTAAAACTAGTAAATATAACTTTCTAATGTAAAAATAAGTTATTGTGAGTTTATAGAATATGTAACAATAAAATTACATGATGACAACAGCAAAGGAAATGGAAGGAAGCAATATTTTTGATGAGTACAATATAATCCATGAATCCATTTAAGTCTAAAACTACATTCTCCACTTTTTGTACAAACACTTTCAGAATTCTTTGCCCAAATATAAGATGCAAATTGTAGACTTTTTACAAATTAACAAATCCCTGATGTTGTTTTGCAGGTACATCTTCTCATGGGTTGACTTTGTTATTATCATCTAGAATTTTACTGTGACCTGGTTTAAGTTGTCACTATAGAGAGCATTGCAGAGTAACTCCCTCAGGTTAGAGAGCTTTGGCATGGTCAGAGCTTTGCTCTGGCAACCAAATGAGACTAATTGGGTGTTATGCTTTTTGTATTCTGAATCTCCAAATCTCCATTCCACTTATCAGTTGTCCACTCTTTGCTGACAGGCTACTACATTTCACATAAAAGACTTTGTGGGCCAGGCGTGGTGGCTCGTGCCTGTAATCCCAGTACTTTGGGAGTTTGAGGCAGGTGGATCGTCTGAGGTTAGGAGTTCGAGACAAGCCTGGCCAACATGGTGAAACCCTGTCTCTGCTAAAAAAACAAAAAAAATAGCTGAGCGTAGTGGCAGGTGCCTGTAATCCCAGCTACTCGGGAGGCTAAGGCAGGAGAATGGCTTGAACCCAGGAGGCAGAGGTTGCAGTGAGCCGAGATCACCCCATTGCACTCCAGCCTGGGCGACGAGAGGGAGACTTCGTCTCAAAAAACAAACAAACAAAAAAAAGATTTTGTTACCCTTTGAACTCAACTAACACTGTAAATATATAGAATATACTTTAACCTTAATTCTTAGTTATCTTACTCCTGAGACTCTAACTAGCAGTTTCTTTTAGCACAGTTATAAGGAGCCTGGATTTGTACTCACACTTTGTATTACAGTTTTTTATTACTGCCTAACAACTGCCTTCCAATTTAGTGACATGAAATAGCAATAACTATTCATTATTTCTCCCTATTGTATAATTTGTGCAGGAGTCAACAGACGCATTGTGATAGTTGCCTATTGTTGCTGTTACTGGTTAACAAAAACTAAGAGGCTTAAAACAACAAAAATTTATTTTCTTACAGCTTGGCTCCTAGGTTCATGACTCCTTCTTCACATCACTTCACTCCAATATCTTGCTTTTTACATGAATATAACTTTTCTTACACTAGTAAGAAATGTGTATGTATATTTACATGAATATAACAGTTCTTACACGTTATATTCATGAAAATTACTACTTTTCTTACTACTGTAAGAAATGTGTCTCAGACTCTTTGCCTCTCTGTAAGAACCTATGGGATTCTTATCTAAGAATAAATAAGTTGAGCCCTATTTAAGGCTCAACTAGATACTCTAGGATAATCTTCCTATCTCAAGATCTTTGACTTAGTCACATCTGCAAAGTTCCTTTTGACATAAAAGATGTCATTCATAGTTCCCAGGAATTAGGGTGCAGAAATTTTTCAGGGGACCATTATTCAGCCTACTGATGGTGGCTTGTCTCTGTTCCATATGGTGTTGTCTACAGCCACAACGAGGACTGGAGGATCCCATATGGCTACCCCCATGTTTTTTAGAGCCTTACCTGGCATGACTATATTATGGCTGGGCATCCATTGGTCCTTTCTGTTTCATGAATTCTTTTATCACTCAAAGCTGTGATTCAAGCTTTTTTTCATGGGGGCTGAATCCCAATAAGGTGAAAATGGAACCTACTAGGATCTCTGAAGCTCAAGCCCTAGAACTCATACAGTGTCATTCTTCATTCATTCTGTTGATCAAAATCAGTCACAAGAGCAGCCCAGATTTGAGGAGAAAGGAGCTGACTTTATCTTTTTATGAGTTGAGTGGCATAAGCATAGAAGAATCAGAGACATTATTAGTGTTCATTTTTGTAGTCTACCACACTTTGAACTAAGAATTTAGAGATTTGATCTTATAATTTTTAAAATTTTTTAAATTAACTTTTAAGTTCCATGACAAGGAGTCACATCACACTACAGCCTCAAATTTATATCTTTTGTTCTGTCTTAAAGAAGCTATAATTCATTTCATTCAAAGTCTTTCCTTCACTGGCTACTTGATTCCAGGTGATTACTGATGGGATTTTAGCTTAACGATTATTACATGCTGTGTTATGTGAAGTTCTCATTCTGAAGCACTAATGGAGTTCCATTGTTTTTACCTAGTAGTTAGACACATCTAGGCTCTAAACTAATAGATTTTCCAATTTCCCTTAAGGTTTGTTATGTAATCCGTTCCTGGAAGAGCTGCAGTCGATTGTTTTAACTTGTTTTAATTACCACCAACCTCCTCCACTAAACTCATCCCCATCATTCCTAACTTTAAAACACGCACATACCACCCCCCACCCCCAAACACATTTACTCAAGGGCTATTTGTGTGAGTGTGGGTGTGTCCATGGGTGTTTGTTTTAATATGTTGCTTCTTGGTGGATTTTTTTAAAAAAATGAGATCTAACTACAGACTACTCTTATATAAAAATCGAAAACATGGACCAAATGCAGTGAAAGAAAGGGCATATTATGTCTTATTCTTTCATATACTTCAAAGACAGCAAAAAGTTATAAATATCACTTCCTCTATTTAATTGTAAGATGCCAGTTCATTATAAACAACTTTAGCCTTCTAAAGATAGGTTTCCTGGGACACATCAGTGATATATCTATTTGTATAAATTAAGGAAGAAAGATGATTTATTAAACACAAGCTACAATCAAACAAATATTCCATTTGATGCATTATTAGTATAACAATTTTTAATGTACAAAGACATTTCATGATTGACTTTTGATGGAAAATCTGATATTAGAATTTGACAGGTGATTTGTTTTTACTAATTCCCTTTGGAAGCCTCTTTAGCTTTTTTCCAAAAAAATCTGTAATTTCATGAGTCCTTGGAATATGTTGACAGTGAAGTTCTACTAATATCCAAATACTTTTAGAATATAAATCTTTGTAATAGTCCACATTACATATATTTAAATAAATACAGTTTAGTACTATAAAATCAGTTTAAATAATATGGAGTTCTAAACATAGAAAAATCATCATAGTTTTTTAATATAAAATTCTAAGAGCAGGCCGGGCGTGGTGGCTCACGCTTGTAATCCCAGCACTTTGGGAGGCCGAGGCGGGTGGATCACGAGGTCAGGAGATCGAGACCATCCTGGCTAACACGGTGAAACCCCGTCTCTACTAAAAATACAAAAAAAAAATTAGCCGGGCGTGATGGCGGGCGCCTGTAGTCCCAGCTACTCGGGAGGCTGAGGCAAGAGAATGGCGTGAACCTGGGAGGCGGAGCTTGCAGTGAGCCGAGATTGCGCCACTGCACTCCCGCCTGGGCCACAGAGCGAGACTCCGTCTCAAAAAAAAAAAAAAAAAAAAAAAAAAAAAAAAAATTCTAAGAGCAATGTATGTAATGTTTACTTTAAGAAATTTACTGAATTTATCTATCTCTCTAGGAGTATTTTCAGTGGATTTTATGAAATGTATTAAATTACATTTGCATTTGGATTACAATTTACACATATACTTCACTCCGTCTCTATTCTTAGTGAATTGCAAAATAACAGGAAAACCTAAAAGATATTTTACCTTTCTCTAAGAAGAATTTGGTTATTGACAAGTACTTCATTGAATTGATTTGTTTATATTGCATAATTCTGTAAAATGCGTGCATATGTATTGAGTTTAGATACATTTTCAGCTGACACTAATACATACAACTTTAAAATGTATCATAGAGGTTGAAAAATTCAACTTGAACTTGTAATCTAACAATCGTGATATCATGGACTGTTATATTTAGAAGGGGGTTTCAAGTGCATTTATTTTAGTACCTACTAAGTGTTTTAATCACTACAAATTCAAAGTTTATGTTTTAACTCATGCTTTGATAAATCTCTAATCACAGTAGTGTCTTATTTTGCTTGTTTTGTTTTTCTGACTACTCACTTTTATTTCCTCAACTAATATATTTAATTTTGGTTTCCATCATGTCAGTCACCTCTCTATATATACCTTAATTTTTCAAAGGTTTATTGAAAATGTCATACCAAGGATTAAACATTAGTTGATGTTTAACCCCTTTAAAATGTAATTGGATGATTCTTTCCCATAATCTAGGTAATATAATTTTGAAAATCTAAAACTGAGCTTCCTTACCTTCCTCCCTCTCTCCTTCTACCCTCCCATCCTATGTTCCCTCCACCCTTCTTTATTTTCTTCCTTCCATTCTTCCTTCTTCTTAACTCACTGAAATATTTCACTCCTTTCTTCCTCATAATTACCCTTCTTTGCGTTTTTAATTTTGCGGGGGCGGTGATGGATATGTAATGACAGTTGTAATGCTATGTGAAAACTTTATAGAACTTTTTATTCATTCAACAAGTATTTCTTGAGTGCTTTATTAGTTTTCTGTTGCTGAAACAAATAACCACAATTTAGTAGCATAAGACAACATGAATTTATTCTCTTATAATTCTGGAGGTAAGAAGTCCAGGATGGATTAGCAGTTTAGAGCTTTTCTTCTGAAAAATTTAGGGGATAATTTGTATCCTTGCCCTTTTCAATTTCTAGAGACAGCCTGTATTCCTTGGCCTCTTCTTTGCCATTACTACAACCTCTTGCTTCATCATTACATCTCCTGTTCACTCTGATCTTCCTGCCTCCCTCTTTCAAGGGCCTTTGTTATTACACTGGCCCACCAAGATAATCCACCATAAATTCTATATCAAAATCCATAACACAATCATGTTTGAAAAATCCCTTTTTACTATGTAAGGTAATGTAGTCACCAGTTAAGGGGATTCGAATGCAAACATCTTTGGGGGCAGGCATTATTTAGCCTAACACAAGTGCCTAATATGGTCCTGCAATAGTCAGAAAGCTGGAGATACAGTTTTAAACAAACATTATATTCTGTATCAGTGGCCCTTACATTCTAGAGGATAAAAAGTATACAGCATAATGACTTAATTTAAAACTCTGAAATGTTGTTTGGTGTAGGGAGAGTCTAAGATGACCCTGAATGACCTCTGTCTCCTAATATTTATGCCTTTATGTATTCCCCTCCAATCGAGTGTGGACAGAACCCAAAGATTCCCTTCCTAGGAATGGGATATGGCTATAATGATGGAATTCCATTTTCTGGAGTAGGTTACAGAAAGACTGTGGGTTCAATTTCTTTTTCTTTTTCTTTTTCAGAGATGAGGTTCTCTCTAGGTTGCCCAGGCTGGAGTGCAGCGGCTATTCGTAGGCACCATCCCACTACTGATCAATACTGGAGTTTTGACCTGCTCTGTTTCCTACCTGGGGTGGTTAACCCCTTCTCAGGCAACCTGGTGATCCCAGCTCCCGAGAAGTCACCATATTGATGCTGAACTTTGTGCAAACACTGATCAGCATAGTGCACTACAGCCCAGAACTCCTGGACTCAAGTTATCCTACTGCCTTAGCCTCCAGAGTAGTTGGGACTATAGGTATGCACCATTGCACACATCTGTAGGCTCCATTTTGCTCACTCATTTTCACTCACTCACTAGCTTGTTCTGAATGAAACTACCTGACAAGTTGTGAGATTCTCTCTGGAGAGTCCTATGTGGCAAGAAGCTGAGGGAAGCCTGGAGCCAACAACCAGTAAGGAACTAAGGTCCTTTATTCAACAACTCACTAGGAACTAAAGTGTGCCAACAGTTATATGAGTGGGCTTATTAACTTCCTCTCCTCAGTTGCAGCTTTGTGAGGAACTCTGACCTAGGGGTACCCAGCTAATCTGCACCCAGGCTTGTAAGCCACAGAAACTATGAGATACATGCTTGATGTTTACATTACTAAATTCTGGGGTCATTTGCTATGTAGCAATAGATAACTAATGCAGATTTTATTTAAATTTGGATTTGAATGCCATAGAGAAAGGCAAATAAGTTACCAGTGGAAGGTGTCCAGGATCTTGGCATTTTGAACAAAGAATTGGAAAAAATGCACAAACAAAGCAATGAAAGAATGAAGCAACAAAAGCAGAGATTTATTGAAAATAAAAGCACACGCCAGGTGGGAGCAGGCCTGAGCAAGTGGCTCAAGAGCCCGGTTACAGAATTTTCTGGGATTTTAATATCCTGTAGAGGTTTCCCATTGGTTACTTTGTATACGACCTATGCAAATGAGAGGATAAAGTGAGGTTACAAAGTAATTTACTTGATGTACACCCTATGCAAATGAAGAGGATGTTTTCTGCCATAGCTGAAGTTACAAAGTTATTTACTTGGTCATAGAAAGTTTTTTTTTTTTTTTCATTTGATTTACTTCTAGGTTTACTGCCCCCAAGACCCTATTTTCCTGCCTGAATAGAGAAGGTAAATATATTCATAATTTATGTATCTCCTGTTGTGGGACAACAATACACCCACAGTAAATATTTTAAAAAACACAATTATCCTATTGTTTTAATCTCATTTTTTAAAAAAAATCTCAATTAAAAACAATTATCATATCCACAATAAATACAATGAAGTGAAAAAAATAGTGTCCTGTGATAGCAAATAACTGAGAAACTGAATTAACTATGAAATCAGGGAAGTTTCTCTTTGAATATCCTTTGTAATTCAAGAATTAAAAAAAGAAAGGAAGTAGCCATGTAAAGGTTAGAAACAGTGTTTCATATACAATAAATGATTACGCATAAAAGCTAGAAGTGGGAATGAGCATAGTCTTCGAATATTAAAACAAAAACAAACAAAATATCCAAAGAGAATAATCAAAGATGAATCCTGATTTTTGTTTGAACACATTGGTAAATATTATCTCATTTATTTAAATATTATAAAGAAAAAATAAGTTTTAAAGCATAGAGACAATTAAAAGTCCAGCTTCGACCATAATATATTTGATTCAAAACATTCAATTATAGATGTCAAATAGGAATTTCTTAAAGAGATCAAGTTCTTTTATTCATTAGTTAGTTAACAAATATTCACCCTGTGTGAAAGATGTGGCAGCTCACAAGAATTCTGAGAAACATGCATTAAAAAGCCAACAGCATATAGATGGTGTATCAATTAGATATTCTATCCCTGTAAGTAACAAAATGCTTAACAAATAGTTGCTTAAATAGCAGGAGTTAATTTTTCTCACATAGCAAGTATTTTGAAGGTTAAAGGCTTGCTAACATTGGCTCAAGGACTCAAAAATGTCAGGAATCTGTGTTTCTGGGCATTTGTTTGTTTATTTGTTTGCTTTTTGATCTCCTGCTCACAGTAGCAGGTTCACTTACTTTAGGAATCTCTAATCTTACACTTGTGCAATTCTTTGAAAGTAAAAAAATTGGTAAAAAATTTTTGATTTACTCTCATGTAACTACATTATCTCGGTTTTCCACAAAAATATCATTCAATTCGTTATTGAAACATGGTTTATGATAGCTGGTATTAGTTCTGCTTTCTAGCTTCTTGGATCTGCAATTATGGTAAACATGTCTTTTCCATGAGATGGATATTCGACATTGGTCTGCACTGAGCCTAGAACAAAGATCTGTAGCACTCTATAGAACTCTATTAGGATCATTAGCAGTAGCAATAATTGGTATGTGGTGTGTGTGTGTGTGTCAGATTTTCAAATTAATTTTCATTGCAGAATTTGAAATCGAATCAAATTCATGATTCCAGAAAAATCTAAATCTTAATAAGGTTTTTACCAAACTTGATTTTAAAGGCGAGAATTCCATTAAAATGTATTTAAATATCATTCCAATGTAGAAATGTTATTATTTATAGGCAACATTTATCTGAGTTCTGTTTTTCAAATTATCTATTGCCATTCAGTGGGGTTTTTTTTGTTTATTTTGTTCTCTTTTTCTATAAAACATATATTTTATAACAATTAATTATTTTTAACCTATTTTCAGGGATGTCTTTCAATATCAGTTCATATTTCCTGCTTCTCTAGGCGTGGCATGAAATTCAAGAATATGAAATTTCCTGGCTCTGACATTCATTTATTCATTATGTGACCATTAAAAACTTATTATATATTCTCCACGTTAACAGATAGGGAATAATTATCCCATATTCAGATAATAATTTGGATAATAAAACTACATACTACACAGTATTATTAGCAATAGCTAAAATTATTATTATTTTTTTTTTAATTTTTTTTTTTATTATACTCTAAGTTTTAGGGTACATGTGCACATTGTGCAGGTTAGTTACATATGTATACATGTGCCATGCTGGTGCGCTGCACCCACTAACGTGTCATCTAGCATTAGGTATATCTCCCAATAATAGCTAAAATTATTTAAGGATTATTTATTTCAAGGCATCATTCTAAGCACTTTAGCTGTATTATTTCATCTTATCATCATAGCAACCCATAGAATAAGTGTACTGATAACCCCATTTAATAGATGAAAAATATTTAAATAATTTGCCCCGGATACACAGTTTATATGTGGTAGAACTGGAATTGAACCTGAAGCACACTGCCCTGAGAGCTCACACATTTAAACTCTAAATCTCAGTGGTTAAGTGAAGCTCATAGCAAGTATATTAAAAGAAGATATCAACCATTATCATGATTATGTTAATAAACTTTTACAATTTTGGTTATAGAAGTTGGATAACGTAATTCTACCTATGAATTCGGTAGGCAACCAATCAATTTATCTATACTGAAACCTCCTTGAATCTTTTGTGAATTGATGTAGGTTATCAATGGCCATTAATAAAAACAGCAATCAAACCAATACATAAAAAGCAGGTAAACTGAACGGCTTACTTTATAATTCACACTATAATGTAGTCATTATGTGACAGTGTAATATTTGAAAATAAATTTAAATATAAAAAATTGCCCATTTATAGATCTGTTCATTTTGACTCTCAAACATTTTTTATCAATACATGAGAAGGTTATTGAACAGACTGAACCTAGTATGTTCATAATAAAGTTTTATGTGTCTTCAGTCATCTCTCTCACCTTGCTTTTAAAACATGTAATTACATTTTAAGCAAACCCTATAGCTTTCAGGTCATTTTCAGTCCCCACTGGAACACTGCCTAGTGGAGCTGTGAGAAGAGGGCCACCATCCTCCAGAACTCAGAATTGTAGATCCACTGACAGCTCACACTGTGTGCCTGGAAAAGCCACAAGTTCACAACACCAGCTGTGAACACAGTCACAAGGGCTGTACCCTGCAAAGCCAAGAGGATGGAGCAGCCCAAGATCATGGGAGCCCACCCCTTTCATCAGCATGCCCTGGGTGTGAGATGTGTCAAATGAGACTATTTTGGAGCTTTAAGATGTAATGACTGCCCCACTGGATTTCAGACTTGCATGGGGTCTGTAGCCACTTTGTTTTGGCCAATTTCTCCCCTATGGAATGGGAACATTTATCCAATGACTGTACCCCCATTGTGTCTTGGAAATAACTAACTGGAGTTTGATTTTACAGGCTCCTAGGCAGAAGAGACTTGCCTTATCTCAGATAAGACTTTGGACTTGGAATTTTGGGTTAATGCTGAAATGAGTTAAGACTTTGGGGGACTGTTGGGAAGGCATGCTTGATTTTGAAACATTAAAAGGATGTGAGATCTGAGAGGGGCCAAAGGTGAAATGATATGTTTTGGCTCTGTGTCTCCACCCAAATATTATCACAAATTGTAATCCCCATAATCCCCAGTGTCAAGGGAGGGACCTGGTGGGAGGTGATTTAATTGTGGGGGCAGTTTCCTCCATGCTTTTCTTGTGATAATGAGTGAGTTCTCACAGGATCTTATGGTTTTATAAGTGTTTGACAGTTCCTCCTTCACAGAATCTCTCTCCTTCTGCCTTGTGAAGAAGGTGCCTGCTTCTTCTTCTATCATGATTATAAGTTTCTCGAGGCCTCCCCAGCTACATGGAGCTGTAAGTCCATTAAAACTCTTTCCTTTATAAATTATCCAGTCTTGGGTAGTTCTTTATAGCAGTGTGAAAATGGACTAATACACTGCATTTATATTTAAAAAGTTATAATAAGAGGTAAAAGCAATTATTTCTTTTTTTTTCTGTAATATAGCTCAGTATCTGTAGGAAGGCATATTCTTAAAGAGTATTGTTTAGATAGAAAGATAATTATTATTTAAAATGATTTGTTCATGTTAAAGAACATATTCACTTAATTAAAAAACATGCAAAAGGATTATAAGCTACTAAAAGTTAAATATTATTGAAATTATCAGAAAACTAAATAAATATCAATTAACCATTGTTATTTTGGAAAAAAACATTATACTTTGTGGAAAAGTATAATGTTTAAATTAAATTATGAAAATTTAATTTCTATTTCAAGTCAGAATATAACGTATTTCACTCTATGCCTAATATATAGTTTCCTGTCCTTCAAATTATATTAATGCCATTCAAAGTCCAAAATAATTTCATACAGAACTAGCACATTTATGGGAGAATATAAAGTGGAAAAGTACTTTTTCTTTTATCTTTCTCTTATTCTTTAAAGAATATAAAGTAGAAAAGTACTTATTCTTTTATTTTTCAGATCATATGGAATTTCAAAAAGAAATATTTGTTGCAGTGGGATTTTCTAATTAGCATATTTGTGTTAGGTTTCTCATTCTTCTGAATTTTTAAGTCATTTAAGTTTTTATTTCAGAACAGCTTATTAACCTCCCAATGCCTGTTCTACTCTTGTTACTGCAAAAGATGAGGGAAACAAAGTTCCAAAAGATGCATTGAGTTCTGATCTCCCTGCTGTTTTCTTTGTCATATTTTAATTTGTTTTCTCTCTGAGCTGCTTTTAATGGTTCTCTCTCTGTCTCTGTTTCTCTCTCTGGCTCTGACCTTGCTCTTTCTTCCTCCCAGAATTGAAATGTACATTTTTCCTACCTCTGATTCAGCCTAAGAAGGACCCCAAGGAAGACACTTTCTCAGATTTGCAAATCTGTGGAACCAATTATCTGCTGTCATTTGCCAACTTTCAGTTAGAGATCAATTTTTTCTTTCTGTTAGTTTTCTCATATGGCACACAAAGTTTTGTTTCTTACCAAATAAATCAAATTTTGCATCAATACAGTCTTACATCTAATGTAGTTCAATTCCTGTAAGGGTGAGTAGTCAATGTTACCGCTAAACACATCAACAGTTCTCTTTGCAGCATCCACCTTGACAACTATGATTCTCTCTCCTCTCTCCAACTATCATAAACTCTTCTTAACACGTTCTTGCTCACTCACCTGAATTCATTAGAGGATTAGTGTTCCCTTCCCAGACTTTTCAAGTGGGCAGACGTTCAGCATCCACATTCATGATGTTATATTTCATGTTGTTTCTTTTGGTTTCTTAGTACATTAAAATAATAAAACAAAAATATTTTGAGTATGGGCCTCTAACACACATATTTAGATCTCAATTATCCAAGGTAATATCTTACATGAAAAAAGGGATATAGTTTACAAATGTACCCTAGCTTCTTGATTTAAAACTGCAATTAATTAACATTAGCCAGATTTTTGTTTCCTAAAGAGATGTGAAACAAGAATTAGCTGAATAATTAAGTTCCTCGGAATAATATTTATGAAATTTCAGGCTGGGCAAATGGTGTATTTTAAAACCTATTTTGGATATACCTCAAAATGCTACTGTTAGTATCTATAATTTGAAGTTAAAATGGTATTATAAATATTGGCTTTTGAGTCACTATGTAGAAATATGAAAACATAAATTAACTGGCAAGTGACTAATATTCAGAGATTGGAGGAGAGGGTATGTGCTGCCTGTAGCAGTCAATAAAGGGAGAATAAATACAACCACTGTAATTCTTTTCTTAATGCTTTCCCACAAGGATGGAGATTGAGAATATTCAAATTTTAGAACAGAGACAGCTTTCTTCTCTAATTTGAGACTGATCAAACATACATACACTTGTCGAAGGTTTGTTTTTTACTTTAAGATAGTTTGGCTTTCCATATACTAGTCAATTTTTTGAAATCTCACAAGTCAATATGTAGTATAATGATCTCTTATGGATATAAAATAGTCATTTATGTGTGGAGTTCCTGAACCATTTTGTTAATGGCAATAAGGATTAGGAATTTTACAATTTTGTGTATTGATCAAATAATTGATTCCACCAGCTTTGATTTATTTGATGTAAAAAGTTGAGAAGAGTTTGAGTTGCTTTTTTTTAAACTGGTGTCCTTGCTGAAAGAAATACACTTAGGACAAAAGCCAAAATAGACAAATGAGATCTAATTAAACTGAAGAGCTTCTGCACAGCAAAAGAAACTATCATCAGAGTGAACAGGCAACCTACAGAATGGGAGAACATTTTTGCAATCTATCCATCTGACAAAGGGCTAATATCCATGAACTGCAAAAAACTTAAACAAATGTACAAGAAAAAAACAAATAACCCTATCAAAAAGTGGGCAAAGGATATGAACGAACACTTCTCAAAAGAAGATATTTATGCAGCCAACAGACATGAAAAAATGCTCATCATCACTGGTCATCAGAGAAATGCAAATCAAAACCACAATGAGATATCATCTCACACCAGTTAGAACGGTGATCATTAAAAAGTCAGGAAATAACAGATGCTAGAGAGGATGTGGAGAAATAGGAATGCTTTTACACTGTTGCTAGGAGTGTAAATTAGTTTAACCATTGGTTTAACCATTGTGCAAGACAGTGTGGTGATTCCTCAAGGATCTAGAACTCGAAATACCATTTGATCTAGCAATCCCATTACTGGGTATATACCCAAAGGATTATAAATCATGCTGCTATAAAGACACATGCACACATATGTTTATTGTAGCACTATTCACAATAGCAAAGACTTGGAACCAACCAAATGTCCATCAATGATAGACTGGATTAAGAAATTGTGGCAAACATACACCATGGAATACTATGCAGCCATAAAAAAGATGAGTTCATGTCCTTTGCAGGGACATGGATGAAGCTGGAAACCATCATTATAAGCAAACTATCACAAGAACAGAACACCAAACATGTTCTCACTCATAGGTGGGAGTTAAACAATGAGAACACATGGACACAAGGCAGAGAACATCACACACCAGGGCTGGCTGGGGGGTTGGGGGCTGGGGGAGGGATTGCATTAGGGGAAATACCTAATGTAAATGACAAGTTGATGGGTGCAGCAAACCAACATGGCCAATTTATACCTATGTAACAAACCTGCACGTTGTGCACATGTACCCTAGAACTTAAAGTATAAAAAAAAAAAGAGTTCAGGCTGGGCACAGTGGCTCACGCCTGTAATCCCAGCACTTCTGGAGGCCCATGCCTCCCAAAGTGCTGGGATTACAGGAGGGAGCAACCTCGCCCGGCCAGTAATCATTATTAAAAGAGGTTGTTTTTAATTAATCTTCTGGTCTTCCTTTTTGGTGCTAAAAAGCTAAAGTAGCATGGCTTTTTTATATCAATACTTTCAAATTTTATTTTATTGCTCAAAATTTCAATAGATATTTTTAGTTACAAAAAAAAAAAAAAAAACAGAATAAGGCCTTGTTGTATTAGGAAAATAAGATTGCATTAAAGGACATAAGGTAGATTGTAGAATCTCTGGAATGACCAGAGAGTTGGGCTCCTAAATTATGCAGCCAGAATCCCCATAGGCATTTTTGGGGATGTTCTGGCAAGAACCCCACAGCTGCTACTGTTGGGCACCTCACCTTAAAATACGCAGGCTCTTCATCTTGCACATACGAAGCTTGAGGCACAGCTGTCATTCATCCTGGTGGAGCATGGCAGCTCATTCACAGCTGTCCGTATAAAGCTACTTTTCTATGTTATCATACTCTCAAAGCCAGGGGTTCCTCACCTATCCACTTACTCCTATCACATCACAGGTTATGCAGGTGCTTGCTTATGCTGAAGCTTTGAAGACGGCCTAGAAAACATTTTTTGGTGTTGTTTTCACTGTGATAAGTTGGGACACACATTTTAAGACATGATTTTAAGAATGAGAAGGATGTTCAAAGATGATCAGCCACACATGCCTGTGGTAGCTACTCCTTACAGCCCTAACATCACCGCACAACTTCTATCACATTTAAACTTTCCATCATCAACAAAAATTGCATCACTAACAATAGGCAATATAGGAGAGGCAAATGTCTATCTCTACTTCTTTTTTTCAGCTGAGCCTGAGAATTAAATTGATATAAGACAGATTCCCAGAGAAAGGCATCCAAATGTATATAAGTTTTGAGTGACATAGGAACCCTCATAAGGAAGTGAAAGCCCAAAGAACTGACAAAGTCTTAATGCTTTTATGCTAGATTGAACACAGAATATTTGAAAAAGTAACTAAATCATGTGGGAGGTCAAAGGAAGATAAGAATTATTTTAACAAGGTCTGTTTGTACAGGATTCTCTTGGCTGTGACTCCCCATCAAAAAATGTTT
Organism: Homo sapiens; assembly: GCF_000001405.40. Lineage (NCBI taxonomy): Eukaryota > Metazoa > Chordata > Mammalia > Primates > Hominidae > Homo > Homo sapiens. The sequence continues at coordinate 43,607,769 of NC_000004.12, forward strand.
TATTTTGTCTTGGTAGAAGGGAGGTGTCTTTCACATGGGGGTTCTAATCTCCTGTTTTCAGAAAGAAAAGGAAATAATTCGAATTCCCTTGTTACATCTGCTGTTTTTTCAAGTGCCTTTAGCCCAAAATAATCCTCATGCAAGAGTGGCATATTTTGGGTGGCATATTCTGCCACTTTTCAGTAACTTTCCTTTATTAAATGGTAAACCTCCCTCCACACACACCAAGCAGCACAAATCAATGTCTAATCTCTGACTGTAATCACTTCTAGGTCTGACTTTGTTAGTTCTGCAGCAATCCTGTCATGGTATATATAATCCGTGGCTTACATAACAACAAACAAACAACAACAACAAAAAAAACACTACTCCATTTTATATAAAATGGTTGAACATGAGAGGGGAAAAAAAGTATAATTAAGTTAAATATATAAATAGCACAACGAGAGTGAAGGTTGAGAAGATACTACACTTCCTGTTTTTGTAACATGTTATGAAACCACACATAGATTTAATAACATCACAAGCCTTTCAATGTTTATCTCACTTATCTAGCAGCTCCTCTATGATGCTTTACCTGTTGTGGAAACTGGATTTTTAGAATGCAAGTTTTTCAGCCCTGATGGCTCTTCCCGAAAGAAGTTGTTAAAGTAATCCATGTGCTTTAACCATTGGACATAACAATATTAATAAAACTCTGAGAGAAGCCCCTAACTTTTTGACTTATTTATCTGTGTGCTTAGATCTTAAAATCAAATCCCACAGTGATAATGATGTGAAAAATAGTTTTGCAAGAAGAGTAAAAAGAGTAATAGGGGCGGGGCACAGTGGCTCATGCCTGTAACCCCAGCACTTTGGGAGGCTGAGGCGGGTGGATCACAAGGTCAGGAGTTTGAGACCAGCCTGACCAATATGGTGAAACCCTGTCTCTACTAAAAATAAAAATACAAAAATTAGCCAGGCGTGGTGGCACATGCCTGTAGTCCCAACTACTCAGGAGGCTGAGGCAGAAGAATCACTTGAACCTGGGAGGCGGAGGTTGCAGTAAGCCAAGATTGCCCCACTGCACTCCAGCCTGGGCGAGAGAGTGAGACTCCGTCTCAAAAAAAAAAAAAAAAAAAAAAAAAAAAGAGTAATAGGGAGAGAGATACCACTTTCACCTTTCACTTTAACTTCTTGGATTTTGGAATTACAATTTTTGACTATGGGAGGACTACCTTGTACACGGGCTGCTAGCTCAGTACACATAAGACATGCCTCTCAACTTCACAAGATGTCCTTCAGCTGATGCACCCTTCAGTGAATCTTCATACTCTTCTATAGGGCCAGTTTCTGCCTGATAATGAGACCTGTCCAAAGTGAAGTGAGGCTCATAAAAATTAGCTCACTGCCTTACTATTCTGTGTGCAAAGGATGGTGAATATGCGAGCCGGAATTTCTTCAAATGGTAGAAAATATTGTTCTGCTTCCTATGGATATTGTCAGGATTAAGTAAAAGAACAAAAGAGTAAGCTGACTTTTGGCATCGGAGTGAGCTCTTTCTTGTTAGTGAGAAACCTGGTAGCCTCAATTTGATAAAAGTACGAAGAGCCACTAACAGTTATTGAGTACTTAATTTATGCTACAAACACTAACCGTTATTGAGTACTTAGTTTATGCTACAAATTTTATGTGTTACTATATTTTATTCTAAAAAAATTGATTGATTAGATACAACTATGTTTCCCAATTTATAGAATATGAAACTGAGTCTGAGACAAGTAAAGTCATTTGCCCAAGGACCACCCACCTTAGTGAAAGGCAATGTTCTTTACTCCAGAGTTTACACCTTTAGTAGCAATGCACTTCTTACTGACTGCATAGTAATCTAATATATATAAAGGCATTTGTTCACTCAGCTTAAGCAGCATATTCTGAAAATAATTTCTAATTCTTCATGGAAAATTTTATAAATTTAATCTTTAGGTAATAATAAGTGTAGAGCTCTGGAAGGCAGCAGTATGCTGTGATTTTAACTTGGTTTTATTTATTTATTTTCGAGATGGAGTCTCTGTCACCCAGGCTGGAGTGCAGCCGCATGATCTCAGTTCACTGCAACCTCCACCTCCCAGGTTCAAGCGATTCTCCTGCCCCCGCCTCCCTAGTAACTGGGATTACAGGCATGCACCACCACCCTCAGCTAACTTTTGTATTCTTAGCAGAGATGGGATTTCACCATGTTGGCCAGGCTGGTCTCAAACTCCTGACCTCAAGTGATCCGCTCACCTTGGCCTCCCAAAGTGCTGGGATTAGAGGCATGAGCCACCGTGCCTGTGTCTTAGCTTGGTTTTCTATCCTGGGAAATTTACAAAGGTCAACCTTTCCAAGGTATTTGAGCCTTTTATTCTTGTTAAACACATATTTGACAAATATGTCTATAATAGATAGATAGATAGATAGATAGATAGATAGATAGATAGATAGATAGATATAGTGCATATCATTCATGTGGGTTGGGCCATAATGCAAGTCATTTGAAAACCTACATAATAAATAAAAACAGGTTAAAATATCAAAGCATTCCATAAAGATCCCCTCATAGAGTCAAAGGATCTAAGCAAAACGAACACTGTGCTAGTAAGTTCTAGAAAATAACTTATTAAACTAAGAGTTGAAAAGGAAAGACTGTAAGATGGACTGACTTGATCCTGATCCTGGCTCCACCATACTCCAGCTTTGTGAGTGTGAGCAAGCTACACAAACTCTCCATGCCCAACTTTCCTCATGTGTTCAATGTAGATAATAATGCCACTCTCTTTCAGGGTTGATTGAAGATTAAGGGAATTAATACATTTAAAACACTTTCACATGTACTATGTGTTTGCCGTTATTATGAACACAAATATTTTAGCCACTTAAGATTGCACTTTCTATGTGATGCATTATTTTATACCAAATTGTAAATGCATTTCAAAGCAAATTTACTTAAATATCAGGAAATGAGATGAAGGTGAGGCTCTAGGCAGTTTGGGAAAAGAGTAACTATGGTAGATGAACAGAACAGAAGGGTAAGATTCAGGATATGCGACTATGGTAAGAGAAAAAGGAATCTGATAGAGCTCTGTGATGCATGTAAATATGAACCTGAGTGAAAACCCTTTTTATGGCTTCATGTCATGCTAATATTCATGTTGTCAGCTTCAGGCACTTTGTCAATGTGACCCAGTCTCTAAATCATTCTATTACCATGGCTATAGTCACAGGTTCTCCTGCTAAAACTAAAAGTTTATGATAGCTTATCTCTGCCCTTTGCAGCACACTGTTAATGGGGTCAATTCCTCATGTCAGACAATACTTTCAGGTCTTTTTAAAAGGATGTCAATCCATCTAAGTTTTATATCTGTGTAAGTCTACAAAAATTTATAACTCTTTTCCTCTTGTACTTTACAACTTTATAGCAACACTACAAAGAAATTAAATGACAGAGAGAGACAACTGAATTACAGGAAAACTGGAAGTTAAGGTTCAGCCTTTGTAAAAAAAAATCACTGCCAATGTTTAATTTATATTACTTCACTCTGGCACAACATAATATGTAGATTATTATTTTATAGAAAAATAATTCTTAAATGTATTTTCCATTCAATTTAGTCTCATTGACTAAAAAGTCCCAAATAACATCACTATAACAGGTGCATAACAGGAAAGACAAGATGACACAGCTAAGAGACTCTTATTTTTAAATTATCATCTATTTTCTACGGTTTCAGCGAGTATAATTGTTAAGTGAGGGAAAACTTAACTGAATTAACTGTTCACTATTTACCTGCCTTTCACTGATTCTGACCTTAACATATTATTTTAATAAGAGGTTTTCTAGGAAAAGTGAGATAATTTTTTAAAAATTATTTTATTGTTATTATACTTTAAGTTTTAGGGTACATGTGCACAATGTGCAGGTTAGTTACATATGTATACATGTGCCATGCTGGTGTGCTGCACCCATTAACTCGTCATTTAGCATTAGGCATATCTCCTAATGCTATCCTTCCCCCCTCCCCCCACCCCACAACAGTCACCAGAGTATGATGTTCCCCTTCCTGTGTCCATGTGTTCTCATTGTTCAATTCCCACCTATGAGTGAGAACATGCGGTGTTTCGTTTTTGTCCTTGGGATAGTTTACTGAGAATGATGGTTTCCAGCTTCATCCATATCCCTATAAAGGACATGAACTCATCATTTTTTATGGTTGCATAGTATTCCATGGTGTATATGTGCCACATTTTCTTAATCCAGTCTATCATTGTTGGACATTTGGGTTGGTTCCAAGTCTTTGCTATTGTGAATAGTGCCACAATAAACATACATGTGCATGTGTCTTTATAGCAGCATGATTTATAGTCCCTTGGGTATATACCCAGTAATGGGATGGCTGGGTCAAATGGTATTTCTAGTTCTAGATCCCTGAGGAAACGCCACACTGACTTCCACAATGGTTGAACTAGTTTACAGTCCCACCAACAGTGTAAAAGTGTTCCTATTTCTCCACATCCTCTCCAGCACCTATTGTTTCCTGACTTTTTAATGATTGCCTTTCTAACTGGTGTGAGATGGTATCTCATTGTGGTTTGGATTTGCATTTCTGTGATGGCCAGTGATGGTGAGCATTTTTTCATGTGTTTTTTGGCTGCATAAATGTCTTCTTTTGAGAAGTGTCTGTTCATGTCTTCTGCCCACTTTTTGATGGGGTTGTTTGTTTTTTTCTTGTAAATTTGTTTGAGTTCATTGTAGATTCTGGATATTAGCCCTTTGTCAGATGAGTAGGTTGCGAAAATTTTCTCCCATTTTGTAGATTGCCTGTTCACTCTGATGGTAGTTTCTTTTGCTGTGCAGAAGCTCTTTAGTTTACTTAGATCCCATTACTCAATTTTGCCTTTTGTTGCCATTGTTTTTGGTGTTTTAGACATGAAGTCCCTGCCCATGCCTATGTCCTGAATGGTAATGCCTAGGTTTTCTTCTAGGGTTTTTATGGTTTTAGGTCTAATGTTTAAGTCTTTAATCCATCTTGAATTAATTTTTGTATAAGGTATAAGGAAGGGATCCAGTTTCAGCTTTCTACATATGGCTAGCCAGTTTTCCCAGCACCATTTATTAAATAGGGAATCCTTTCCCCATTGCTTGTTTTTCTCAGGTTTGTCAAAGATCAGATAGTTGGAGATACGCGGCATTATTTCTGAGGGCTCTGTTCTGTTCCATTGATCTATACCTCTGTTTTGGTACCAGTACCTGCTGTTTTGGTTACTGTAGCCTTGTAATATAGTTTGAAGTCAGGTAGCGTGATGCCTCCAGCTTTGTTCTTTTGGCTTAGGATTGATTTGGCAATGTGAGCTCTTTTTTGGTTCCATATGAGCTTTAAAGTAGTTTTTTCCAATTCTGTGAAGAAAGGCATTGGTAGCTTGATGGGGATGGCATTGAATCTATAAATTACCTTGGGCAGTAGGGCCATTTTCACGATATTGATTCTTCCTACCCATGAGCATGGAATGTTCTTCCATTTGTTTGTATCCTCTTTTATTTCATTGAGCAGTGGTTTGTAGTTCTCCTTGAAGAGGTCCTTCACGTCCCTTGTAAGTTGGATTCCTAGGTATTTTATTCTCTTTGAAGCAATTGTGAATGGGAGTTCACTCATGATTTGGCTCTCTGTTTGTCTGTTATTGGTGTATAAGAATGCTTGTGATTTTTGTACATTGATTTTGTATCCTGAGACTGCTGAAGTTGCTTATCAGCTTGAGGAGATTTTGGGCTGGGATGATGTGGTTTTCTAGATATACAATCATGTCATCTGCAAACAGGGAAAATTTGACTTCTTCTTGTCCTAATTGAATACCCTTTATTTCCTTCTCCTGCCTAATTGCCCTAGCCAGAACTTCCAACACTATGTTGAATAGGAGTGGTGAGAGAGGGCATCCCTGTCTTGTGCCAGTTTTCAAAGGGAATGCTTCCAGTTTTTGCCCATTCAGTATAATATTGGCTGTGGGTTTGTCCTAGATAGCTCTTATTATTCTGAGATACGTCCCATCAATACCTAATTTATTGAGAGTTTTTAGCATGAAGTGTTGTTGAATTTTGTCAAAGGCCTTTTCTGCATCTATTGAGATAATCATGTGGTTTTTGTCTTTGGTTCTGTTTATATGCTGGATTACATTTATTGATTTGCATATATTGAACCAGCCTTGCATCCCAGGGATGAAGTCCACTTGATCATGGTGGATAAGCTTTTTGATGTGATGCTGGATTCGGTTTGCAGTATTTTATTGAGGAATTTTGCATCAATGCTCATCAATGATATTGGTCTAAAATTCTTTTTTTTGGTTGTGTCTCTGCCCGGCTTTGGTATCAGGATGATGCTGGCCTCATAAAATGAGTTAGGGAGGATTCCCTCTTTTTCTATTGATTGGAATAGTTTCAGAAGGAATGGTACCCGTTCCTCCTTGTACCTCTGGTAGAATTCGGCTGTGAATCCATCTGGTCCTGGACTCTTTTTCGTTGGTAAGCTATTGAATATTGCCACATTTTCAGAGCCTGTTATTGGTCTATTCAGAGAGCGAACTTCTTCCTGGTTTAGTTTTGGGAGGGTGTATGTGTCGAAGAATTTATCCATTTCTTCTAGATTTTCTAGTTTATTTGCGTAGAGGTGTTTGTAGTATTCTCTGATGGTAGTTTGTATTTCTGTGGTATCTGTGGTGATATCCCCTTTGTCACTTTTTATTGCATCTATTTGATTCTTCTCTCTTTTCTTCTTTATCAGTCTTGCTAGTGGTCTATCAATTTTGTTGATCCTTTCAAAAAACCAGCTCCTGGATTCATTAATTTTTTAAAAAAATTGAAGTCTTTCAGTTACACTCTCTTGGATGTACGGTATAATCACAAGAATAATACTAATAGTTATAATAATAATTACTCATTTTAATACCTAACTTTTAATAATAATAGCTAACCTTTTTAGGATATTTTCTAGGTGCCAATACAGTTTTAAATATTGTATATATAGTGACTCGTTTAGTCATCATGACAGTCATTTAACCATTTACCTCATTTATCAGATGACAGAAGATAACTACAAAAAGGTTAAGTAATTTGCCTGAGGAAATTAGTAGCAGAGCCGAGAATCAATTCCAGTCTCTTGAATCCTAAAAGCCCTTGCTTTTTAAAAGAGCCACCGTATCAGTTTGCCATGTGTACCTGCAGATCCCCATTCTGGCATTGCATGTGGCATTATAAGGGTCTTCCTGGTGCAATTACTGAGGGTTGAATCCAGGAATACAGGTATTTCACCTTAACTTCCATTTTATCTCTCACTCTACGGGCATAAAGTGAGAATTACAGGTGTTACTCAACTCAAGCTTATAGGAAATAAATGTTGCTGATTGTTCTGTATGTATGTCTTCCCTCAGATTTATGGGACTAATTTTAGGGAAGTATCTGCTCACATTCCACCTCTTCAGATAAATCTTTGATAAACTCTGGATCTAATGAAAAATTAGATTTCTGCCCCCTTAGCTTGTTACATGTTTTTCTTCATAGCATTTTCCACTGACATTTTTTTTTACTTTTTTACTTTAAATTTACTTTATTTTTTTTACTTAACTAGCTGCCTCATCATTGATATTGTAAAGTTCATGATAAATTTTGTGTTGTTCACCTCTCTATCCCTAATATCTGGAAAATTACCTAGTATATAGTAAATGCTCAATAACTATTTGTTTAGTAAATTGTTAATGAACGAGTTCAAGGTTGGGTGGAATAAATACCTGGAAAAAAATCACTCACAGGGAACTCATAATAATGATTATTTCTAGAGAGGCAGATTATATAAATGAAACATAAGAAAAAATAAGACTTTTTCCTCCTTGTAAAACTTTCTGCTGTTAGGATTTTATTAAAGTAAATATAGACATTTACTATTTTTAGTTTAACACGATTACCATTTGCAACTACTTTTTGTTTCCAAAAAGATTTTGTAAGGCCTATGCAACCCAAACAGATATATTTTTATACCAATATAAATTAAATACTGACCGTCATGCACATGTTTGTGGGGTCATCTGCTGCCCTGCTGGAGGTGTGCACGAGCATGTGGACTCCCATCGACTTGCCACTGCCCTGCCAAAGCACTTTTGATAAGCATCATCCATTTGAGTATTGTTGCCAGCAGACTGAGAACACCTCTGACCAACTAGCACAGCAGGTGCTTAACCTCCAGGGGCCAGATAGCAAAGCAGTGGGCCAGGTCCTAGCCCTGCAAAAGTTAGAGCATGCAGCACAGGAGTCCCAGTATTGCCCCTCTGAGATTATCAAGAAATGAAGCCAACCAACTAAACCCAACTTACACTACAGTAAAATCCTCAAGGGCATCAAAAAATATAGAAACGAAAAGTGCCATATACAAACATTAAAGTCCACCTAGAGGAGAAAGAAAGTCCAAGAACTACAGCAACTCTAAATGCCAGGTTGTCTTTTTACCTCCAAATGCCTCCACTAGCTCCCCAGCAGAGGTTCTTAATCAAACTGAAATGACTGAAATGGCAGACATAGAATTTAGAATCTGACTGGCAATGAAGATCATTAAGATTCAGTAGAAATTTGAAAGACAATCAGAGGAATCTAAGGAATCCTATAAAATGATACAAGTGATGAAAGAAGAAATAGCCATTTTAAGAAAGAACCAAACTACTCTAGAGCTGAAAACTCACTACAAGAATTTCATAATACAGTCGGAAATATTAACAGCAGAATAGAGCAAGTTCTGAGAAGAGAATCTCAGAACTTACAGACTGGTTCCTTGAATCAACTCAATCAAACAAAAATAATTTGAAAAATGAAGAAAACCCCTGAGAAATATGGGATTATGTAAGGAAATCAAATCTATGACTCATTGCCATTACAGCAAGAGAGGGAGAGAAAGCAAGCTATTTTGGAAATATATTTCAGACTATTGCCCAGGAAAATTTCCATAGCCTAACTAGAGAGGTTGATATACAAATTTAGGATATTCAGAGAATCCCAAAAATATTCTATACAAGATGACCATCCTCGCAACATAATCATCAGGCTCTCCAAGGTCAATGTGAAAGAAATAAGTATAAAAGGTGACTAGAGATAAGGGCAATGTCACATACAAAAGGAACCTCATCAAACTAACAGTAGATTTTTCAGCAGAAACCTTACATGCCAGAAGAGAATAAGGGTCTACATTCAGCATCCTTAAAGAAAAAAATTTTCCAACTGCAAATTTTATATCCAGCCAAACTCAACATTATAAGTGAAGGAGAAATACAATCCTTTTCTGACAAACAAATATTAAGGAAATTCATTACCACAACACCCCCTTTACAAGAGGTATTTAAGGGAGTGCTAAACATGGAAATGAAAGACTGTTACCTGACTGAGCACAGTGGCTCACTCCTGTAATTGCAGCACTTTGGGAAGCCGAGGTGGGTGGATCACTTGAGGTCAGGAGTTCGAGACCAGCCTGGCCAACATGGTGAAATCCTATCTCAACTAAAAAATACAAAAATTAGCTAGGTCTGGTGGCCTGTGACTGTAATCCCAGCTACTCAGGAGGCTGAGGCAGAATTGCTTGAACCTGGGAGGTGGAGGTTGCCGTGAGCTGGGATCATGCCACTGTACTCCAGCCTGGGGGACAGAGCAAGACTTCTGTCTGAAAAAAAAGAAAAAGAAAAACTATTATCTGCCACCACACACACACACACACACACACCCCAAAGTACACAGCCCACTGACACTCTAAAGCAACTATACAATCAAGTTCGCATAACAACTAGCTAACAACATAACATAATCAAATCCTCACATGTCAATATTAACCTTTAATGTAAATGGGCTAAATGTCCCTTAAAAGGCACAGAGTGGCAAATTGGATAAAGAAGCAAAACTCAACTGTATCCTGTCTTCAAGAGAACCATCTCATATGCAATGACACCCATAGGCTCAAAGTAAAAGGAAAGGAAAAGATCTATCAAGCAAACAGAAAACATAGAAGAACAAGGGTTGCTATTTTTATTTTAGATGAAACAAACTTTAAATCAACAATGATCAGAAAGGACAAATAAGGACATTACATAATGACAAAGGGTTCACTTCAGTATAATGATCCTAAATATATATGCCCCAAGTCAGGAGCAGCATATTAATAAAATAATTTTTAGAGACCTAAAAGGGACTTAGATAATAACGCAATAATAGTAGGAGCCTTCAACATCCCACTGACAGTATTAGATCATCAAGGAAAAAAACTAACAAAGAATTTGAGACCTAAACTCAACACTTGACCAAATAGACCTAACAGACATCTACAGAATATGCCACAGAACAAGAGAATATACATTCTTCTCATCTGCATATAGCAATACTCTAGAGTCAACAAAATGCTCAGCCGTAAAGCAATTCTCAAGAAACAGCACAAAAAAAACAAAATTATACCAATAACACTCTCGGACCACACACAATAACAATAAAAATCAATATCAAGAAGATCTCTCAAAACCATACAATTAAATGGAAATTTAGAAACCTGCTCCTGAATGAATTTTGAGTAAATGACAAAATTAAGGCAGAAATTAAGAAATTCTTTGACAACAATGAAACCAAAGATTTAACATACCAGAATATCTGAGACACAGGTAAAGCAGTGTTAAAAGGAAAGTTTATAGTGCTAAGTTCCTACATCAAAAAGTTAGAAAGATCTCAAATTAACAACCTAACATCACAATTAAGGGAAGCAGAAAAACAAGAGCAAATCAACTCCAAAGATAGCAGAAGAAAAGAAATAACCAAAATCAAAGCAGAACTGAATAAAATTTAGATGTGAAAATCCATACAAAAATCAATGAAACAGAAAGTTGCTTCTCTGAAAGAATAAATAAGATGAATAGACCACTAGTTAGACTAATAAAGAAAAAGAAGAGAGAAGATCCAAAACACAATCAGAAATGACAAATGTTTCATTACTACCAACCCCACAGAAATACAAAAATCTCTCAGAGACTATTATGAATACCTCTATGCAAAAAAAAAAAAAAAAAAAAAAAAACTAGAAAATCTAGGCAAAATGGATATATTTCTGGAAACATGCAACCTCACAAGATTGAACCAGGAGGAAACTAAATACCTGAATAGACTAACATGAGTTCTGAAATTGAATAAGTAATATAAAACCTACCAACCAGAAAAAGCCCTAGACTAAATGAATTTGCAGCCAAATTCTTCCAGATGTAGAAAGAAGAGATGGTACCAATCCTGAAACTATTGTAAAAAATTATGGAGGAGGGACTCCTCCCTAACTCATTCAAAGAGGTCAGCATCATTCTGCTACCAAAAACTGGCAGAGACACAACAAACGAAGAAATAATTTAGGCCAGTATTCCTGATGAACAACACAGATGCAAAAATCTTCAAGAAAATACTAGCAAACTAAATCCAGCAGCATGTCAAAAAGCTAATACACCAGGATCAAATAGATTTTATTCCTGGGATGCAAGGTTTGTTCAATATATGCATATAGGCTTTTAAAAAATTTCAGCATCATTTCCTGTTAAAATCCCTCAACAAACTATGCACTTAAGGAACATCCCTCAAAATAAAATGATTCATCTATGACAAACCCACAGCCAATATCACATTGAACAAATAAAAGCTGGGAGCATTCCTGTATTGGTCTCTTTTCACACTACTTTAAAGAACTACCTAAGACTGGGCAATTTATAAAGAAAAGAGGTTTAATTCAGTCACAGTTCTGCATAGCTGGGAAGGGCTTAGGAAGCTTAACAATCATGGCAGAAGGGGAAGCAAGGCATGATTTCATGGTGGCAGGAGAGAGAGAGAAAAAAGAAAGAGAGAGTGAGAGAGCAAGGGGGGAAGTGCCACACTTTTAAACCATCAGATCTCATGAGAACTCACTGTCACAGGAATACCACTGGGGAAACTGTCCCCATGATCCAATCACCTTTCACCAGATCCCTCCCCTGAAATGTGGGAATTACAATTTGAGATGAGATTTGGGTGGTGACACAGAGCCAAACCCCTGACCCTTCCCAAATCTCATGTACTTCTCCTATTTCAAAACAAATCATGTCTTCCCAATAGTCCCCCAAAGTCTTAACTCATTCCAGCATTAACTCAAAAGTCCATGCCCCAAGTCCCATCTGAGACAACATAAGTCCCTTTCATCTATGAGCCTGTAAAATAAAAAAAAAATAGTTACTTCCAAGATACTATGGGGTTCAGGCATTGGGTAAATGCTCCCATTCCAAATGGGAGAAGTTGATGAAAACTAAGGGGCTACCGACCCCATATAAGTCTGAAATCCAGCAGGGCAGCCATTAAATCATAAAGCTCCAAAATAATCTCCTTTGACTCTGTGTCTCACATCCAGGGCATGATGATGCAAGATATGGGCTCTCAGGAGGCTGCACTCTGAAGCCCACCCCTGCAGCACTTCAGAGTACAGCCCCTGCTGCTGCTTTTATGAGGTGGTGTTGAGTGGCTGCAGCTTTTCCAGGTGCACAATGCAAGCTGTTGGTGGATCTACCATTATGGATTCTGGAGGATAGTGGCCCTCTTCTCACAGCTCCACTAGGCAGTGCCCCAGTGGGGACTCTGTGTAAGGGCTTCAACCACACATTTCCCTTTTGCTTTGCACTAGTAAAGGCTTTCCATGAGGGCTCCATCCCTGCAGCAGACTTCTAACTAAACATCCAGGTGTTATGCTAATTTCTGCAGATGGCTTGAATTTCTCCCCAGAAAATTATTCTTTCTTTCTACAATATGATCAGGCTGCAAATTTTCCAAATTTTTATATTCTGCTTCCTTTTTAAACATAAGTTCCAATTTCAGACCATCTCTTTGTGAATGCATGAATGCATATGACTATATGCATTTAGATACAGTCATGTTATTTCTTGAATGCTTTGCTGCTTAGAAATGTCTTTCATGAGATACCTTGACTCATCTTTCTAAAGTTCAAAGTTCTAAAGATCTCTATGGCAGGGGCATAATGCCACCAGTCTCTTTGCTAAAGCACAGCAAGAGTGACCTTTACTCTAGTTCCCAATAAGTTCCATATCTCCATCTAAGACTACCTCAGCATGGGTCTCATTTCCCATATTACTATCAGCATTTTGGTCAAAACCATTCAACAAGTCTGTAGGTAGTTACAAACTTTCCCACATCTTCCTGTCTTCTTCTGAGCCCTCCATACTGTTCTAACCTCTGCCCATTACCCAGTTCCAAAGTTGCTTCCACATTTTCACATATCTTTATAGCAATGCCTCACTCTTGGTACAAATTTTTTGTATTAGTCTGTTTTTACATGCTATAAAGAACTACTTGAGACTGGGTAATTTATAAATAATAGAGGTTTAATTGAGTCACAGTTCTGCATGGCTGGGGAGGCCTTAGGAAACTTACAAGCATGGCAGAAGGGGAGGAAGCAAGGCACAACTTACATGGCGGCAGGAGAGAGAGAAAGAGAGTGAGGGATGAAGTGCCACACTTTTAAAGCATCAGATCTCATGAGAACTCACTGTGACAAGAACAAAATGGGGGAACCACCCCCTTGATCCAATCACCTTCCACCAGGTCCCTCTATTGACACATGGGAATTACAATTTGAGATGAGATTTGGGTGAGACATAGAGCCAAACCATATCATCAATTCCCCATTGAGAACTAGAAGAAGACAAGGATGCCCACTCTCACCACTCCTATTCAACATAGCACTGGAAATTCTAGCCAGAGGAATCAACCAAGAGAAATAAATAAAAGGCATCCAAAGGGAAGAGAGGAAGTCAAAATATTTCTCTATGCAGACAATATGATTCTATACCTAGAAAACCCCATGGTTTCTGCCCAAAGGCTCTTAGATCTGATAAACAACTATAGCAAAGTGTCAGGATACAAAGTCAATCATAAAAAATCAGTAGCATTTGTATAAACCAATAACGTCCAAGCTGAGAGCCAAATCAAGAATGCAATTCCATTCACAATAGGCACAAAATGAATAAAAAACCCAAACGAACACTCAAAGGAATATAAATCATTCTAACATTAAGAATCATACATGCTTATATTAATCACAGCACTATTCATTATAGCAAAGACATGGAATCAACCTAGATGTCCATCAACAGTGGACTGCATAAAGAAAATATGGTACATATACACCATGGATACTATATAACCATAAAACAAATTAAATCATGTTCTTTGCAGCTAAGTGGATGTAGCTGAAGGCCATTATTCTAAGAGAATTAATGTAGCAACAGAAAACCAAATACCACATGTTCTCACTTGTAAGTGGGAGCTAGACATTCAGTACACATGAACACAAAGAGGAGAACAATAGACACTGAAACTTACTTGGGGGTGGAGGCTAGGAGGGTGAGGACTGGAAAACTACATATTGGGTACTATGATCACTACTTGGGTGACAAAATCATTTGTACAGCAAACCCCAGTGACACACAATTTACCCATGTAACAAACCTGCTCATGTAACCCCTGAAACTAAAATAAAAGTTAAAGAGAAAAAATAAGAAAATAGATACTGCCTGACATTAAACTAAAATTTTTCTCATAAACTCAATTTCAAATTTTGTATGTTTCAAAATATTTGTGCTTTTCATACATTAATGTTATAACAGATAAACTTCATAAATTAGAGATTATTACTTACATGTGTACTAATGCAACTGTAAAGCTGCCTTCATATTGTTACTTTTCAAATATGGTCAGATAATATATTTCAAAAAGCTGAACCAGTTTTCTTCTTTAAAAATATTCTTTTATTTAGAGGCAAGGTAATATTAATTTATAAAAAGTATTTTAATGAGACTAATGAGCTATTTTTACTTAAAGACAAAAATATAATTTAAATATATCATTTTAACTTTGTTGCCAAAGTTAAAATAAGTTTTAAATCAATTATCTTTGTTGTCACCCTAAATGGGAGATATTCTATTATTTCAAAACTCGATGTTATAATAAACATTCATGACGACTAAATTTATTTAAAATTATCATATTTCTATCTTTATTTTCATGGGGAAGTGATTAAATCCAATTGGTTAACTTTAGTAGTTTTTAAGAAAGATTTAGGAAAGAAAAGAAAATCCACAAAATGTTATAAAAATTAAATCAGCAGTAGTGTGCCCTTCTTATAAAGCAATTCTAACATTCAGCATGTTACCAATATAAACTTTGGAAAAAATCACTATTTTTCTAATAAAATGTTTAATTTTCTTTGATTATTTAAAAATAATATTAAAGCAATTTCTATTAAGCAAAAAGCATTAAAGCAATCTCGCAATTATAGGTGAGTGGTACTTAAATTTTCTTTGTATACTATAGAAATTGTGTTGATCTAAGATTCCAACAAGGTCATTTTAAGTAGTAGAAATATGTTTAAGCCTGCGATTCAAAAGTAAAACATAATTTGTAAAAATCAACATCATTAAAGTTTCAAAGATTTATTCAGCTATATATTTTAAACATTTTAAAAATATGGCTTATTGTATAATGTATATTAATATAATATCTGAAAACATAATTGTATACAAAATTTTATACATGCATATATACATATTATGTATTCTATAACACTGTGCTTTAAAATTAATGTGAGTTGGGAGCTGTTTTTTCATCACAACTTATGACAAAACTTGCCTATACTCCTCACAAAACCAAAAAGTTTTCTTTGTATGCTTTAATTTTCTCCACTGATTGTTTTCTCTCTTCAATGACAAATCCTTCTTCCAGGTGCCTTAGGCTGTAATATTTACTCAATTTTTCCTTCACATAAATAACATAAATAAGTAGGCATTATATGTGCACACAAATTTAATAATGTTAATGTATTCATTCCAAAGAGCTTTATTTGCATGAACAGACTTTCATTTTCAGGGCTGAAATGTATTCACTCATTCATCAGTTCAATCATTATTTCTCATTTTCATTTATCTATTTACCCATTATCTACTCATTCAACATATACTTAATAAGAGTTTTCAGAGACAATGACATGTTGCAATTATACAAAGATAAAAGGTTTTCACAGGTTCTGCAATATCTATATTCAAGGCAGAATGTATAGTAATTATATAGGCATTGGGGCAGGAATTAGAAGATATGTTTGAGAAAGAGTAAGACAGTCTGCTAGCTAGAATAAAACATGAAAATGGGAAAAGGTGGTATGTGCTGAGAACTGACACATCACATATATATTGAGAGCTGTATTATCTAAGGCTTTGCAGGCCATGGTGAGGGGTGTGAATATAGTACTGAGTTAGATAAAACACTATAAAAAATATGGATAAGAGGATAATTATAGTTTGGTCTATATTTTTGAAGAAAAACTGAATGATATGTTGAGTATATACTGTGCAATGCAAGAATAAAGATGGGAGTAAGTAGAGACTGGTATAGTCACATCATGAATAGCTAAACTCAGAAGGTCAAAGAAGAAACAGGAAATGGGAAGGAAAGCAGTGGTCTTAACACAGGAGCAAATTTAAGTGTAAGTCATTTTTTTAGCTAGGCAAAAGAAGAGATGAATCTGAAAAGAAAAACACAAGCAAGAATAAAAACAATGGTAATAGCCAAAAGTTAAATAGTACTTAATATATACTAATAAAATTTGCATATATTAACTTTCTTATTTCTATAAAGTGTAAGCCAAATTCACAGGACTCAAAAAAGTGCTATATTGGCAATTTCATTTTTATTGTCACCAAAGCATACAATCAAGACCAACCAAAGGAAGAGATTGGGTGGAATTTGAGACTAGGAGTCTTCCAAACACAAAGCTTCCATGTCCTCAGGGATATGTTGTTTCTCCAGTATTAATGGGTGAAAATATGTGAATTGAGTATTGCCAACATAAGATACTCACCTGAACTTCAGTGTCCAGAGATTTTATTGAGGTTTCATTATATAAGCATGATTAATTAAATTATGGCCTATGTGGTTGAGTTCAGTCTCCAACCCCCTTCCCCTTCCCCCAGAGGTCAGGCTGATTGATACTTTCTTGGCTCAATATCTCAACTCTATAATCACAAGGTTGATCTTTCTGCAAGAGCAGCCTTCACCCCAAGACTATCAGATGTGGCTGGCACCATCTTGAGTCATCTCATTAGCATAAAGTTTACATGTGGTTTGATGGGTCCATTATGAATAACAAAGACACTCCTATAACCTGAGAAGTCCCAAGAGTTTAGAGCTTACCTACCAGGAACTGGGACAAAGGCCAGATCTTTCTTTGGGTAAGATTAATTCTTCATTACACTACCATTCATACTACTACTACTACAAGAAACAATTAAAATAATGGTAATAGCAAATAATTGAAAAGTGCTTACTACATATTGAGAAGATTTGTTTATTCCCCATAATAACCAGTGAGATTATTATCTCCGTATTGTAGATGAAGAAATTCAGGCACATCTTAATTAACTTGCTCAAAGTTAAAGATCAAGAAAGATGTGGAAAAAGGAATAGAACTCTGGGACATAGTCTTGAATCTGTGCTTCAATGGCAATATGGTGCTGCTTGTCCGTAAGACTATCCGAAGTTAAATCTGGATACAGGAGATCAGCATTAGGAGGCAGGGCCAGATAGAAAATGAGTGCCAAAGGTATTAACCATCTTAGATTCTACACCTCTAAGCTTACAAGAAATGGTCAAACCATGAAAGAGACTCTAAATCAAGTGATGCCAAATACATGATGATTAATTTCACATGGATCCTTAATAATACCTTAAAGTCATGCTGCTTTCCTCCAGCCCACTTTCTCTCATACTCCTCACAATCACTATTTTAAATATTCTTCAAACTCTATTTAATGTGCTCATAAATTGCCATTAAAGCCTCTTCTCCTATTTTAAATGTTCAGAGAAGAGGATTCTCTGATATTTAGATTTTTTATACAACATATTCTTTAGAGAAGAGCTTGAGGTGTAAAATTGCTGATCCCTGTAGAATCTCCTGGCTTCCTGTCAACCAAATTTCTCAACTTACTAGAGGCAAAAAACTTGATTGGTCTTTTGTAGGTTACCCCATGACTTAAAGAAGACGTTAAGAGTTTAGGAATGGCAGTGATTGAGAAAGTAAGATGAGAGGGATTTTAAAGAACTGATGATATACTTCAGGGTCTACCCATGTTCTCTTCTTCTTGTAATCTGTGCACCATCCCTAGCCAATCTCTGGAATGCTCATAGTTTGAAATAGCTGCTTTAGTTGTGAGAAAGAAAAGAGCAATCCCTGACATCTATCAGCTGATATCTATTCTGCTCTAACAACTAGATTACAATGTTCCCTACTCAACATAAACAATTTCATAGAAAACCACAGTCAAACAATTTCACCTGTGACTGGTGGAACAAGAAAAAAAGTGTTGCCATGTTTGAGTGAAAAAAAAAAAAAACACGAAACAAAAAACCTAGAACACTTAGAAACCACAAAAGAACCAAATATCCCATTCTCTGGGCTACAGAAATGACTGCTGCTTCTTCATCAATTACAGTTCTGTCCCCATTCCATTACTCAAACTTCCTAGATAAAAATTACTGGGATACTGTCTTAGTGTGTTTGTGCTGCTATAATGGAATACCAAAGGCTGGGTAATTTATAAATAGAAATATATTGGCTCACAGTTCTGGAGGCTGGAAAGCCCAATGTCAAGGCGCTGGAAGATTTGGTGATTCTGTTCCAAATGGTGCCTTAAATACTGCATCCTCTGAAAGAGAGAAGTCTAATATTTTGTCTTCATACGGCAGAGGGTGAAAAGGCAAAGAGGCAAAATGGGGTTGAACTTGCTATTTTATAATGACATCAATTCCACCCATGAGGACAGAGCCTTGCTAGCCTAAACACCTCCCAAAGGTTCCACCTGGTAAGGTCATTACATTAGCAATTACACTTTATCATGAGTTTTGAAAGTGACAAATGTTTAAATCACAGCAGCTACTTGGTCATAGAATGACCCTGCTTTCTGAAAGTGCTCAATTCAGTATATATTCCTTTGCATCCTGTCCAAAATCTCCCCTCACAAAGCCAACTTACTAATACCCCTTGTGTGAAACACCCCACAGTTTCCCATGGTACATGGTTTTCTTCACTGTAAGAAGTCAATGAACCTAACTGTATTTGAATACAGGTATGTTCCTTGGTCTTTGACAGTTGGACATTGGCAGCCTGCTAACTTCCTGGTATTTTCCTTAAATTTTCTATTTCTTTGTAAAATCTAGAAACATATAACAACTCTCTACTGCTCAGTCCCAGGGCCTATTTCATAGGTGTCTCATAGTCTGTAGATTTCAACTGAAACATTGTATATCTCCCTCATTTGCATTTTTTCTATATTCTTTACTTTAGTTCCCACCAACTTTAAGAACAGAAATATTGGAGTGATTTGTTACTCCACATATTGGCACTAAATTTCTTGTGTCCCAGGAAATGCCTCAGTCCCAGACAAACTGGGACAATTAATTATTTATATTGATTTATCCTTTTTAAACATCTCTAAAATGTACACATTTAAAATTATGGCAAAATTCATAATTGATGTCATAACTTGAATCAGCTATTTGGTCAGTTATTTAGTGAATTGAGACAATGGAGGCAATCAACGATATTTTAAAATTTTTCCTAAATAGACTTCTATTTGAACTTGCTCTTCCTGAAAAGGATTCAAGCTTATTATTAGCTCCTATTCAGTCCATGAAATGCCTTTACATGTCTATTAGAAATAATATGTACATTTATTTGCTTTCTGGAACTCTTGACATGTCCAGCTAGCTCCTAGAGATCCATATTACTCCTCTCGTCAAAACCCTCCAGAAATCATTCATGCCTGATCACTGGAAGTCCTGGTGGTCAAAAGAGGAGCAAGCTCTCTGCCTTCACAAGTTCCTAATTCTAAATAATCTGAATAATTTTTAGAGCTGCAGTTATTGCTTATTAGAGGATTAAATTATTCAATTTATCTAGCTTCATGTGCTCTCATCAATGACTCTTCTTCATAGTTTTATTAAGATGCACAGGCAAAGATATTGATGACACATACTAACTAATCTGATATAAGATATTTTTCACTTGTAAATGAGTAAATTTCTTCATTATATAGCACTACTGATTGCAGAATTATTTGATGTTATCCTATAAATCTTCCTGTACTAAAGAGATTATTTTTAATTAAGTTAATTAATAGAATTTGTTATATTATTCAAATACCATCACACATACACACACATTAAACCAGTGAGCAATTTTTGTGCCAATATATCTTAGAAAAGTCACTGTGAATTCTTCTTGTTATATTATATTATTATGAATATAGAAAAGTCATATTACGTAAGGGAGAGAAGCACTCAAACTTAGAAATTTAGAAGCAACTTATGATATTTAAAAATTTCATGTCTCCCAAGAGGCAATTAATTCAGGCACACTAAGAGAAAATTCCATCTTCACATTTTAGTTAATATCTTGGAAGACAATTTAATCTCCTCCAGGTATTCCTGTGCTGGGCCCCAACCTTAGAGCAGTGTCCTCACCTGCATGCTCTTTCTGTAATTTCCTAATAAAGGCACTTATCAAAATTGTGTAAAATATCTCTTGGAAATACATGAATCCTGATCCATATCACAGCTACCTCTCCTCCATGGGAAAATGGCAAAGAGAAAACACAATATTGGCTTACGTGTAGTTGACCTTGAGCCACGTTACTGATACAGAGTGCTATATTGAGCTTAACTGGAGCCTGGATAATAATTTAGATGCCTAATAGGCTTCTTAATTTTCATAGTCTGCTGAAAGAAGAAAGTAGAGAAAAGATTTCTGGCATGGCTACAGTGAACTTTAGATGAGGGAGAATACTGAAAATAAAGGAGAGGTTTTCTGAAACTATCCTTAATTTACTCATGTATTCCATATAGTGTGGACAATACATGTCATTAGATTCAAGGATTTAGCAGTTGAGAGAGACAGACACAGTCCCTGGCCTCCTGGAGCTTAAAGTCTTCTGGTATTGCTGTAGCACATTTGTCTCCCCTACGTGATCTCAAATTCTCTGAGTGCATAGGTCATTCTGTTCACCAGTTAGTTTCTGTATGTCATAGTGTCTCCAATGCAGCAGGTGTGCAGTGACAATCTGCCCACTTACTGTGCAGAATAAATACATAGGTCCTTAGACATGTGTTCATTATTAATAAAAAAAGTATGAATATTGGGCAAGATTAGATCTATAAAGTCTGCTACATGTTTACAGATGTAGAAAAGACTTACTTGTCCCATTTCTTCAGTGAAGTGCTCGCTACTGAGGAGACTTTTGTCAGGTTTACGAGCTCCAGCTCACAAATAAAAATGTAGAAAAGCCCAGAGTGCACGTGCAGTAGAATTTTCTTGAGGCTGCTTTGCTGCCAGTAAATATACTCACAAACTATTAACAAGAAAGGATCTTTGAATTCCTGGGAAATTAAAAAAATTAATTAAACATTGCCAACCAAATGGAATTTGATGCTTTTATTAATGGAGTCCTGCCTAAGAACAGGAAAACTGAAGAAACAGAAAAGAAAAAAAAATTTTTTTCTCATTCTTGTGATTTCAAAGGATAGTTTGTTGTACCCCCCAAAAGAAAGTATCTGATAGGGCATTGTTAAAATAGTTGAAATTCTAACACCCTGAAAACTTATATAAGGCCATTTCTGCTCAACATTCCACTGAAATACAGGGGAAGAGCACAGGTTGATCTTTCTGCCCACCCCAATTGGTCTTCTCTTATGTCAGAGAAAGATTATATTATTCTTTTGTAGTGTGGTGAAAAGAAAGAAAGGAAGGAAGGTAGGAAAGAAGGGAGGAAAGGAGGGAAAATTTAGTGCACTAGTGTCACAAATAAGTTGTACAAGGCTCATTGGGAATGTTAGCCTCACATTCTCTTTCTTTAGATATGTAAAATATTTTTAAATAACTCTGGAATATAAGCTGAAAAAATAGGTTGTCTGGGAAAAGGAATAAATGAAGAAAATTTTTTATCTTTACTGAAGCCAAGTACTTATTTTCCAGGACATAAGAGGAACAGGAAAGTATTTCTAATCTGTTAATTTTATTTTTGTAGAACATATGAATGTGGAGAAAACTGAACAACCCTGTATCTGTTAATATTATTGAATAAAAGCAAACTGAAACAAAAGGGGTAAATATTTTTAAAGAAACTTGCTAAAATTCCATAGATAGCAAAAGCTGAATACATGTCACAGGGACAATAAAATAGAATAAGGATGTTTGACAACTTTGACAAATATTTTACTGTTTCTAATATCAAATATTATAAATAATAATACACATGATCATGCAAAAATGTTGATCACAAACAAAAATACTTAAAATTAAATTTATTGAGAACACTTCATTTTTTAAACCATTCATCTATCTGTATGTTTATGATTTGTCCCTCTCGGATATGCATGGTTTACTGCAAGAAGCATTTTAAAAAGAGAAAAATGGATTAGAATGTTATGAGTATACTGAAATAAATTATTTTATTAGTGACATTACTAGAAGGAGAAAATGATAATACTTCATATTATTAACACTGTTTACTTCAAAAAACACTTTGCACTCACAGACTCACAGTAATTTTGTGAAGAGGTCATGACAAATGCTGGCCCAATCTTAAGGATATAGAGGTCCAGAGAAGAGACCGACCTTCATGTAGGACACTAAGTGATAAATACCAAACAAATAGAAGTGGTTTCTCATTGTTAGTTCACTGCCTCTGTTATAAAACTCTACTAACTGATTAGCAGTGTATTGAATACTCCTTACTTCCAATAATGTAAAAACACAGCAAACTAACCAACCACAAGATCAGTGTCAATATTCCCATCCACCAACCGTCATCATTTGCTCTAAGCATATGAGCAGACTTGAGGTTTTCAATATATTCTCTTCTCACAAGGTGCTACAAAATGAACCTCAGAGATATTGAGGCCAGAGAAGTTTTCTATTTGTAAGCTCCCAGAGATGTATTGGAACAAGTCTTACTCACTGGTTGGTGGTTCATAAACTTTGCCACATATTTAAATACGTGGAGCTTTAAAAAAACCCAATGCTCTGATGGCACTATATTCCAATTAAATAAGAATGTCTGGGGTGGGAAGAATTAGTGCTACTTTTTTAAGAGTCCATAATTAAGTCATATTTGGAACTACTCAGCAGAATCAAGTGAGTGGTCAATTATTTGTGAATAGATATGGTTTGGCTGTGTCTCCACCAAAATCTCATCTTGAATTGCAGCTCCCATAATTCCCAGGTGTCATGGGAGGGACCCAGTGGGAGGTAATTGAATCATGGGACAGGGGTTGGGTTTTCCCATGCTGTTCTCATTGATAGTGAATAACTTAGGAGATCTGATGGTTTTATAAACGGCATTTCCTGCACACGCCCTCTTGCCTTCCTTCATGTAAGATGAAACTTTGCTCCTCCTTCACCCTCTACCATGATTGTGGAAGTTGTAGCCAGCCTTTGGTATATCTTTGTTGTTAGCATGAAAATGGACAAATACATGAATCCTAGATGATTCCTCTCTGTACATCAGTGTCTTTCAAGTTTCCCTCACCTCAGGAGTCACTGGGAACTTTGTTAAACTCCTGATCATCTTTAACCCCTCTCTTGTACATTCTGCTTTAGACGATAAATGCCTAGTAATGTGTGTTTTAACAAGTGCGGTCTGGTGACTCTTAGCTCAGTTTGAAAGTTTGGGAAACATTGTTGAGAGGTGATGGTGACAGAAAATTTACTGTAAACCAATGCCCCTCTAAGTAGAAATCTCAGAGAATTTTTAAATCTCCTTCATCAAGAGAGGAAGCCCTGCTGTGGAGGTAAATTATGTCTCCATATTTTCAAAATGAGTATATTAATTCTAAAATAATATAAAAATTAATAGTAACTGATTCCTCTGATCTCTGCTAGATAAATAATCCCTTTCCTTATATAAGTTCAAAGAAGGCATTCAGAATTATGAAAACACAGCCAAAAAGTCAAAACATGAAGGCTCTTGGAACAAATTCCCAGCAAATACTAAGGGAAAACTACATTTTTTCAATTTAGCTGAGTAAGAGCAAGATTTTGAAACGCTGGGCTGAGAAAGCATGGTATATTTTTGTAGTCTGGCTAAGATGAACAGTAGTCAAAAATGATTCATTTTTCAGCCATAAAAGAGAAAACATTTTTTTTTCTCTACAATATAATGCTACCTCCACCCTCCAGCTCAAGTTTATATTATGTGCTAAAGCATGCTTTTTTGAGTTATATTTGTAGTATTTGTGGTGAATTTCTTCTAATCTTTTCATATGTTCTAGTTCACAATCTGAGCCACCAATGGCCAAAAACAACAAGAGTATCTGGGGAAGATGTATAAACCATGAATGAATGACAGTCATAAGATGTTAGTCTCATTAACATAGGTGTAACTTAACATTAACTTTTAAATTGTTGCCTCAAATGATTCTTAAACATTTCTCTAGTTTCTGTTCTGAGAAGAATTATGGAATATAAAAATAAAATTTTTGTGCACACTTTTTATTAGGCTGGAACACTCAGGGTATACTCCAGAATCAGAACTCTGTTATTCTGCTGTTTGTTTTTGAAGGAGTGACATTCTAGGTTTGTTTAATAGTCACTGTCTTCCATTGGTGTTATCCTGAGCCTGCCTTTTTCCTTCCAATTGTTGGAGTATTCATTATTTTCCACACAAGATACTGCGCTATCTTTTGGCCACATAATCTAAGCACTTGGTTCTACGCCTAGAAGGGAAACAGAAAGCTCCTCTGCATTATGGAGAAAATAATCCTCCCAGAAATAATGATGCTTCTAGGAAATGTTCCACCTGTTTCTTTCTGTTTTACAGGATAGAACACAGCGTTTAATGGGTGAAGTATAAAATATTATATAGAAGTTAGCAGGAGAAATCTGCTTAGGCTGGATGTCTTTTGTTAGAGAAGTGTCACTTGGGTGAAAATGGCAGAGCAAGGATAAATTGAGTAGCAAGCAGTTATATGCTAAGGCCTGGCTCAGCTCTATGTGTTAAGCTATAAGAAGAAACCATGTATTTAAGTTTCCCTATTTCCCAACTCAGATCATCAAGACAGAAAAACAAAAACCTAGGGATATGGGGCCAAAGACCTAGACAGAAATTAGAAGTGTATATGCAGTGTATGTGGTGTCTTCAGAATTATATTTCCTCAGTAATTTAAAGATGTAGAATAGGTTTATAAGCAGTCATTTGGAAGGTAATGATTTGAGATCCTGTTTGCACCACAGCTAACACAAGGTGTTTCAGATATTTAAATTTCATCATCCAGCATTATACATTACACACATGTGCACACACACACACACATCATTCTGTTGTAGTTTTGAATATAATTGATAATATTAGACTTTAATTTTAACTAATCTACTATTTCTGTTTTTTCTCAATAACTTGTATTGGTGCTTTGGGGACTGTGTATTTTCGTTTCCATAAAAGAGTGAGCCTATCTTGGACTTTACTTATAATCTTCGTTGAATTTGAGATAGTAGATATTCACCAATAGACTTTCTGGTTATAAAGCTTTAAAAATGTCAGCATGATTAGAAATAAGAAACAGCTAAAACGGCTTTCAAATAAAAAGTCTAAATTACTAATTCAAATCTTATCCTTTTTTCCCTTTGAAAAGAGCTTTTATTTAGCATTAAAGAATTTATGTTGGGAGGAATATGGAGCTTAGCTAAGTCAGAGATTAAATCTATATCAATAAGGATATATACTTGTTTCTACAGATGAAGCATTCCATTTTAAAAAGCTCTTGGTCAAGAAAGCTCAGTATCTTAAGAAAAATAACATTTCTATAATCTGTATGCTCTAGGCAAAGTCTCTTTCTATGAATGACTACTTTATCCTTTACGAGTAAATTCATATGTTCTCCTGTTGCTGTCATGAATGTTATGAACTTTTTAGTGTTCTTTCCATTAGACTCAGATTTCTGATTCAGTATCTGTTCCCAAATGAGTAACATAGAAAATATTTGACATATCGAATAATGATAGCTGTAAAGGAAAAACACATTTTATGTGACATGAGAATAAACATAACGTACATTTGAGGCAAATAGAGATGCTTCTAGGCAACTTAGAAGTTTGAAAGGAAGGAAAAATAGAATGAGTCAGATCATTTAATGCTAGAAGCAATTAACAAGTACCTGGCTGAGGAAAGAAAAGGAAGGAAGGATGACAAGAGGGAGGTAATTAAAGAAAAAAGAAAGTTGAAGAAATACAATATTCAAATATGACTTCAAGTACCACCTCAAAAATGCTGTGGTTTCTTAACCGAATATCCCATTCTATAGAATGTTTAGGACATTCTATAAATGACCCCACCCTCAATCAGAGGTTAAGACTCTGAGACCAAATTGAGAAAAAAGGGATGAGGGCCTAATTGTTAGGTTATGCTCTGTGGAGCCTCACACTGTGTTACTATACAACAAAGGGTCTCTGCACAACTATCAGCAGCAGATGGGTTAAGCAGATGGGGCTAGATGCCATCTAGGTCAAGGAACAATATAGATGTATTGTACACCTTAAGCTCCTGTCCTGAAATGCCATTATATCCACATATATTCCACATAAAATACCCATTCCTTGAGCAAGCCATGCTAGGATTATAGTTTCTCCAACTCTCTGGGGAAGTAGGACACGTGTCTCAGATATGAGGCAGCCTGATTTCCAATAAACTGTGACAAAGATATGCAGAGAACCTGATCATTAGGGCTCAACACAGGCCTAATAATAAAAAGTAATAATCATGATTTTTTAAGTAAGTATCTTAGATATTTCAGTTAGGCACCATTCTAAGAAATGTATATGTGTGAACTCATTTTAATTTTACTACCCTATGATATACATACTAATAATATTCTTTCTTTACTACTATGGAAACTAAGAAGTTAAGTGAATTTCCCTGAAGTTACAGAGCTAGTAAGAGGCTGAGTCTAAATTTGAATTGAGAGAGTCTGGATACAAAGATTTTACTCTTAACAATTGATGAACTGTGGACATATCTAAGGTTTTCAAGTAACAAAAATTTCATACTATAGACAGTGATATAACAGCAAAAAGTTTTGTCTGCTACAGGTAAAAGTGATAAAATTGAGATCAAATGCATAGTTCATCAATACCAAAGAAGCATTTAAAGTGGTAGTGTGCCAGTATATGTTAACAAGTAACTCTCTAGAATAAAAATATATGTATATGTATATGTATATATATATATATGTGTGTGTGTGTATGTGTGAATATACATGTGTGTATGTATGTAAAGTTACATACACAAAGATTTTACTCTTAACTATTGATGAACTGTGAACATAACTAAGGTTTTCAAGTAACAAAAATTTCATAGCTGTAGACATCAGTATAGCCGTAAAAAATTGTATCTGCTAAGGGTAAAAGTGATAAAACAACTGAACATATATACATGCATTATGTAAACGCGCACATGCATGCATGTAAACACACACATATGCATACATACATGTATGTAAGCACACACGTATGTATGAAAACATATACACATGTATACACAGAGCTTGTTTTAAATTTTACTGATATAAAAATATATGTAACACATAACTTAATAATAATTATAATAAATGCAATATTTCTATTGTAAATTTTACACAGCCAAATGATTTTTGCAAAATGCTTTTGTTGACTTTTGATGAACTCATTTATCTGAAAAGAACCAATGTCTGCAATTCAACTGTGATTTGACAAATGGAATTGCATCTCAACCCACTAACTCTTTCTCAATAATTTTATTGTTTTAAAATATGATGTGTGATCTACCCTTAAACAATTCCTGAACTTCACATAAATTATATTAATTGCACTGAAATTACTTGTATCATTTAGACTACATATGTCACATTTTAATTTTTCATCAATTATGTGAAAACTGTTGTTAACAGTTTTCAATTTTTAATCAATTATGTTAAAACAGACAATAGTTGTAAGATATTGAAAAAAATATTTTCTGGGTTTTTTTGTGCTATTTATAAGGTTATAGCTAGAGACACAACATACTTCTAACTACAATTTGCATTATTAACACTTTCTTCATCATTTTATTAAGTCTAGATAATCAACAAAACAATCAATTAAGCCTCATTTGGTAGCTTTGATTGATTTCCATTGTCTACTTTCTCACCACGGCAAATGTCAAGCTATTAATGTGATGTTACTGAACATGGAGTTGGAAAGAGATGGGTGGTAGCACACGGTGAAAGAGTAATCCCACCATACAGCTATGGTAGAGGCACATAATCTTGAGAGTATAAGCAATAGTAAAACATTGTGAAATAGCTAGGAAGTGATATGTAGTGGACATAATTGTTTTGAATATAATTAATGTAATTATAAGTTTGTAAAATTTAATTTTGACTAATGCCTGTGTTTAATAACTGGCTCAAAAAACTTCTGTAAAACTAATGGTTGGCTCTTGTGGGTCAATATTGAACTGACTTCAGCACAAAACTACCAAGGACAGCAAGATCTGGAATGCCCAAAGACAAGAGAAACAGATAAGTATAAGAAACAACAAGTCAAAAAACAAGGAATAGGAGAAATCAAGGTTACATATTAGAGTGGTGCTGAAGCTAGTTCTATTGTCTCTGGAAGAGTGTGAAGAGCATGAGTGAATTCCAAATATTGGACCTACAGAATGGATAACTGGTACCCAGGTATTTTCCTCTAAAATAGGTTCTGCCTAGGGCACTATTTGGGACCCCTATGTTGCCAAGAACCAAAAAAACAACTCTCATGAATTCCTCCTCGACAAAATGTTGGAATCTGTCACAGATGTGCTATACTAAGGGGCCAGTAGTAGTGGAAATCACAAAACTAAGAGTGAATTGACTCAATAAAGGGGAGCAGAAAAGAACTGTTGCTGTGTTAATCAGCTCAGTTCCTGGCAGTGTTTTATGTGAGTACTTTCTAGCATAAAGCAGAACTGGATGGCACAGAGTTTATATTTAGCAAAATTACTCTTTTATCCCCAAATTGCTATGATTAGGACAAGTATTCATCTATTTTGCTCACTGCTGTCTTCCCAGAGCATAGAAAATGAAAAGCACCTGGAATGAACACATGAATGACATGAATAAAGATGAAAAAACATACTCTGGTGCCATCTGGTTATTCTTACCATGTGTGATATTTATTACCTATGGTCCTGCATCCTTTCATGGTGACTGGTCTTCATGTCAGCATATTCGGCTTCTCTTTTGTAAAGTTGTTGACAAAGGTGGGGAAGGCTTTAGACTTGAGTTAGTTAAACCTGAGATTGATTCCCAAGTCTGTCACTCTGTCACTTACTGTGTGACATTAAACAGGGCACTTCACAGCTTTAAGCCTCATGCTCCTCATTTTTTAATTCAGGATTAAGTATGATTCTCATACTTGTAATGATAAAATTATATATATATATATTTATATAATATGTGTGTGTGTGTGTGTATATATACATACATTACCAGACATGGTGCTGTAGGAAAGAACTCAGTTAATTACAACTAGTATTATTACTGAAACTGCCCAAATAATGTGTCATTGTGTGTACGTGTGAGGGGTGATTTTTTCTTTCAGTTTTGTTGTTACTGTTCTCTTGCAGGAAGTCAGGGACCCCTGAATGGAGGGACTGGCTGAAGCCATGGCAGAAGAACATAAATTGTGACGATTTCATGGACGTTTATTAGTTCCCCAAATTAATACTTTTATAATTTGTTATGCTTGTCTTTACTGCAATCTCTGAACATAAATTGTGAAGATTTAATGGACATTTATCACTTCCCCAGTCAATACTCTTATAATTTCCTATGCCTGTCTTTATGTTAATCTCTTAATCCTGTCATTTTCATAAGCTGAGGATGTATGTCACCTCAGGACCCTGTGATGATTGCGTTATCTGTACAAATTATTTGTAAAACATGTGTGTTTGAACAATATGAAATCTGGGCATCCTAAAAGAACAGGATAACAGCAGTTTTCAGGGAACAAGGGAGATAACCATAAGGCCTGACTGCCTGTGGGGCTGGGCAGAACAGAGTCATATTTCTCTTCTTTCAAAAGTGAATAGAGAAATATCACTGAATTCTTTTTCTCAGCAAGGAACACCCCTGAGAAAAGAATGCATTCCCGGGGGGCGGCCTCTAAAATGGCCGCTCTGGAAGTGTCTGTCTTATGCAGTTGAAGATAAGGGATAAAATATGCCCTGGCCTCCTGCAGCGCCCCCAGGCTTGCTAGGATTAGGAAATTCCAGCCTGGCAAATTCTAGTCAGACCAGTTCTCTGCTCTTGAACCCTGTTTCCTGTTAAGATGTTTAGCAATGACAATGCATGCACAGCAGGGCATGGAACTTCATCAGTAATTCTAATTTTGCCTTGGCCTTGTGATCTTGCTCTGCCCCCATTAGCCTTGTGATATTTTATTGCCTTTGAAGCATGTGATCTCTGTGACCCACACCATATTCATACACTCACTCCCCTTTGAAAATCGCTAATAAAAACTTGCTGGTTTGCGGCTCGGGGGCACCATTGAAACTGCCAACATGTGATGTCACCCCTGGAGACCCAGCTGTAAAATTTCTTTCTTTTGTACTCTTTCTCTTTATTTCTCAGACCAGCCAACACTTAGGAAAATAGAAAAGAACCTACATTGAAATATTGGGGGCTGGTTCCCCTGATACTGTTCTAATGTTAAAGTTTATATGATTAGCAAGATTCCAATCAAACTAAAGCATAAAGCTCTTGTTACTTGTCATTTTCTCTCCAGGTCAGATCTTCATATATCTGGATAATAATCTTTCATGGTATTCATGTAGGTAAATCCCATACATGTATATGGTATTGTCATATTTTAACTGGAAATGACATATTGGAGAACAAGAAATCAGCACCCTTTTGTTTAAGGGGTAGAGCCAGTACTTGCAGTTTGTCCATGGTGGGCATCTCCTTTTCCTCCTGACCTTAAAGCTTTGTTCTAGGTACTCTCCTCTTCTTATTCTACACACTTTCTCTGTGAAATATCATTCACTCCTATGGCTTTGATAACTATCTATTGACTTCAACAACCCAAATATATCTCTCTAATCTGCTAACTTAATCCACATAGGTAACAAATACCTGTCTACGCACTGTGCCAAGCTCTTTATATAAACTATTTAATTTTATAGTTAAAAATAAGTATGTTTTTATCCCCAGCAATTGAAACAATAGTTTTTCATTTGAATTCATGATTAACTATAATCAAACTTGCTTGCATCCAAGTGTCTCCTATATCTGACTTGTTTATCAGACTAGTAGAGCCTGAACCTCAGGAATCATCCTTGACTTATCCCTTTCTTTTGGCTTTAATAATCAGCAAACTTTAAGACCTGCTGACAATTCTGTCTCTGCAATCTCTCCATTCCATCTATTATTCTCTACCCTAGTCTAGGTCACCAAAACCTCTGGCCTACAATATTACAATGAATTTCTTATGATCTTTTCATCTATAACCAAATTTTTATGAAATTGCCATAGTGAAATTTTGAAGACATATATCATGTTCTATTCTTCCTGTATTTAAAATCCATCAATGTCTTCCTATGACCCACAGTATAAGGTACAAAATCGGCCGGGCGCGGTGGCTCACGCCTGTAATCCCAGCACTTTGGGAGGCCGAGGCGGGCGGATCACGAGGTCAGGAGATCGAGACCATCCTGGCTAACAAGGTGAAACCCCGTCTCTACTAAAAATACAAAAAATTAGCCGGGCGTGGTAGCGGGCGCCTGTAGTCCCAGCTACTCGGGAGGCTGAGGCAGGAGAATGGCGTGAACCTGGGAGGCGGAGCTTGCAGTGAGCCGAGATCGAGCCACTGCACTCCAGCCTGGGCGACAGAGCGAGACTCCGTCTCAAAAAAAAAAAAAAAAAAAAAAGGTACAAAATCCTCAACATGATCACAAAATCTTGCATGGCCTAATTGTTGTTTCCTCTCAAGAGAGTCAACTCTTCTCTCTGTAATAGCTCTATAGTTCTAGTTGCCCCAGTCATACTAAACTTACACCACCTCCTTATCGCCTATTCATCTTTCAAGCTTTATCTTTAACATTATCTCCTCAGAAAGCTCTCTCTGACCTTATTCCATTTGAGATTAGGTTATTTAGAATACTTTTTATATATTTTCAGAGAATACAGTATATCTCTTTTGTGACATTCCTAACATTTATAATAGCTGAGTTAGCATCTGCCTTCCTTACTAGTTCTAAGTTTCCTGGTGGTGGATGCAGTGTGTATAAAGCTCACCAATATTTCTCTAGTAGCCTCCAAAATCACATCTGTCAGAGGAAGCATTTGATCAGTACTGCTTGATTGACTGGATAAGTTGTTTTCCATCAGACTAGTGATATCCTCTTGTTTGTACCAGCTACCTGACTAACATAGCATTTAAAAACTTTTATTTATTTTTATTTCTTATTGTTTTTAATACAGAAATGTTTAAGCATGTACAAAGGTAATACTAAATCCACATGTTTTTTAGCATTTATATTTAATCTGCAGATTAATCACAGTATGGCAGATACTGTGATTTGATGTAAACAATATTTGCTTCAAACTTCTCATGGAATGCTTTTCTGAAAATAAAAGGCTGGACAGATAAGAATTCATGACACTCTTTCAATGATAGCTGTAGATTTGATTTAAGATGTGCCGATAAGGCACACTCCGACAAATTCTGAAGAAAGGTAGGCTGTGGAGGCATCCGTTTTGCAGAGATGGTTGCAGATATGGATAACAGCAAAGGAGGCATGGACATGGAGCTGGTAGCTAAAACTTCTGATTCTATGGCTTCCTGTTGTTGCAGGAGCAGCAGATTCTTGGGGTTCAGTCTGTGGTGTCACTTGGAGAGTCATTATTATAAGCCAAACCTAGAATTTATATCTTCACCTCTCTTAATAACTTGGTATGTCGTTTTTCACACTACCATAGGACATTTTCTGCTCAAATTAGCTGCAGTAGAATCTGTCATTGCAACTGCAAACTGACCAATTTGAGAATTATCACCTCCTTTCATGTTTCCTATGGAATCTTCCATTCCACTCATTATTGGATACTCAGGGATTGTGGCTGCATGGAATCATGTAGAAAAATGGAGGCATTTGACAGTGGTTGTACTCAATTGTATGCTTTAAGGAAGCATAATTCATATGAAAGTGTCCTAGTGCCAAGAAAAAAATTTATGTACAGATAGCAATGATAAACAATACAGTAGACCCTTGAACAACATAGATATGAACTGTACAAATCCACTTATACATGATTTTTTTTCAACAAAATTTATACCAAATGTGCTGCTTCTCCTATCTCCCCTCTACCTTTACAGGTCTTCTGCTTCTGCCACCACTGAGACAACAAGACCAATCCCTCCTCTTTTTTCTTCTCTTCAGTCTATGCAACATGAAAACTACAAGGGCAAATGCCTATGACAATCCATTTCCACTTAATAAATAGTAACTATCTTTCCTCTTCCTTATTATTTTCTTAGTAACATTTTCTTTTCTCTTCCTTACTTCACTGTAAGAATACAGTATTTAATATATATAACATACAAAATATGTGTTAATTAACTGTTTATATTATTGGTAAGGCTTCTAGTCAGAAGTTATACACAAGTTTTCAAATTCTTGGGTGGATTGATGACCCTCACTCTCTTATTGTTCAAGGGTGAGCTGTATATGGAAATATAAGCTGCATGGTCAAGAGAAAACATTCAAGGGGGCATTAAAGTTTAATAAATGGTAAAATTGAAAGAAGCAATCGATAAGATTCAGGTAGGTCAAGGGCTGGCTCAGAATACATCTTTTCAAAAATTGTTCTTGTGTTTGTTATATTCTATGAATTGGGAGTAAATCCTTAAAGCTAGCAAGCATAATAGTTTTCCTCATGAAAATAACCCTCCAAAGACATTCCTACACAGTGTTTCTCTTTACTGATAAATTACCTCTATTCCCACCACACCAGCTTGCTTAGTCAGTTGCTTCAGGCTCCTGTTGATCTCACCAGTTTTGCCCATCTTCATTGAATCCTACTCATTTGCCTCACACATAGTATGTTTTACACAAGTATTTGATTAATTAATGAATGTCAGTGCTTTGCCACATGGCAATATTGCTTTTTCCTATCCATATTGTGTTGCCTAAAATTGTAGCATATCGTTCAGATCTACTGCAAAACCTTCAGTAGATTAAAAAACAGCACCCATTAGTTTTATGTACCATAAGAAAATATAAGAAAGCATCTAAGAGTTCATAAATATAAATTTCCTTTTGAAGAGGACAAAATATAAATAACTTTTAAGTGTTATATGACCTTTTTTATTTGCTTTTAATGAATGTAATTTTTTTCCAACTCTTAGATGGTATCTTTCAGTAGTATGGCTTTACACTTGTAAAGCTGAAGTTCTGCTTCTATCAAAGCTATAACTCAGCAACCTACTGTGCCCAGTGATTCTGCAAGAAGTACTCACAATTTGTATATTATTATTTCCCTGAGTATAAAAACCTTAATTTCCCATTATTTTCCAATTCAATTTCATTACATTCAATTTTTATTTTTAATATGCTCTATGGATGTGCTAAAAATTCACAAACACTTAAACTTGAGAGACAATATGTTAAAAAAGGATGTTACAGAATTAAAAATGTTTTTCTTGTCATTATGTCCTTTCTTATATAATCTCCAACTTGGTAGCTCACCAGGGAATGTATTTAAAAATATATCAATTCCATATTGTCCTTTCCTTTCTAGTAATATTATACAATAAATTGACTACTACTAAATGCAATAATGGCAAAGAAAATATTTCTGGTTTTGTTTTGATAAATTTTGATGAAGAAGGCAGAGAATTCCAATTATTAATGAAAATAAGGAAAATGCTCATCAAATTTCAAATGATGCTTCTACCAGAATGTAGTTAATAAGTCAGAAGGTATAAACCCATAAAGAGGGTATAAAACATCACAAGAAGACTGATTGGGAGAGGGTTCATGGATTCTTTTTTTCAAATGATTTCAGCCCTGACGTAAGTTTTATATACACTCAAGAAAAATTGCTGGTGGGTAATTCTCTCCTCCTGAAAACATCTTAAATTGAGGCCACTTGGAATTTCTTGGGGGGTGAAAAGGTGTATATGTTTTTCCTGTGTACCAAACAAGAATCATGAGGAGAGTTGGCATCACTTCCTCATATTGCCACATAAATTGTTCTTCAAAGAGATTTCTTTCTCTACATTTTTTTTTTACCTTGGTCTCAACTTAGGCCCAGACCTTCATCATCTTACACTTCTAACTGTTATTTGTGACTCCTGTCTTGTCCCTCTTTCCCATAATCTACCCTAATGGAAAACAAATATCCATAAAATGCAAATCTGACCCTGCCATTCACCAACTTGAGCACTTTCAGTGACTCAGCCTAAAAAAAATCAAGTACAACCTCCTTGTAATGGCTTATAATAATTCATCATTCTATAATTGTCTGCCAAATTATTGAGCAAATCAATCAATACATGAACAAATATGTTAATCTCTGAGTTATTTGATACACATAAAGTAAATATATTCCTCTTCAAGCCTGATCTGGTTTCTTGGCAAGATGTATTAGTCCATTCTCGCACTGCTATACAACAATACCAGAGACTGGGTAATTCATTTAAAAAAGAGGTTTAATTGGCTCACAATTCCACAGGCTGCACAGGAAACAAGGCAGGATCTGCTTCTGTGGAGGCCTCAGGAAAATTTCAATCATGGCAGAAGGTGAAGGGGAAGCAGGCACATATTACATGGCCAGAGCAGGAGGAAAAGAGAGAGAGAGGAGGAGGTGCCACACACTTTTAAAAAACTAGATCTCACGAGAACTGACTCAGTACCATGACACAGTACCAAGGGGGAAATCCACTCTCCTGATCCAATCTCCTCTCACCAGGCCCCACTGCCAACATTGGGGATTACAATTCAACATGAGATTTGGGTGGGGACACAGATCCATACCATATTTTTCCTCCCCTGCCCCCTCTAAATCTCTGTTCTTCTGACATTGCAAAATACAATCATCCCTTCACAACAGTCCCCAAAGTCTTACCTCATGCCAGCATTAAGTCTGAAGTCCAAAATCTCAACTAAAACAAGGCTAGTCCTTTCTGCCTATGAGCCTGTAAAATCAAAAAGAAATTACTTACTCCCAAGATACAATGGGGGTATCATTACTCCCATTCCAAAAAGGAGAAATCACCCAAAAGAAAGGGGCTGCAGGTTCCATGCAAGACTGAAACCCAGCAGAGTAGCCATTCAACCTAAAAGCTCCTAAATAATCTCTTTTGATTCGATGTTTCACATCCAGGGCATGCTGGTGCAAAGTGTGGGCTCCCAAACTCTTGGGCAGCTCCACCCCTGTGACTTTCTGGAGTTCAGCCTCAGTGGTTCTTCTCAAGGGCTGGCATTGAGTGCCTGTGTTTTTCCAGGAGTGTGGTACAAGCTGTTGGTGGCTCTACCATTCTGGAGCCTGGGGGATGATGGCCCTCTTCTCACAGCTCCCCTAGGCGGTGCCCCAGTGGGGACTCTTTGAGGAGGCTCCAACTCTGCTGTTCCCTTTTGCACTGCCCCAACAGAGACTCCCCATGAGGGCTCTGCCCTTGCAGCAGGCTTCTGACTAGACATTCAGGGTTTTCCATATATTCTCTGAAATCTAGGTGGAAGGTCCAAAGCCTCAATTCCTACACTCTGCGCACCACATAGAAACCACAAAGACTTATGTCTTGCACCCTCTGAAGTAGCAGCTTGAGCTGTACTCGGGCCCCCTTGAGCCTTGGCTGGAGCCAGCGAAGATGTGGGGAACAGTGTTCTGAGGCTGTACAGAGTAGCATGGCTCTGGGGCCCTAAGTTCTGGACCTTGAAACCCTCTTTACCTTTTAGGCCTCTGGTCTTGTGATGGGAGGGGCTGCACTGAAGGTCTCTGAAATGTCTTGGAGGTCTCTTCTCCAATGTCTTGGCTATAAACATTTGGCTCCTCTTTCCTTATGCAAATTTCTGCAGCTGGCTTGAATTCTCCCCCAGAAAATGAGTTTTTCTTTACTGTGGTAAGGGCAGACTGCAAATTTTCCAAACTTTTACTCTCTGCTTCCCTTTTAAATGTAAGTTCTAGTTTCAAGTCATTTATTTCAAGCATGTGAGCATAGGTTGCTAGAAGCATCCAGGTCACATGTGGAACACTTTGCTGCTTAGAAAATTTTTCCATCTCTTAATCAGAGATGGAACTCTTAGGTTCAAAGTTCCACAGATCCCTAGACTGGGGACACAATGCTTCCAGTCTCTTTACTAATGTACAACAAAAGTGACCTTTCCTCCAGTTCCCAATAAGTTTCTCTTCATCTGAGATCTCCTCAGCCTAGACTTAGTTGTCCATGTCACTATTTGCATTTAGGTCACAACAATTAACAAGTCTCCAGGAAGTTTCAAACTTTCCTAACCAACTTTCCCTCACCTTCCAGCCTTCTGAGACTTCCATGCTCTTCCAACCTCTGCTTGTTGCCCGGTTCCAAAACTGCTTCCATATTTTCAGGTATCTTTATAGCAATGTCCCACTCCTTGGTACCAATTTTCTATATTAGTCCTTTCTTGCACTGTTATAAACAAATATCTGAGACTGAGTAATTTATTCTAAAAAGAGGTTTAATTGGCTCACAGTTTACAGGCTACACAGGAAACATGGCAATATCTGCTTCTGGGGAGGCCTTGGGAAACTTTCAATCATGGCAGAAGGTGAGGGGGAAGTAAGCACGTCTTACATGGACAGAGCAGGAGGAGAAGAGAGAGGGGAGGAGGTGCCACACACTTTTAAACCACTAGATTTTATGATAACTCACTCACTATTGCAACATAGTACCAAGGAGAAAATCGACCCCTATGATCCAATCACCTCCCATCAGACTCCACTCCAACACTGGGGATTACAATTTAACATGAGATTTCAGTGGGGACACAGATCCAAACCATAACACAAGGCAAAGGGACTAATATAAAAGATTCCCCTAATTATATGGCTGGGGGGAGTTCAATGGCTTATGCCTTTAATCTCAGTACTTTGGGAGGCCAAGGCTGGAGGATTGCTTGAGGCCAGGAGTTTAAGACCAGTCTTGGCAACATAGTAAGATCCTGTCTGTATAAAAAATACAAAAGTTAGCTAGACATGCTGGTGCATGCTTCTATGCCTGTAGTTCTAGCTACTCTGGAGAATAAGGAGGGAGGATTGCTTGAGCCCAGGAGTGTGAGGTTGCAGTGAGCTACAATTGCACTGCTGTGCTCCAACCTGGGTGACAGAGAGAGAGACTCTGTAAATAAGAGTCTCCTAGTCAACCTGGATGACAGAAAGAGACTCCTAGTAAATAAGTAAACAAATAAATAAAAATTTGTCTACATATAGATCTTGCTTTTTGAGAGGAAACAATTTGACAGCCTTCTAAATTTTACATATGGAAGATATCAATTTTCTGATATGTGATTAAGATACATAAATTATCAAGCTTGGTGATGATTTGGCAAATGTTAAAAGTTTAATCCACAGAAAATATGTACTATGAATATTGTTTTCTGATAGGCCAATTCTCCAGAACTATTTTTAAAAATTAAAAAGGATTCTTTCCGATTAAAGTTATTATTATCACAATTTCATTATGTTAAGCAGCGATCTCTGGGATAACTCTAGCAGTAGTTTCACTTACGTCGTTAAGTAAGGGACAGCATTAGAAGTATGTCTTAATTTGCGTATCAAAATGTATCTTTATTTTTTCTATGTATAATGAAAACCATTCAGCAAAGCCCTATAAAACTTACACCCAACCTCAGAATTACAATCCATGAATAAAATTAGCTTTACGAGTAATTTATACAATGGCGTTTCTGGAGAAAAGGTAAAATGGTATGAGTTTGTTTAATATATGAAATAAACTTCTGAGTAATGATAAATTATATTTTCTCTGCATGATCTATGAGAGATTTTTTTCTATAAAAATATAATGTGCATGATAGACTTAACGTGCAGTTTCAGTGTTCTTTTTCTTCACGTAGACAGGGACTTCTTTCAAGATAAAATCAAGCTGTTCCAGAGAGAATAAAGGCATCACAGCCTCTGCTATCTCTTTATGGTTACCTGCTGATAATTATGGGGACCTGCTAATCCCGATCCCTCATAACCCTCCAAGGACTCCTTCAAGAAATAATCAACCTAACCAGGAAGTCATTTCTCATATATTGAGAAAATGAGTACCCATTAAGAAAATACCGGAACAAATTCATTTTAGAAAGCTATAAGTCATCCCAGAAACTGTAAATTTTGGGAGCTATCTCTTTAGGACTTTCTTCGGTTTGATCTAAACACTGCACTTCACAGACTGTTTATCTTACTAACATTTTCCCTCTGAAGCCTTTCCACCAAACATGATAATATATCATTTCCATGATAAAATATTTAGGTATTTCTTCTGGCCTATAGGCACTGTGAAAAAAATTACTGAGACTTAAGGGCACTGTGACTCAAGATAGTTTAGAAATCTTTGAAAAACTGTTTCATTTCCCAAACTAGATGTGAAGAGAAGGTACAGAATCTTATTGAGGGATATAAGTTATGACAAAATACGGAGAGAATGGGCCCTGAAAATTTTATATACACAAGAAAATGATTTGCAGAGTGTGCTTCTCCAGAGGAGTTATGTTTTCTTTGGCCAGGTGGCTGTGTTTACTCCCCACTCCCTACTGTTTCTTGATTTGTTGGAATGAATCTTTTGTTCATTCTATACATTTATCTTTATGAATTGGAGAATTGTGTATTTTTTCCTTATTTATGCTGGATATTTTAATGTGTTTTTTCAAATTAAACTCTAAAATTTTTAACATATTTACCCTCTACCAAAACATCAAATAACCTTGAGTATGTTTCCTCAAATACCTTCTCCTCATTTAATATGTAAGTTACTCAATAACTAATTCTATCTTTATTTGTATTAACTCCACTAATCAGACACATAGTTATTTTTATGTAGTCCATGCTTGTTTAGGTTTACCAGCATGCTTATTAACACTTGGAAGAAAATTTTCCACATTATGTTATACTTATTTTTCTCTTATGGTTATGTTTGTTTTTCACATATGAACTTTAGCAGTTTCTTCATTGAAATCAATTAGTAGCAAAATTTTATATGTAGCTTTATAATTTGATCATTTTTGTAGAATATACATTGCCAATGTGATAGAAGTTTTGGTTGTTACCAGATATCTTTCCTGTAGTGCTTTCAAAATAAATTTTACAATACCTTGCCTTCTAAACTTATTAAATCAACTATATCAGTCTAATTTTAATTCATCTGTGGGCAATCTGACATGTATTTCTGACTTCCCAGACCTCCATAACTTTGACAAACCTCAGTTTCATTACCACGTGTGTATGTGTGAATATCTTTTTATCTTTCTTGGTTGGGATTCATGATCTTCCTAGTTCAGACAATAAGGCTTTTTCATCAATTACAGAAAACTATCAGCCATTATATAATTTTTAATGTTGTCATATGTTCTTGAGGATCCTG
This sequence comes from Homo sapiens, assembly GCF_000001405.40. NCBI lineage: Eukaryota > Metazoa > Chordata > Mammalia > Primates > Hominidae > Homo > Homo sapiens. The sequence continues at coordinate 43,648,523 of NC_000004.12, forward strand.
TGGCTTTGTGTTAGAAATTTTAATTTTGTTCTCCGTGTTATTAACTACTTTCTCAAATTTTCCTTCTCTTTGTCTGTCTGTGCTGCCTTCTGTGTAATTTTCCTGAAATCTGTTCTCCAGGATGCTGTATTTACTTTTTCCTTTTATCAGCGATGTCTTATCTATTTTTCATTTCTAGAAATAATAGTTGATTTACCTTCAATTCTGCCTTGTCATTTTGATAGACGCTTTGTTCATATTTTGTTCGCTCTTTATTTTTCTAACACATATCAAACAAACATACTTTAAATTGTTTTGATTCACTGTATTATCTTCAGTCTTTACTTGTCTGATTCTGTAGTTGGCTGATTCTTCTTATTACTGTTTAAATGGACATTACAAAAATTTGTGATTTAAAAACAATATATAAACTCATAATTTGGAACTTTTTAAGTGGGAATTCCTAAGTACTGAATTAAAACAGTTTCTTCCAAAGAGCATTTTTGGTTATTTCTCAAAGACTCCTAAGAATAGAAATAACAACATCAAACCAATTTTCAAATTTCTTTCTAAGCCCATAGATAATATAAATTCTGGCCCCAAATCTTTGTCAGTATAGGTTTGTCATTGGGAAAACTCCAGAAAAATTTTTGTCATCTTCCCCCTTCACCATTCAACATTGATAGAAGCGTGCATTCAAAATTTCCTTCTCCAAGGAGAGATTGCTTTCTTATCTCAAGTCAATATGTAGTTATACAGAGATTTCCAGTCCAGTCTCTAACCAAGCTCAAGTCCCTGACTTTGTGTGTTCTTTTTTCTACACACAGTCAATTGATATCTAGGTGCTCCACAAATGCCATAGGGCAAATTCTACAGAGAAAAAGCCATATTCAATGCTAACTTGTTTCTCTGGAATAATATGTTTTTTTTTTTTTACTGTCTGAGGAATATTTAATGCTCTAGAAGAATGAAAATGTTCTTAAAACTTTAGGATTTACTATGTGATACAGCCCATATAATGCAAAGATACATGTTAACTTGATTTCTGACTGATAAAGAAGATGACATCAAAGCTGATGATTTTGCTTGCTGTATAAAATGTTAATCATTTTCTTCTAACCTAGCAATCTTATTTTAAGATTTTTAGACATGTCTGCAAATATCCCATTTCACTGGTTCTCTTATTAATAATGAGTTAAATTTTTTATATGTGTTCATTTGCATTTGTATGATAATCATGTTTTTATTCATTTGAAAATTACATTTTGATAGAATACAATTGACTATCTTTTCAGTTTTATTATTCAGCTTTATTTTTGGAAGCACCCACAATATCATTCTGTTCCATCTTCCCAAAGCAGAAACAAGAATTATTCAACACCATGTATGCACAGGCACACAGACACACACACACACACACAAACTGGTGTAGCACACAAATTACTTAACTTTTTCTTTCTTAGAGCAATATTTTTGGTATTGCTTATTAATTCTATTAATTCTATAATACTTATTGATTAACATTTTAAAATTCCTTGTCTAATAAATAGCCCAGTTCACTACTTTTGCTAGCATTTAAGGGCCATGTTTAAGATTACCCAGGTAAGCAGAATTGCAGTTATGAACAGGGCCTTGGTTTTCTGATTTTTATTCAACTGAACATTCATCATAAGCATTTTTTAATAGGGATTCTATATTTATCTGAAAGCATAAGACTGTTAAATTTTGGGTTACTTTTCAATATTATTATTTTCTGGTGTGATGTTTTATAACACAGCTAGAGACTATTGCCTTCCTATCTGAGGAGCATACCTTCTAATTTTATTTGAGCAATGTTTGTGTCTGTAGTAGAAAATATTTTACACCATATCTACAGTAACTACTGTATATTGAAGGATGCTTTTTTGGTTTCTGCTTTTGCTACATGTAAAAAAGTGTTTCCTGTACATCAGCTTTCTGGTCTACTAAATGCCAATGTTTTGGATGTTGAACTGTCTGTGACACTAAATGGGGTATTTTGCTGAAACTGATTAGATCAATGCATCTGTTGCAGATTTTAGATCATCCTTTTATGACAGATTTATTGAACAGTTCAAGAAAGTTGGCACAAGGACACTTGACAGCATTGATTCAACTGGAAAGTTAAATATGGATGTTATGAGCATTAATTTTGATGACATTTTATCCAGAAGCAAATAAAATTCTTTTTAAAAAATGGGAAAAATAAAATTTTAAAGCTTCTGTAAGCTACTAAATACTGTTTCTTCTATTTGTTTAGGCAAATGTAGCAGAAAATTAGTGGTTGACAAGAACTTTTATTTATATTATTTATTAAATAGTTTTACTTAAGTTTCATTTATATTTCTTTTCCTGCCTTCCATAAATTTTTGTCATTTTGTCATTTTGCACTTTGTATTACTGTCATTTCCTTTTTCTATGCTTTCCACACAAATATTTATAATGTTTTATTATCCTAATTTGTTTTATCCTTTATTCCTATTTCCTTATTTTATGGATAGTTTTGTTTAGCATAAAGAATCATCCTGATTTGAGACAACTTGGTTTCTTTAAATATTTGATTCCAAGACAAAAGTATAAACAAAAGAAAATAAAAATTAGTGCCCATGAAACTCTTTTATTTCAACTAAGGACATTAACTTCATAGCAATAAAAGCTCTTCTTCATGATTAGATTTAAGAGTACAAATAATGATTACTTGCAAGAGTGTGATTCCAAAGCAAGCAGCACTTGATACACATTCTTAGCTCACTTTCAAAAATCAGAAAGCAGGAGTATAAACTAAACATTTTGAGAGCTATTTATAAGGCTAAGGTAAAATAGGTTTCTTGATATTATTTCTGGCAACTACTATAAACGAGTTTACAAGAAGTAATGACCTAAAAATAATTCATGTGCAATAGTGGCATAATGCAACTCTGATTTTAATCAAGTAGAATTTCAGGCCCCTTCTCTCCACCTTTCTCTCACTGTTGCAACGTACCATAGAGTACTGGTGAAGGAAGCCAGCTCTGCAGCAGAACTGGCTAAGTTCCAGTCCTTGCCCTACTATGTACTACCTGCATGTGATGGTTAATATTGAGGGTCAACTTGATTGGATTGAAGGATGCAAAGTATTGTTTCTGGGAGTGTCCATGAGGCTGTTGCCAAAGGAGATTAACATCTGAGTCAGTGGACTAGAAGAAGCCAACGCACCCTCAATCTGGATGGGCATTATCTAATTAGCTGCCAGTGCGGCCTTGATAAAAGCAGACAGAGGAACGTGGAAAGACTAGACTGGCTAAATTTTCTGGCCTTCATCTTTCTCCTGTGCTGGATGCTTCCTGCCCTCGAACATAAGACTCCAAGTTCTTCAGCTTTTGCACTCTTGGACCTACACCAGTGGATTGCTAGGGGCTTTCAGGCCTTCAGACACAGCCTGAAGACTGCACTGTCAGCTTCCCTACTTTTGAGGTTTTGGGACTCGGATTGGTTCCCTTGCTCCTCACCTTGCAGACTGCCTATTGTGGGACTTCACCTTGTGATCATGTGAGTCAATACTCCTTAATAGACTTCCTTTCATATATATATCTATCCTATTAGTCATGTCTCTCTGGAGAACCCTACTAATACACTGCATGACATTGAGGAATGTATGTCATCTTTCATTGCTTAATTTTTTCATCCCTTAAACCGTGAATTAGTATCTACTTCATGTGGTTATGTGACAATTAAATGAGACAATATATGTTTAGTAGTTACCAGCACTGTTTACCAAATATTTCTGGCTCTCTTCCCTTCTAGGAAGATGACAGAATTGACCTTCATGATCTTTTATGATTTTATAGCTTATAAAATTTCATGTGTCACCTTTGGATCAGAACATTTACTAGATTGTACAATCACACAAGAAGTATCCTTTCCTCTCTCACAGCAACTACTGACATTTAAAATTATTACTGCTCTGTTATCCTGTGTCCCCAAGTGACTAACAATTGGGACCTTTTGACAACCCATGATGAACATATATAACAGATGAATAATAAGCTCTTGTTGAATTAAATCCCCAAGTTCTTTTTATCTTTTAATTTTTCTTAGCACCATATAAATCTCTTCTATCATTACTTATGCAAATATCGATAACTAGAAGTGAGTGACACCATTAAAAACCCTAAATATGTGGCACTGGCTTAGGGACTGGTTAGTCGATAGTGAAGAAACTATTATCAGATGCTAGAAGGATGGAAATCACTCTCATGTAGGGCAACATCTTTTAAAATTTGCTTCTGCAATAACACAGAAATTAGACAATGTGCCTAATGGCAACATAGCATTAGGAGAAGAACCTGGACAATAGACAGTAGCACATAATAGTTGTTGTTGGCTACATTTGGCAAGGTATTACAAAAAATGTATAAGCACAGGTTGAAACAGGAATGAAAGGGACTAGAGAGAGAACCAAAACCTGGGATCTTGCAGTGTTTGAAGAGACAAGAGAGGCATCTCATTCTTAAACCATTTGTAGGAAACTGAGAATGCCTCTGAACAACAAAGTCCAATTAGATGTCATCCATTTTTTAGAAATCAAATGAAGATGTGATTAGTTCACTCACTGTTAAAACCTCTAGATTAAAGCCTTGCCTCAAAAATCCTTTTATTTCGACAAAATGGCTTAGAGAATGGATGAGGGAAGGCTCAAAGTATCTGTAATTAAGTTGAAAATAACTGCACGTGTGGCTTTTGGAACTAAAACTAGAGTAAGATGTGTAACTACTATTAAGATCTTCAGAAAACTGTACTAAGAAAACAATCATGACCCTCTGTTAATATTTTATTTGACCAAGACAAAAAACTGCCCTTGGTCTCCCAAGTTTCTAAGGATAGGGGATTCAGAAATTTGCTCAGCCCCCAAACTGATGTGGTCATGAAGAAAAATGGAAAAGGAACAGTCCCATAAGAAATAGGACATTACCAAGGTCCACCAAAAGCAAAGGATTGGGAAGCACATCTAATAAATAATAGCACAGGTCTAATTAAGGAACAACCCTACACCCCAAGTACAGGAAGTCTCTTGCTATATTTGTCCAGCCAGAGTTTTAATTCCTGTAATCCAAAAACCTTCTGTGTCTCTACTTTTGTCCTTCCAAAATAAGAGTGTTCTTCAAAATCATCCTGTTTTTCTATCATTGTGATAGGTGGTTTCAAAATGCCTCTAAATATTGTGTGTCCTTCTAATGTTCACGCGCCCTTGTAAAAATCTTCTCCCTTTGTGTGTGGACTGGGCCTAATGACTTGTTTCTAACAAATAGCAAGTGGTAAAAATGTTTGGATGTCACTTCCAACATTAGATTATAGAAGAGTAAGACTTTCATCTGGCTTTCACTCTGTCTCATCCTTTCACTTACTGGCTCTCATGAAGCCAAATTCTATATTAATGCCTACCTCAGGGTGAGGCCCACATAGTATGAAAGACAGAGGCCACCAGCCAATAGCTTGAGAGCACACCATACCTTCCGTTCAATGACCCAAAAGGAATGAACCCTTCCAACAATCACTGAGTGGCCTTAGAAGATGATCTTGCCTCCATCAAACTTGAAGTGACTGAGGTCTTGTTCAACAGCTTGTTGTCTTGCAAGACCAAGACCAGAAAACCCACTTAACTCATGCCCAGACTTCTGATATACAGAAACTGCAGATATAAATGGTTTCAGGTAATGTGTCACTCAGTAATAGATAACTAATATAATTTTTTGCACTGAATAAGTTAAAAAGCAGATTCAAAATGTTTAAAGTCACTATTTCTTCAGATCATGAGCAGTTACATCCAGACTTGACATGAAAACGAGAATTTAGAGGGTGGAGCCAAGATGGTCGAATAGGAACAGCTCCAGTCTACAGCTCCCAGCATGAGCGACACAGAAGATGGGTGATTTCTGCATTTCCAACTGAGGTACTGGGTTCATCTCACTGGGGAGTGCCAGACAGTGGGTGCAGGACAGTGGGTGCAACACACTGTGTGTGAGCCAAAGCAGAGTGAAGCATCACCTCACCTGAGAAGCACAAGGGGTCAGGGAATTCCCTTTCCTAGTCAAAGAAAGGGGTGACAGACAGCACCTGGAAAATCGGGTCACTCCCACCTAATACTACACTTTTCCAACTGGCTTAACAAATGGCACACAAGGAGATTATATCCTGCACCTGGCTCGGAGGGTCCTACGCCCATGGAGCCTCACACACTGCTAGCACAGCAGTCTGAGATCAAACTGCAAGGTGGCAGTGAGGCTGGGGCAGGGGCACCTGCCATTGCCAAGGCTTGAGTAGGTAAACAAAGTGGCTGGGAAGCTCGAACTGGGTGGAGCCCACCGCAGCTCAAGGAGGCCTGCCTGCCTCTGTAGGCTCCACCTCTGGGGCAGAGCACAGACAAACAAAGGCAGCAGTAACCTCTGCAGACTTAAATGTCCCTGTCTGACAGCTTTGAAGAGAATAGTGGTTCTCCCAGTATGCAGCTTGAGATCTGAGAATGGGCAGACTGCCTCCTCAAGTGGGTCCTTGACCCCCGAGTAGCCTAACTGGGAGGCACCCCCCAGTAGGGGCAGACTGACACCTCACACCACTGGGTACTCCTCTGAGACAAAACTTCCAGAGGAATGATCAGGCAGCAGCATTTGCAGTTCACCAATATCCACTGTTCTGCAGCCACCACTGCTGATACCCAGGCAAACAGGGTCTGGAGTGGACCTCCGGCAAACTCCAACAGACCTGCAGCTGAGGGTCCTGACTGTTAGAAGGAAAACTAACAAACAGAAAGGATATCCACACCAAAAACCCATCTGTACGTCACCATCATCAAAGACCAAAGGTAGATAAAACCACAAAGATGGGGAAAAAACAGAGCAGAAAAACTGGAAACTCTAAAAATCAGAGCGCCTCTCCTCCTTCAAAGGAATGCAGCTCCTCACCAGCAATGGAACAAAGCTGGACAGAGAATGACTCTGACGAGATGAGAGAAGAAGGCTTCGGAAGATCAAACTACTACGAGCTAAAGGAGGAAGTTCGAACCCATGGCAAAGAAGTTCAAAACCTTGAAAAAAAATTAGACAAATGGCTAACTAGAATAACCAATGCAGAGAAGCCCTTAAAGGACCTGATGGAGCTGAAAACCACGGTATGAGAACTACGTGACAAATGCACAAGCCTCAGTAGCTGATGCAATCAACTGGAAGAAAGGGTATCAGCGATGGAAGACGAAATGAATGAAATGAAGTGAGAAGAGAAGTATAGAGAAAAAAGAATAAAAAGAAATGAACAAAGCCTCCAAGAAATATGGGACTATGTGAAAACACCAAATCTACGTCTGATAGGTGTACCTGAAAGTGACGGGGAGAAAGGAACCAAGTTGGAAAACACTCTGCAGGATATTATCCAGGAGAACTTCCCCAATCTAGCAAGGGAGGCCAAAATTCAAATTCAGGAAGTACAGAGAACGCCACCAAGATACTCCTCGAGAAGAGCAACTCCAAGACACATAATTGTCAGGTTCACCAAAGTTGAAATGAAGGAAAAAATGTTAAGGGCAGCCAGGGAGAAAGGTCGGGTTACCCACAAAGGGAAGCCCATCAGCCTAACAGCTGATCTCTCAGCAGAAACTCTACAAGCCAGAAGAGAGTGGGGGCCAATATTCAACATTCTTAAAGAAAAGAATTTTCAACCCAGAATTTCATATCCAGCCAAACTAAGCTTCATAAGTGAAGAAGAAATAAAATACTTTACAGACAAGCAAATGCTGAGAGATTTTGTCACCACCAGGCCTGCCCTAAAAGAGCTCCTGAAGGAAGCACTAAACATGGAAAGGAACAACTGGTAACAGCCATAGCAAAAACATGCCAAATTGTAAAGACCATCGAGGCTAGGAAGAAACTGCATCAACTAACGAGCAAAATAACCAGCTAACATCATAATGACAGGATCAAATTCACACATAACAATATTAACCTTAAATGTAAATGGGCTAAATGCTCCAATTAAAAGACACAGACTGGCAAATTGGATAAAGAGTCAAGACCCATCACTGTGCTGTATTTAGGAAACCCATCTCACGTGCAGAGACACAAATAGGCTCAAAATAAAAGGATGGAGGAAGATCTACCAAGCAAATGGAAAACAAAAAAAGGCGGGGGTTGCAATCCTAGTCTCGGATAAAACAGACCTTAAACCAACAAAGACCAAAGAGACAAAGAAGGCCATTACATAATGGTAAAGGGTTCAATTCAACAAGAAGACCTAACTATCCTAAATATATATGCACCCAATACAGGAGCACTGAGATTCATAAAGCAAGTCCTTAGTGACCTACAAAGAAACTTAGACTCCCACACAATAATAATGGGAGACCTTAACACCCCACTGTCAACATTAGACAGATCAACGAGACAGAGAGTTAACAAGGATATCCAGGAATTGAACTCAGGTCTGCACCAAGCGGACCTAATAGACATCTACGGAACTCTCCACCCCAAATCAACAGAATATACATTATTTTCAGCACCACAACACACCTGTTCCAAAATTGACCACATAGTTGGAAGTAAAGCACTCCTCAGCAAATGTAAAAGAACAGAAATTATAACAAACTGTCTCTCAGACCACAGTGCAATCAAACTAGAAATCAGGATTAAGAAACTCACTCAAACTGCTCAACTACATGGAACCTGAACAACCTGCTCCTGAATGACTACTGGGTACATAATGAAATGAAGGCAGAAATAAAGATGTTCTTTGGAACCAACGAAAACAAAGACACAACATACCAGAATCTCTGGGACACATTCAAAGCAGTGTGTAGAACAAAATTTATAGTACTAAATGCCCTCAAGAGAAAGCAGGAAAGATCTAAAATTGACACCCTAGCAACACAATTAAAAGAACTAGAGAAGCAAGAGCCAACACATTCAAAATCTAGCAGACGGCAAGAAATAACTAAGATCAAAGCAGAACTGAAGGAAATCGAGACACAAAAACCCCTTCAAAAAATCAATGAATCCAGGAGCTGGTTTGTTGAAAAGATCAACAAAATTGAAAGACCACTAGCAAGACTAATAAAGAAGAAAAGAGAGAAGAATCAAATAGACGCAATAAAAAATGACAAAGGGGATATCACCACCATTCCCACAGAAATACAAACTACCATCAGAGAATACTATAAACACCTCTATGCAAATAAATTAGAAAATCTAGAAGAAATGGATAAATTCCTCGACACATACACCCTCCCAAGACTAAACCAGGAAGAAGTTGAATCTCTGAATAGACCAATAACAGGCTCTGAAATTGAGGTAATCATTAATAGCTTACCAACCAAAAATGTCCACGACCAGATGGATTCACAGCCGAATTCTACCAGAGGTACAAGGAGGAGCTGGTACCATTCCTTCTGAAACTATTCCAATCAATAGAAAAAGAGGGAATCCTCCCTAACTCATTTTATGAGACCAGCATCATCCTGATACCAAAACTGGGCAGAGACACAAAAAAAGAGAGAATTTTAGACCAATATCCTTGATGAACATTGATGCAAATATCCTCAATAAAATACTGGCAAACCAAATCCAGCAGCACATCAAAAAGCTTATCCACTATGATCAAGTGGGCTTCATTCCTGGGATGCAAGGCTGGTTCAACATATGCAAATCAATAAATGTAATCCAGCATATAAACAGAACCAAAGACAAAAACCACATGATTATCTCAATAGATGCAGAAAAGGCCTTTGACAAAATTCAACAACACTTCATGCTAAAAACTCTCAATAAATTAGGTATTGATGGGACGTCTCTCAAAATAATAAGAGCTATCTATGAAAAACCCACAGCCAATATCATACTGAATGGGCAAAAACTGGAAGCATTCCCTTTGAAAACTGGCACAAGACAGGGATGCCCTCTCTCACCACTCCTATTCAACATAGTGTTGGAAGTTCTGGCCAGGGCAATTAGGCAGGAGAAGGAAATAAAGGGCATTCAATTAGGACAAGAGGAAGTCAAATTTTCCCTGTTTGCAGATGACATGATTGTATATCTAGAAAACCCCATCGTCTCAGCCCAAAATCTCCTTAAGCTGATAAGCAACTTCAGCAAAGTCTCAGGAAAAAAATCAATGTACAAAAATCACAAGCATTCTTATACACCAATAACAGACAAAGAGAGAGCCAAATCATGAGTGAACTCCCATTCACAATTGCTTCACAGACAATAAAATACCTAGGAATCCAATTTACAAGGGACATGAAGGACCTCTTCAAGAACTACAAACCACTGCTCAACGAAATAAAAGAGGATACAAACAAATGGAAGAACATTCCATGCTCATGGATAGGAAGAATCAATATCGTGAAAATGGCCATACTGCCCAAGGTAATTTTTAGATTCAATGCCATCCCCATCAAGCTACCAATGCCTTTCTTCACAGAATTGGAAAAAACTACTTTAAAGTTCATATGGAACCAAAAAAGAGCCTGCATTGCCAAGTCAATCCTAAGCCAAAAGAACAAAGCTGGACGCATCTCACTACCTGACTTCAAACTATACTACAAGGCTACAGTAATCAAGACAGCATGATACTGGTACCAAAACAGAGATATAGATCAATGGAACAGAACAGAGCCCTCAGAAATAATGTCACATATCTACAACTGTCTGATCTTTGACAAACCTGACAAAAACAAGCAATGGGGAAAGGATTCCCTATTTAATAAACGGTGCTGGGAAAACTGGCTAGCCATATGTAGAAAGCTGAAACTGGATCCCTTCCTTACACCTTATACAGAAATTAATTCAAGATGGATTAAAGACTTACATGTTAGACCTAAAACCATAAAAACCCTAGAAGAAAACCTAGGCAATACCATTCAGGACAGAGGCACGGGCAAGGACTTCATGACTAAAACACCAAAAGCAATGGCAACAAAAGCCAAAATTGACAAATGGGATCTAATCAAACTAAAGAGTTTCTGCACAGCAAAAGAAACTACCATCAGAGTGAACAGGCAACCTACAGAATGGGAGAAAATTTTTGCAATCTACTTATTTGACAAAGGGCTGATATCCAGAATCTACAATGAACTCAAACACATTTAGAAGAAAAAAACAAACAACCCCATCAACAAGTGGGCAAAGAATGTGAACAGACACTTCTCAAAGGAGGACATTTATGCAGCCAAAAAACACATGAAAAAATGCTCATCATCACTGGCCATCAGAGAAATGCAAATCCAAACCACAATGAGATACTATCTCACACCAGTTAGAATGGCGATCATTAAAAAGTCAGGAAGCAACAGGTGCTGGAGAGGCTGTGGAGAAACAGGAATACTTTTACACTGTTGGTGGGACTGTAAACTAGTTCAACCATTATGGAAGTCGATGTGGCAATTCCTCATGGATCTAGAACTAGAAATACCATTTGACCCAGCCATCCCATTACTTGAGTATATACCCAAAGGATTATAAATCATGCTGCTCTAAAGACACATGCACACGTATGTTTATTGCGGTACTGTTCACAATAGCAAAGACTTGGAACTAACCCAAATGTCCAACAATGATAGACTGGATTAATAAAATGTAGCACATATACACTATGGAATACTATGCAACCATAAAAAATGATGAGTTCATGTCCTTTGTAGGGATATGGATGAAGTTGGAAACCATCATTCTCAGCAAACTATCCCAAGGACAAAAAAACAAACACTGCATGTTCTCACTCATAGGTGGGAATTAAACAATGAGAACACATGGACACAGGAAGGGGAACATCACACTCAGGTGACTGTTGTGGGGTGGGGGGATGGGGGAGGGATAGCATTAGGAGATATACCTAATGCTAAATGACGAGTTAATGGGTGCAGCACACCAACATGGCACATGTATACAATTGTAACAAATCTGCATGTTGTGCACATGTACCCTAAAACTTAAAGTATAATAATAATAAAATTAAAAAAAAAAATGAGTTTGAGAAGAGAGTGAGACAAAAAAAAAAAGAAAACAAGAATTTGTTTCTGTCAGGTGCTAAACGTTCAATGTAATTTCATTTTGGAATGAGATTTACTCTGTAAGCAAGAAGGGAAGTGAATTAAATATCCAATTATAAAAAGAAAGAACTCTGGTGATCCATAGAGCTATTAACCAAATGTTTCCTGTTCTTTTCTCTTCTGTACATGAGGTAGGATAACTTCTTGGACTTTTTGTGATTGGGTGGGCCATTTGACTTGTTCAAACTGTTAAGGTCCTATCATTTAAAGTGATCTTTCCAGCATAGAAGCTGGCAACGTTTGAAATTGTTTCCTTGTTCCTTGATATAGTGAAAAGAGTACCTCTTTTGATCATCAAAGAGTATGTAGCATGAATAGTAAGTAAATTATCCATGTGGCAAACCGAAGAGATATTAGAGATGTTTCTTTGTGTAATATAACCTTGCCTATTCTGATATGTTCAATACATGAAGTACTAAAACTTTTCTTTACATGAAGAATATAAATCCTACATATGTGTTATTCTTTTCTGCGTGATTATACCACTGTAAGTCTAGAACCTCTTATATAGTTAAGGCCAGCTCTAGATTAAGGCAGGATCCACAAACTAATAGGCAGATTGTAGTTATGGGACACTAAAAAGCCATGCAATTATTTTTCCTTCATGATCTCTATTTAGCAAAAATATTAACTCATACTTCAAATTTAATAATTCTTGAAGAAATTTCGTACAAAAAAAGTGGAAATGTAAAATTGTACAACTATTTTGAAGTGAACTGGGAAATTTAGAAACATAAAAAATGATTATCCCAAAAGACTCAAACAATGTAGCTTCTGGGTATCTGCAGCTTGTTCCTATTTGTGAAGATAATTGGTCTTTGACACATCTCTCATAGAGTAAATCTAAATTGGAAACCCATTATAGCTTTATTAAATGTTTAACAAAGCCCCTGGTGTGGTGCCTCACGCCTGTAATCCCAGCACTTAGAGAGGCTGAGGCGGGCAGATCACCTGAGGTCAGGAGTTTGAGAGATCAGCCTGGCCAACATGGTGAAATCCTGTCTCTACTAAAAATACAAAAAATAGCTGTGCATAGTGGCGGGTTCCTGTAATCTCAGCTACTCAGGAGGGTGAGGCAGAAGAATCACTTTAACTCGGGTGGCGGAGGTTGCAGTGAGCCCAGATTGCACCATTGCTCTCCACCCTGGGAAATAAGAGCAAAACATCATCTCAAAAAAAAAAAAAAATAAAACAACACAGCAGCAACACAAACACAAAGTCCACCAAACCCTGTGTTACATGGGAGTGATATCCAAGCTGTTTCTTAAAAATTTGAAGAAACAACATTTCAGATATATCATTTTACAAAATTCTTCATGAAGTCAAAATTTTGTAAAACACAAAATCTTATTTTTCTGGGTGCCTTCATAAATATTTCTTTTGTTTCTCATTTCATTAATTTATACACATTTTGTATACAACCTTTGATTTTCTTTAGGCTTTCTTTCTTTCTATTTTTCATTTTAATGTATAATTTACTAGTTTTAAATGCATTTGACATCATAAATTGATCTGTTTACTAATTTGGCTGCATTCAACAAGTTTTGTTAGGTAGTACTTTCATTATATTTCACTCTAAATATTTCGTATTTTATAGTTATTTCCCTTAGATAAAATGGTCATTTTGAATTTCACTTTTTTCATTAAAAATAAAAAATTTTAAATATATTTTATATAAGTTAAACATCTATAAATTGTTTAGTTGCACTTTAGTCAGAGAACTTACCTATATGATCAAATTATTAAAACTTCATTGAATTTTTAACTTAGATTTTAAAGAATTCATTCATACAATTTATACTTGAAAATCTTGTATGGTCTCTATGTATTGGTGAGTTATATGTGAATTATATATGTGTGAATACCCCCCCCGCCCACACACACACATCCATACATACATACTTGTTAATTTTTGCTAGTGTTTACTATAATATATAGCCATTTCTGATGGAGGCATGTTAAAAGCTCTTGTTTTATGGCCTTATGAATTTTGTGATATTGTTACTTCATGCTTTATATAATTTTTTGGTACACAAAAAATATTTGTTTATAAATACTCTTCATATAAATATTTTAAACATCTCTATATAAATAATTCTGTGTCATTTATTAGTTCTACCTATTTAATATAAAATATAAGTATATAAGTATATTTATTTAGCTGAATTTATAATCTGTATTTTAATGGTTACTTTATTCTGTTTATGTTGATTGGATATATTGCAGTCATAGAGGCTGCTGAGCAGACTTATTGGAAGTTGTCATGGCAACACAGTTGATTGATTATTTCCAACTGCTGCAAATTAAGATCCACCATATCATTCATGCCAAAGTTACACTTCCCCTGGACTGTTACCAGCAATAACTGCACAGTATACTATTGCTAAGCCGTGGATGCCTAACACAGGACTCCTCCAATAGACATCTCTCACATGAGGTATCGACAAGGACCACGACTTTTCTCAGAAGTACACAGTAACCTCCCCTCCAATTCAGTTCTTGCTCCCTTTTCTCCATTCACTTTGGTAAGCCCTTATTCTGTAAAAGCCTCCTTTTCATTCTTCAAAGACATTACTTGTGTGCCAATTTAGGTAAGCATCAGCCTTTAGAAGATTTAAAGTGGCACATCTTACTAGATAGATGAGAATTTATTTTTTCACCCACTATCTTGTGCCTTTTAAATCTTCTTTTTATTTACCTGTTCATTTCTTCCTTCCCGCTTCTGTTTAAATTGATAAAGCTTCTGTATAACAAATGTATTTTCTCCCTATATTTGGAAGCTTTGCCCTGATATCTATTCTTCTATTGTATTGTAAATCCCAGTTTTTATTTGGTTGCAATTGCCAACCAAAAAAAAAAAAAAAACCAGTGAAATAAAAAACAACAATAAAACATTTCTAAGCTATTTAAGCTAGATGTGGCCTTGTGACTCTATGCTGACTAACAAATATTATCTGATGTGGTAATAGAAATTACACCAAACATGACCCAATAAACCAGCAACAGAAAGAACACATTGAAATAAAAGGATAGCAGTCCCAAATGGCAAGGGTGCTGTGCAAAATAAATATGGATTAAAAGAACAATAAACTCATGATAGCTCAGCCAAGATTTTTAGAAGAAATGGACAAAAGAGAAAGCAATGCATACTTTACAATAGTGGTGTAGACCACAAAATTAAGAACAAAGGGCCTAAAAAATCAGAGGAATGGTAGATAGAAATTAAGAGGAGAAGATAAGTGTAGAAGTAAATAATAAAAAGTGGTTATCTCACCTAAGAATTACAGATATGCACCTAACAATGAAGCCTGAACAACTAGTAAAAATTGACACTAAATTTTCTGGAAAATATTTTGAGCTATGATATGAATATTCAGCTATAAAGGGCTTTCTTACTTGAAAATAATTTAATAATACAATATATACACATGGATTTCCTATCAATAGTTTTGAATTAAATAATAATAAGCTATCTTCCAGATAAATATCAATGTGACATAAAATTCCTTTCTAATGCTAAATGCTGGAAAATGATTAAGTGGGAAGTTTTGACTGAAACATTTTATATATATAGCCAGATTGTATTTCATGTGAGAAAGTTATGTCAAAAATTATCAGATATGATACAGCTCCAGCCTATGTAACCTTGGCAAAAGTATGTAATGATTCCATCCAGATTGCCAAAAAAAGAGAACTAAGCTAAGGTTATAATAAGTAAACACATGGCCAGAAATGACAGACAATTGCTTTTGAACATGAATTTATGTCTAAGTAATTATTATAGTTCTAAAGTTTGTAACATCAAAACCCCTGAGGTAAAAATGGTAGAAAATGCAAGTTGCCTTGTATAAGAATGGGATATTAAGAAGCCCTTGTTAATTTTAGGGAAAATACGGCTTGAAAAATAATTTTTGAAATGTTAAACATAACCTCTTATCAAATTGACAGAATAATTCATTAATCTATTTCATCACCTAAAACTAATACATTTGTATTATATTTCTATTAAATGTCAAAAAATGTCCAGTTTCTAGAAAGATAAATGAAAAATATTATGCCTCCAATGCACTCAAGAATATCACAGTTCAGTAAGAAAAACTGGCACAAGCAGTTAATTATAAAAAGTGTACAAATAACTATAGTATACCAAGGAAACAGTGTCAAAGAATATAAATCCCTGTTTGAGAATAATCAGGGGAATTGGAATTGTAGCAAATGGGACTGAAAAAACATTTATGAAATAAATATTAGGTCATTGTCAGTGGAAAGCAAAGCAAAATGATCATTTCCTAGGTAAAACATACAATAAAAATTATAAAGGCAAGAAAAAACATGGTAGAGGAAACAAAATCAGATTGGTGATACTAACTAATAATGGGACAGTGACTAGAAATTAAAATGGAAAGACTCGTCAATAGGTCTTGCCTGAGGCCTCTGTTCTGATCTCTGTGGTACAATCTTGGCTCAGTGAAACCTCCTCCTGTCGAGTTCAATTGATTCTCCTCTCTCAGCCTCCCAGGTAGCTGTGGTAACAGGTGTGTACCACCATGCTGGGCTACTTTTTGGATTTTTTTGTAGAGACATGGTTTCGCCACCTTGGCCAGACTGGTCTTGAACTCCTGACCTCAAGTGGTCCACTTGCCTCAACCTCCCACCAGGGATTGGTGTTTTATTTTATTTTATTATTTTTGGCAGCAATTGTGAAGGAGGTTGAGTTCCTTATTTGGTTCTCAGTTTGGTTGCTGTTGGTGTATAGCAGTGCTACTGGTTTTTGTACATTGATTTTGTATCCCGAAACTTTGTTGAATTTATTTACCACATCTAGGAGCTTTTTGGATGAGTCATCAGGGTTTTCTAGGTATACCATCATGTCATCAACAAATAGCAACAGTTTGACTTCCTCTTTACCAATTTGGATGCCTGTTATTTCTTTCTCTTTTCTGATTGTTCTGGCTAGGGCTTCCAGTACTATGTTGAATAGAAGTGGTAAAAGTGGCCATTTTTTTTGTCTTGTTTTAGTTCTCAGTGGGAATGCTTTCAACTTTCCCTGTTCAGTATAATGTTGACTGTTGGTTTGTCATAGATGGCTATTATTACCTTAAGGTATGTCCCTTCTACATCTATTTTGCTGAGGGTTTTAATAATAAAGAGATATAGTATTTTGTCAAATGCTTTTCCTGTGTCTATTGAGATGGTCATATAATTTTTGTTTTTCATTCTGTTTATGTGATGTATTACATTTATTGACTTGCATGTGTTAAATCCTCCCTGGATCCCTGGTAGAAAACCCACTTGATCATGATGGATTATCTTTTTGATATGCTGTCGGATTCAGTTAGCTAGTATTTTTGTTGAGAATTTTTGCATCTACATTCATCAGAGATATTGGTCTGTAGTTTTCCTTTTTGTTATGTCTTTTCCTGGGTTTTATTATTGGGGTGATACTGACTTCATAGAATGATTTAGGGAAGATTCCGTCTTCCTCTGCCTTTTGGAATAGTTTAGTAGTATTGGTACCAATTATTCTTTGAATATTTGATATAATCCAGCTGGGAATTTCTCTAATCTTTGACTTTTTTTGACGATTTTTCTATTATCATTTCAATCTTGCTGCTTGTAATTGGTCTTCTCAGGGTGTCTATTTCTTCTTAGTTTAATCTAGGAGGGTTGTATCTTTCCAGGAATTTATCCATTTCCTCTAAGTTTTCTAGGTTGTGCATATAAAGGTGTTCATGTTATCCTTGAATGATCCTTTGCATTTCTGTGTATTGGTAGTAATATCTCCAGTTTCATTTCTAATTGAGCTTATTTGGATCTTCTCTCTTCTTTTCTTGATTAATCTCACTAATGGTCTATCAATTTGTTTATCTTTTCAAAGAACCAATAAAAGTTTTTTTTATTATCTTTTGTATTTTTTTGTTTTGATTTCATTTAGTTCTGCTCTTATCTTTGTTATTTCTTTTCTTCTCAGGGTTTGGCTTTGTTCTTATTTCTCTAGTGCCTTGAGGTGTGACCTTAGATTGTATATTTGTGCTCTTTCAGACGTTTTTATGCAGGCATTTAATGTTATGAACTATCCTCTTAGCACCATTTTTGTTGTATCCCAGTGGTTTTGACAGGTTGTGTCACAATTTTCATTCAGTTAAAATAATTTTTTAAATTTACATCTTGATGTCATTGTTGACCCAAAGATCATTCAGAAGTAGATTATTTAATTTCCATTTACTTGCATGGTTTTGAGGGTTCCTTTTGGAGTTGATTTCAAATTTTATTCCACTGCGGTCTGAGAGCGTATGTGATATATTTTAATTTTCTTAAATTTATTGAGAGTTGTTTTGTAGCCTATCGAATGGTCTGTCTTGGAGAATATACAATGTGCTGATGAATAGAATGTATATTCTTCAGTCTGTTGTGTCTGTTATAAGAATAGCTATGTCTGCTTGCTTTTGGTGACAATTTGCATGGAATATCTTTTTTCACCTCTTTGCCTTAACTTTATGTGAGTCCTTATGTGTTAGGTGAGTCTCTTGAAAACAGCAGATACTTGGTTGGTAAGTTCTTATCCATTCTGCCATTCTCTATCTTTTAAGTGGAGAATTTAGGTCATTTAAATTAAACATTAGTATTGAGACATGAGGTACTATTCTATTCATCATGCTAGTTGTTGCCAGAATACCTTGGTTTTTCTTTTTTCATTGTGTTATTGTTGTATAGGCCCTGTGAGATTTATGCTTTAAGGAGGTCATTTTTGGTATATGTTATGGTTGTGTTTCAATATTTTGAGCTCCTTTCAGCAGCTCTTATAGTGCTGGCTTGGTAGCAGTGAATTCCCTCAGCTTTTGTTTGTCTGAAAAATACTTTATATCTCCTTCAATTATGAAGCTTTGTTTCTCTGGATACACAACACTTGGCTGATAATTATTTTGTTTAAGAAGGCTAAAGATAGGATCCCAATCCCTTCTAGCTTGTAGGGTTCCTGCTGAGAAATCTGCTGTTACTCTGATAGGTTTTCCTTTATAGGTTACCTGATGCTTTTGCCTCATGTCTCTTAAGATTCTTTCCTTCTTCTTGACCTTAGATAACGTGATGACTATGTACCTAGGTCATAATCTTTTCGTGATGAATTTTCTGGGTGTTCTTTGAGCTTCTTTTGTTTGGATGTCTCTATTTCTATCAATGCCAGGGAAGTCTTCTTGATTATTCCCTCAAATAAGTTTTGCAAACTTTTAGATTTCTGTTTTTCCTCAGGAACACCAAGTATTCTTACGTTTAGTAGTCTAACGTAATCCCAAACTTCCTGGGGGCTTCGTTCATTTTTTTAATTTCTTTTTTCTTTGTTTTTGTTGGATTGGGTTAATTCAAAAGCCTTGTTTTTGAGCTCTGAAGTCCTTTCTTATACTTGTTCAAGTCTACTATTGAAACTTTCCAGTGTAGTTTGCATTTCTTTAAGTGTGACTTTCATTTCCAGAAGTTGTGATTGTTTTTTATTTATGATATCTATTTCTCTGGAGATTTTTTCATCTGTATTTTTTTTTATATATATATATTCCTTTAAGTTGTTTTTCACCTTTCTCTGATGCCTCCTTGAGTAGCTTATTATCTCAGATGGCAACCTTGAATTCTTCTGATTTTTTTTTTTTTTCGGGCAATTTAGAAATTTCCTCTTGGTTTGGATCCATTGCTGGTGAGCTAGTGTGATTGTTTGGGAATGTAATAGAAACTTATTTTGTCATATTACCAAAATTGTTTTCCTGGTTCCTTCTCATTTGGGTAGACTATGTCAAATAGAAGGTCTGAGACTCAAGGGCTGCTGTTCAGAATCTTTTATCACATGGGGTGATCCCCTGATGTGGTGCTCTCCCCCTACCCCTTGGGATGAAGCTTCTTGAATGCCAGACTGCAGTGATTATTATTACTCTTCTGAGATTAGCTGCCCTGTGGAACTACCAGGCTCTGGGCTGGTACTGGGGAGTATCTACAAAAAGTCCTGTAATGTGACCCATCTTCAGGTCTGTCAGCTGCGGATACCAGCACCTGTTCTGGTGGAGGTAGCAGGGTGGTGAATCTTACTCTGTGAGAGTCCTTGTTTGTAGTTTTGTTTACTGTGCTCATTTCCTCAAATGCTGGTTATACTAGCAGGGAATTTGTCACATGGACAGACTCAGGACCTCTGGCTCGACAGGATTTTACAGGCAGTGAAATTAGTTGCCGTTTTCTCCTTCCTTGGAGCAGGGTTGTTCTGTTATGAGTTGCTGTAATGGCTTTAGTTGGTTGACCTCTAGCCAGGTGGTGGCTCTTTCAAGAGAGCACCAGCTATGGTAGTCTAGGGGGATACAACTTTGCCCTAACAGCATCCGGATAAGTGTTTGGGTTTCTCAGGTTATGGACAAGGCCATAGTGCTCCCCAAACTTTATGTCTTTTGTCTTCGGCTACCGGGTTAGATAGAGGAAGACAATCAGGTGGGAGCAGGGCTAAGCATGTCTGAGCTCAGACTGTCCTTGGATGGGGCTTGCTGCAGCTACTGTGGCGGATGGGAGTGGTTCTTAGGCCAATGGAGTTATGTTCCCAAGGGGATTATGACTGCCTCTGCTGCTTTGTTCAGGTTGCCCAAAAAGTGGGGAAAAGCCATCAGTGACAGGCCTCACCCAGCATCCATGCAAGTGGTAAGGCCAATCTCACACCTGCCGTGCTCCCTCAACAGTTAGCAGAGCCAAATTTATACCCAGGCCTCTGCTGCACAGGGCTGAGATCTTGCCCCATGCCACAAGCCTACCCACTGAGAAGGCAAGGCAGGATTTCAGGCCTTACCCCTTCCTGTGTGTTGTGACTTCTGTGCTCCTATCTGCACTTCCTGTTCACACCCCCGGATTCTGCCCAGGAAAATGTGTGCTCTGTTGAAATTATTACAAAGTTTACATGGATGTCTCTTTCTCCCTGTGGCCCTTTCCCAATTCCACTGGCTGTCCTCCCCAAAGACCTCTGTTGAGAGAAAGTCAGAAATGACTTCCCTGGGCTTCTCTGAGGACCAGGAGTACCTATAGGGCTCTTCCTGCTGCTTCTCCTATTTTTATATTTTGCTCAGCTCTCTAAATTCATTTCAGCTCTAGGTAAGTTTCAACTTTTCCTCCCATGATCTGGATTTTCAGGTTCCCCAGTAAGGATGTGTGTTCAGAGGTGGACTTTTCCCATCTCACACTTTGGGCACTCACAGTTTTTCAGCTGTCTCAGAGTTTACAGCCACAAGCCACTGCTTTCAAAAGATCTGTGGACCCTTCAAGTTTTATTGGTATATTCCTGCAGTGGTTCTTGGAGCAAAAGTTCACTATGTGAGTCTCCACATGTTGCTCTGTCAGTGTGAGTGGGAGCAGCCCTCCTCCTTGTTTTAATTACTGTAGAGGAATATCACTGAAAGCTATCCAGTACACTTTAATTTTAAAAGCAGGGATAGTGTCTAGCTCATTATTTTATCAACAGTGAATGGCATAACTTATTGGTGAGTTATAAAACAAATCAGTAAGGTTTCACTTTTAAAATGGTTAAACCATTAAAAGGAATATAAACTGGTAAAAATGTTTTTCTGTAAAGCAAATTGGATATAATAAGTCTTAAATTGTGTATATTCTTTAAATTTGAAGTAATATGTCTTAAATTGTATATATCCTTTAATCTGTATTTTTACTTCCAAAAGTGTCTTAAAGATAAAGAAAAGAGAAATATATATGGAAATATATTATTTTTATGATATTTTACTAGCAAAAATAAGTGTGCAACCTAAATGTACCATAATATGATAATAAATGTAGTAAATTAAATATGATTTACCTTTATATGAAATCTTACATTGCTATTAAATATGGTGTATGGTGACATGGGATCATGGTAAATATATATGTATATATATATATTGTAATTTTAAATAATGTATTTGCATGTATATAAAGACCATTTTTATAAATGTATTCAATTAAGTCTGAACTCTTCCAATGTGCCGGTCTCTCTTTTAAAGTGCTGCAAACACTTGGATGTAAAAGACACGGTGCTACAAGAGCTCCACCCTTGCAAACTGGATTTTAATACTTAGTTTGAATTACTTGTTAAATAAATGAATTATATTTTTATTTAAATCAATTTTGATACATATGTGGTTAAAACGTCAAGCCTCTTGAAATAATTCTTACTACTTAGCGTCTGGAAAAAGGAGACAGAATGGCTGAGTGTTCTCAGTGAATATTGGTGCACTAATGTAGCCTTAGCTCATAAACTAATTGATTCAGACTGGATGAGATTGAGTTGACTGGTATACATTTCTTAATCTCCCCAAGGCTCTTTCCTCTTCATGAAACAAAGGGCTAAATAAATTCATGTTAGCTGAACTATAAGATTTTAAAATAATATAATCTAAGTTTTCAGCATCTTAACCTATTGTAAATTCTCAAAACATTATTCTCAAAAATTATTATTAATTCTTAGAAAAGAAGGTGAGAGGGAGAGAATGGAAAGTGAGGAGAAACAGTCAAAAGCTTCAATAAAGGAACATAGGAACTAGCTTTGACACATAATATGATGTGCTAAATTCTGCTTAGCTCGAGAATGAGAGAAAATACTACTGAAGATTCCTTAGAGCAGATGATATTTGACTTTGTCCTTAAAGGCAGGGTTTTGCTGTCTGACGAAGAAAGAAAAAGGCGTTTTCACGCACAGGTATTATTTTTGTAGATATGACAATAAGTAGATCATATGCCATTTTGGGGAATATTTTACCTAATAAGACAGTTTTGTGATACCTTTTGGTTTTAAAAGAACAATGTTTGTGGTATTGTTGGTGGAGGTGTTGGCTTTTTCTTTATTTTCCTTTCCAAGTTTCTTTTCTCCTAATTTCCGCTTATTTTCTCTTTTGGCCAAACTGTTTTGATTAACCTAACTCTAGGCCTAAATAGCTGAAGACATTAATGATTCTCTGGAACAAGGACTTGGCAGTAATAATTCCTAGCTTGAACTCGGGAACACGATTTGGGGCAATTTGCTAATACTTTGTGGCTTGGAGCCTGGCTTAAAAACTTACAACAAATACAGTTTCTTCAAATGAAGAATAAGAATATAGCTAATGGCTCTAGAAAAATCCCGCAATGGGGAGTCTCGATCCATCTTTAACATCTGCAACTTTTTAAAGAGAATATTTCTTTTGATAATAAGACTGGCCTTTAAATTAGTTGAAGAGTATATGTCTCAAGTTAAAAATAGATTAATTTACCTGGTTTACAATAGAGTAGTTAAAATTTATGCACATAAGCTGGGTTGGAAATAGAAAGTGTGACCAACTTTCAGCAATATTATTTATTTATTACTTTTCTTTTTCCAATATTTATTTTAGGTTCAAGGGGTACATATGCAGATTTTTTTCTTTGGGTAAATTGCATATTGTAGGAATTTGGTGTACAGAATATTTTGTCAGCCCAGTAATCAGCACAATACCCACTAGGTAATTTTTAATTCTCACTCTCCTCCTATCCTTCACCCTCAAGCAGATCCCAGTGTCTATTGTTCCCTTCTTTGTGTCCTTGTGTACTCAGTGTTTAGTAACCTTTTGAGAGGTGACAGCGTGCTGGCAGTCCTCAGAGACCTCACTTGCTCTTGGCACCTCCCCTGCCTGGGCTCCCACTTTGGTGGCATTTGAGGAGCCCTTCAGTCCCCCACTGCACTGTGGGAGCCCCTTTCTGGGCTGGCCAAGGCCAGAGCCCACTCCCTCAGCTTGCAGGGAGGTGTGGAGGGAGAGGCACGAGCGGGAACCAGGGCTGCGTGCGGCACTTGCAGGCCAGCTGGAGTTCCGGGTGGGCGTGGGCTTGGTGGGCCCCGCACTCAGAGCAGCCAGCCAGCCCTGCTGGCCCCGGGCAATGGGGGACTTAGCACCGGGGCCAGTGGCTGCGGAGGGTGTACTGAGTCCCCCAGCAGTGCTGGCCCACCGGCGCTGCGCTCGATTTCTCGCCGGGCCTTAGCTGCCTTCCCACAGGGCAGGGCTCAGGACCTGCAGCCCGCCATGCCTGAGCCTCCCACCCACTCCATGGGCTCCTGTGCCTCCCAAGCCTCCCCGACGAGCACCACCCCCTGCTCCAAGGCGCCCAGTCCCATCCACCACCCAAGAGCTGAGGAATGCAAGCGCATGGTGCAGGACTGGAAGGCAGTTCCACCTGCAGCCCTGGTGCGGGATCCACTAGGTGAAGCCAGCTGGGCTCCTGAGTCTGGTGGGGACGTGGAGAGTCTTTGTATCTAGCTCAGGGATTGTAAATACACCAATTGGCATCCTGTGTTTAGCTCAAGGTTTGTGAGTGCACCAATCGACACTCTGTATCTAGCTGCTCTGGTGAGGACATGGAGAACCTTTATATCTAGCTCAGGGATTGTAAATACACCAGTCAGCACCCTGTGTTTAGCTCAAGGTTTGTGAGTGCACCACTCGACACTCTGTATCTAGCTGCTCTGGTGAGGACGTGGAGAACCTTTATGTCTAACTCAAGGATTGTAAATACACCAATGGGCCCTCTGTATCTAGCTCAAGCTTTGTAAACACACCAATCAGCACCCTGTGTTTAGCTCAAGGTTTGTGAATGCACCAATCGACACTCTGTATCCAGCTGCTCTGGTGGGCCTTGGAGAACCTGTGTGTCGAAACTCTGTATCTAACTAATCTGATGGGGAGGTGGAGAACCTTTGTATCTAGCTCAGGGATTATAAACACACCAATCAGCGCCCTGACAAAATAGGCCACTCGGCTCTACCAATCAGCAGGATGTGGGTGGGGCCAGATAAGAGAATAGAAGCAGGCTGCCCTAGCCAGCATTGGCAACCTGCTGGGGTCCCCTTCCACACTGTGGAAGCTTTGTTGTTTCACTCTTTGCAATAAATCTTGCTACTGCTCACTCTTTGGGTCCACGCTGCTTTTATGAGCTGTAACACTCACCGCGAAGATCTGCAGCTTCACTCCTGAGACCACGAGCCCACCAGGAGGAACGAACAACTCCAGATGCGCTGCCTTAAGAGCTGTAACACTCACCGGGAAGGTCTGCAGCTTCACTCCTGAGCCAGCGAGACCACGAACCCACGAGAAGGAAGAAACTCCGAACACATCTGAACATCAGAAGGGACAGACTCCAGACGCGCCACCTTAAGAGCTGTTAACACTCACCGCGAGGATCCGCGGCTTCATTCTTGAAGTCAGTGAGACCAAGAATCCACCAATTCCGCACACATTTTTATAAGTGAAAACGTGGTATTTGGTTTTCTGTTCCTGTGTTAATTCCTTAGGATAATGGCCTCCATCTCCATGCATGTTGTTGCAAAGGACATGATCTCTTTTTTTTGTTTGTTTTTTTTGAGTCAGAGTCTTGCACCGTCACCTGGGCTGAGTGCAATGGCACGATCTCGGCTCAATGCAACTCTGCCTCCTGGGTTCAATCAATTCTCCTGCCTCAACCTCCTGAGTAGCTGGGATTATAGGCGGGCACCACCACGCCCGGCTAATTTTTTGTATTTTTAGTAGAGACAGGGTTTCACTATGTTGAACAGACTGGTCTTGAACTCCTTGTGATCCGCCTGCCTCAGCCTCCCAAAGTGCTGTGATTACAGGTGTGAACCAACACGCCTGACTGATCTGATTTTTTTTTTATGGCTATGTAGTATTCTATGGTGTATATCTACCACATTTTTTCTTGTCCAGTCCACCACTGATGGGCATCTAGATTGATTTCATGCCTTTGCTGTTGTGAATTATGCTGTGAACATACACATGCATGTCTTTAAGGTAAAATGATTTGTACTCCTTTAAGTATATACTTAGTTATGGGATTGCTGAGTCAAATAGTCATTGTATTAAGTTATTTGCAAAATCTCCAGACTGATTTCCACAGTGGCTGAACTAATTTACATTTTTACCAGCAGTATATAAACATTTCCTTTTTATCTGCAGTCTCATCAGCATATGTCATTTTTTTAACTTTTTAATAATACCCATTCCGACTGGTGTGAGATGATATCTCATCATAGTTTTGATTTACATTTCCCTAATAGTTAATAATATTGAAAATTTTTTCATATGCTTGTTGGCCAGGTGTATGTCTTACTTTGAGAAGTGGCTGCTCATGTCCTTTGCCCATCTTTTAATGGGGTTGTTTGTTTTTTGCTTATTGATTTGTTTAAGTCCCTTATAGATTATTGATATTAGACCTTTGTCAGATGCACAGTTTGCAAATATTTTCCCATTCTATAGGTCAACTGTTTACTCTGTAAGTTTATTTTTCTCTGCAAAAGCTCTTTAGTTTAATTAGGTCCACTTGTCAATTTTTGTTTTTGTTGCAATTGCTTTTGGAGTTTTCATCATGAATTCTCCGCCAGGGCCAATGTCCAGCATGGTATTTCCTAGGTTTTTTTCTAGAGTTTTTATAGTTTAGCAATAGAATTTAAAAGGCTTGGTAAATATTTCTGCCTGGGTGTCAGAGCTCATTAATGCCTGGTCACTCAAGTTGTGGTCAAAGCTTTGATAGCTCTTTAAAAAATTATCCCATAGCTTTTTTCTCTTTGGTGAAGTCTAAGTAAGGCAGCTGCTACTTCTGAAAACAAAAGCACTTATAGAAATGTCATTTTTTAAATTTTCATATGAGATAGGCTCATTTGCTATAAAAACTTTAGCTTTCCACGGCAATTCCACTCCTCCCACCTCCATACTTTTCTCAGTCTGGAAATGTATCTTCTTGAAGTAAACGAAATAAATCTGAAACTGTTTGTTTTAGTGATAAGAATGTAGTAGACAGCCTCTAATATAGCAACCAATGATTTCTGCCTCCCAGTATACACACTCTTGTATAATCCCTTCCCCTTTAGTGTGGGCTGGATTTATTAACTGCCTTCTACCAAATAGAACACACAAGAAGTTATATGATACCAGTTCTGCCTGTGATTAGAATATTACAGGTCATGACTTCCATCTTGGATTTTCTTTCTCTCTCTTCCTCTTCCTCTCTCTCTCTCTCTCTCTCACACACACACACACACACACACACACACACACACGCTCTTTCTTTAATTGCAAGCTCAGGGGCAAGGCACCTGTAATGTCATAAGGCAGCCTTGTAGAGAGTCTAACATGAGTGAAATTGAAGCAGATTTTTCCCCAGTTGAGACTTCAGAAAAGATGAAAGTCCTGGCTGACAACTTTACTGCAGTCTCATAAAGACAAGGTCTTTCTGAAAGACCTTGAGACAGAGGCACCCAGCTAAGCCACCTCCAGATTCCTGACCCACAGAAACTTTAAGATAATACATTTTTATTGTTTTAATATGTATGGTTCAAGCAAATTTAAAGAAGGATTTGACAAAGATTTTCTTACAGGGCAAGATAATAAATATTTAGGCTGTAGGCAATACTGAATCTGTCACAGCTCAAAATATGCCATTGTACCATGAAAGCAGTCATAGATAATACAGAAACAAAAAGGGATGACTGTATGACTCTCTTTCAAGATAACTTTATTTACAAAAACAGAAACTGGTTCATGAGCTGTAGTTTGCAGACACTTTATTTATAGGAAATGCCAATAAGAATAAAACAGGAGGGACAAGTAAAATAAGAAGTGTTCTAAATGGCTTGAGGCCTATGACTTCTATCTACTTCTATAAGTATGTAAAAATGTTTATAACTTTTTTCTTCCTTTTTTCCTTCTTTCCTTTATTCTTTTTCTGTTTTATGACTTCACTTTTTCACTTTTGCTTTTCTCCCTCTCTTTCCTTTTTAATGCATTCTCTGCTTTTTGCTTCTCACTCACCCTCTGTGAAATAGTTGCAAAGTTGATTTACCATTATCTGGACAAATCACCAAATCCTTTATTAATACTTCCTATGTTATGAATATTGGATGCTTTTATGTCTTTCTATAAGGGCATTCAACTGTGAAATACATTGGTACTAATAACGTACAAAATTTTAAGTGTGTCTCCTTCCATTTTTCTTTAATAGTGTAGTTGTAATTCCTGGACTAAGCCCGACTACTAATAGATCCAAGTTATATGCTTTTATTCAGAAATAATCATCATACTATGATGATCTCTTTCTCTGTCTCTGTCTCTCTCTCTCTCTCTATCTATCTCTTCAGATTATACTGACATCTAGCAGAACCCAACCCCAAAAAATAACATACAGAGGAAGTCAGATCTCATTATGACGGGTGGAAAAAATAAAATGTCTGAAGATTGGAGAGCAGCTACAGAGTGCTGCACCATTTCTTTAAGAGAACAATTAATTCTGAGAATCTTAATGTGGAAGATAATGAATAAATATAGTTTAATTTATATTTTCTGTGTCTGTCTCTCCTATAAGCCACAAAGCTTCTTGCTATTAAAAATATAAATGTTACAACGTTTGTAAAACTGTTTATTCATCTGTAAAATGAGAATCATGTTGGCTATATACATGTCGAGATTTTTGTAAGGATTAATATGTGAGGAGGTACATATCACATTCAAAATGGATATGAACATTCATTTGGGAATAAGTAATATAAAAAGCTTTATGGTAGGTAATGTTTATTGAATTATTTCCAGTTTGATCACTTCAATTTCCATATAAGATTATTTCAAATACTACCAACTATGCTTTTATCATGTCTTGTCTAAAACATTGAATTTCATTTCATTTGCCTCTATGCTAGAAGGGCAACCTATTCTTTATCCCCATTTTGGAACTTTGTATGAATATGTAATGCCTGGAGCTCAAACTTCACAGTTATAGAAAAGACGGAAATCTTTAATTTTGTTCTAGACCTTGACACCAGGGCTGTATGCTAATCAACTGTGGCAATTATTTCTGTGTAATTTACTAATTTCAGTTAAGACCACTTAGTTGGCCAGTGAAGTCCCTCAGTGTCAGAAGCCAAGGCATTTATTTCTGAGCAGTAATAATAGCTTCTAATAGCTATGTTAATATCCTACGGGAAGTAGAAGCCTCAGTGCCCTCTTCAATAATTAAAACAATTTTTTGTGTAAATTCATTAAAACAGAATGTACATGGGGCCTAGAAGATGCTTGGCATGTGGTAGGTACTAAAATGTTTGTTGACAGTATCTAGAAATAAATAAGTATTTGAAAGTTTAATGCATCTACATATATCATTTTCCATACTGGGATAATTTTAAAAGTCAAAAGAAAATCTATCAGTGAAACAGGCATAAACAGGGTCTGTCTTAGGTGAAATAGGATTTATGTGAATGCTAATGAAAATTTATATGTTTTAGTGGTCTACATCTTTTGGTGTATTAGACAGTTGCACTTTATAGAAGCCAAATACTTAAACAATATGGAATATTATCTTTGAACCTAGTAATTACTTTGAGAACTCAAAAATCAACATGTATATTTTTCTATTTTCAGAAGTCAGCTCTAAATTTGTTCCTCTAGAGTAACATGATGACCATTCTGGCTGAGCATTACTGAAAATGTGTAGGTTATGACTGAAAAAACCATTCAGAGAGAACTTAACTTCAAATCTTTGTATAGTGTGTGTTCATGGGATAAGTAAAAGATAAATTTGCAAAGCCACCCAAAGTTTTTGGATTTTCATGATTAGTTAAGTCAATTTTAATATCAGCTTCTAGGGGCTTTGTAATCAAGTTATTCAGAGAAACAACGTTCCGGATGAAAACAAAATTAATCTTCCACTACAGATGTGTCTTTTGGGGTCTTTTTCTGTCAATAAATTTTGTTAATTGAGAAAAATAATACATACTATATGCTAATCTTTATTTTCTTTTGAAATTATATATTTCTTGGTCATACATTTAAAGGATAAGTTTGCAACTGAAGCTTAGAGAATTTTATCAGTTTAGGATTGAATGATTTGAGAAGGGGATGATTATTTCATGATCATTTTGGTAAACTGCAGCCTGGATATTATTTAATTAGAGGCAGTCCATAACTCTAGCTCCTGGAGGAAAAATATGGCAGCCTAGTCCTTTAAATCTTGAGGCTCTAAAACTAAAATATTATTAGTACCATTGAAATAAGCATTTGAAATTTTACCACCTGCCACTCATGGTTACAATTTCAAGTGGTTTTCATATTTTGATTATGAAAGGTGAGCACAAGTACTATTATCAGTGACATAAGAAGCTTATTTTATATCATAAATTGTGATCATAATTTGATGATACTTTTATCTCACAGTAAATATCATTTTTTTAAAGTCTTAGTTTTATCTCAATGTAACTGACATTCCCATTGTAGTTTTACATTACTCTTGCTCTTTAAATTATTCCTTGAATAAAATGGTACATTAAAAATCTTTACAGAGCAACTTATTCTAATCACTCCATTTAAATTTTTATTTCTTATGTTTTATAACTAATGAATTATGTAGTTTACTCTTAGTAGTAGAGGAATCTCCAGAGTAATATTTACTTAGTACTATGGTCTTCCATTACACAGATGAGTTAAAAACTCTGAATCATTTGTACGCCTTTAAATTGTGTTTCTGGATGAATTATGTCTCAGTTGAATTCCTAATTTTGAGAATATGTTGGTAACTTCAACGTGCTTTATTCAGTTTAAATTAAAATCAACCACAGCAGGGTGCAGTGGCTCACGCCAGTAATCCTAGTGTTTTGGGAGGTTGAGGTGGGAGGATCACTTGAGGCCAGGAGTTTGAGAACAGCCTGGACAACATAGCAAGAGCTCATCTCTACAAAAGCAATTTAAAAAATTAACCAGACATTGTCACATATGCTTGTAGTCCTGGCTACTGGGGAGGCTAAGGTGGGAGGATCACTTGAGGCCAGTTGTTTGAGATTACTGTGAGCTATGATCACACCACTGAACTCCACACTGGGCAACAGAACAAGACCTTGTTTTTTGTTTTTGTTTTTAAATCAACCACAAAAATTCAGTGTAACCCATAATATTTAACACCTATTTGACACTTATTCTGAATTAAGCATTATTGCAAGTGCTTCATGGGGTTGGCAAACTACATCTCACAGGCCAGGTTCAGCATTGCTGTTTGTTTTTATAGATACAGTTTTCTTTTAAGTTGGCCACACCTATTAATTTTCGTATTTCCTATCACTGCTTTCATGCTACCACAGCAGAGTTGACTAGTTACCACAAAGACTGTATGTCCTATAAAGCATCAAATATTTACTATATGATCCTTTATAGAAATAGTTTGCTAACCACTATATTAGCATTTTGATCTCCTCACCAACCCTACAAAGTGTTATTATCACCATAATCTCTGTTTTAAAGAAGAAAATGGTGTATGTAACTTGTCCAAGTTCATGCTTCCATTAAATGGAAGAACACGGATTTATTCAGGCAACTGGTTCCACCAGTCCCCATTCTCAACTATGCCAAACTGCACCTCACATGGAGCATTATGTCTCTCACCTACAAAGGAGCAATTATTCCAACAGACATTAGTTTATTTTTTTAAAAATTAGCTGGGCATTAATCGTTTTCCCCCAAAGCATAAAATTTGTTGCAATTGTAGATTGGGGATTAAGACTAAACTTCTGGCCACTTGGCATTGTTTGCATTGATTTCTGATAGCAAAATTCTCCATATTTGTAATATAAAACAGATCTTT
Source organism: Homo sapiens (assembly GCF_000001405.40). Classification (NCBI taxonomy): domain Eukaryota; kingdom Metazoa; phylum Chordata; class Mammalia; order Primates; family Hominidae; genus Homo; species Homo sapiens. The sequence continues at coordinate 43,680,210 of NC_000004.12, forward strand.
TATATGTTCTCAGTAAATAGTAATAGAAGAATTTGATGTGAATGATATATATATAACATTATATATGATATCTATAGTTTAGCTGGCCTAAGACAAATAACAATGAAAAAAGCAATTATAAAAAGAGTCTGTACCCTCAAATATTTCCTTGTCTCCACAGCAGTTATGGAAGACGCTTAGAAAATGATAGTAATTAGTGAAAATAATAAAAAACACTGTCATCAGAATCAAAATTTTAGGTAATGGTTATAGCTTACTTGGGGAGACCTTATCACTATTTAAACCACTTATCCACACCCAAACCCTTTGGAAAATTAAAATTTTGCACTAATAAGAGAAGGATTTTTGCAGCTGCCAGCACATGATGGACTTCCCAATAACAGGCAGGATGAATGTTCTTTTTCACAGTTGGAGCACGGTTCCCATGGCAACACTTGCTGTATGCATTCAAATGAAACTTCTCTTTTTCCCTTCAAGAATCTTTCCCTTTTCTTCTCCCTAGCCTAACATTTTTCATTAAACATAAAAACCTTGATCTTTAAAAGGCTAAAACCTACTGGTGAACTCCACTTTTCCATTTTCCTGGTATGAAATTTAGAAGGAAAATATGCACACTAAAATTTGACTGGATGTTGATTTTCTTCCTTATTATGTCACATGCAGAATACTCAAAACTATCTTTGACTAAGGAAAATGTCCAAATTTAACTGTGACTTAGAAACCTGAGTTTTGCATACATGCAACAATATATTAGGGGCTCTTGTTCTATTGCCTGAAGATAAAATATAATACAGAATACAGGGACTGTGTTGAGAGCAGACTGTGTTGCACATATTGGCAGCCCATTTATCACCAGGTAATTTGAATATTGATCAGGCACAGATTCTGCTATTAGTACCTGGCATTCATTAAAGGTATAAACCACTTCTAATAAATAATTCCCCAGGAGAAATCTGGGCTTGGGTGAATGTCCTTGGGTGGGGGGAGTTTATTACAAAGTTACAAAAAGCAAGAAAAAGAAGAAAGACATAAAATGTATGGTGGGGAGGTAGCTGATGTACAGAGAAACTGGTCTTTACAAATGTCATCAGCCAGAGTATGGTAGATACAGAATTAAATACTGCAACACAGTGATTTTCAATGTATGGTTATCAACTAAGGCTGATCTGCCAGCTGCTTATTATGTGTCCTCAACAGGAAAAGTTCAGTCCGTGTTTGTTGCCAGTGCACACACTTTCAATGAATGTGTTCAGTTTGTTTTTCTTTTTTTTGACTTCTTCATTATGTTTATTATGATTATCTTTATTAAAATGTAATTGTATATGTATTGAGTCTGATAACAGAAATAGATATGTTAATGTGATTGAATCATTTTGCAATGTACACATAGGTGAAAATATTGCATTGTTTTCCATAAATATACAAGAAAAAGTTAACAAAACAAATACACAAAAATATAAAATAGGGCTTCTACTTTGAATGATTTTGATTTTGTATTTTGTTTTTCTTAGATTTAATAGGTGTTATATTGTTGCAATTGATGTCAAATAAAAAAATTATGGCATGAGAAGCACTATGTAGTTGACATCAGATTACACTGGGTAATTGGGATCTTCTGCCTTTGCCTCTGCGTGCTTGAATAAATTCATTTTATTTTTTGTTTATTCTGAAAGAAAAAAAGTCAAATGGTACAAATTAAATAGTGGTGTATATTTTTATGTATTGTCTTATTTTATCTTTATAAAACACCCATAAAATAGATCTTATGTTGTCCATTTTCCATGCAAAGAAACTGATGCTTTAGGAGATAACTTGCCTCTATTAGCCAGGAGTTTGCTGGATTCTGGAAAGAGGATCAAATTCAGGTTAGTTAACATATCTTAATGAATAGACCCCTCTTTGAGCTGTTAACAAAATAAAAATAATGCAGAAGGGATGTTGAGGTACTCAGAAATTGGCAAAAGCAGGAAGTTATTATCCAGTGTGTGCCTGATGGGACACATAAAGAAAATTGTTAATGGAGCAATGGCTATGTACCTTTAGGAGAAAGGCTGTCCTATAGGCACTGTGAGGTGGACAACCATAGCCACTGCCAACCCATGCCCTTGCAGGGATGGGACAAAGTACTCAATGTCTCTCTCCAGTGAGAATGAGAGACACAGAAAAGGAGACACCTAACAAGATCAATAGGAAGTGTATTAGTCCATTCTCATGCTGCTAATAAAGACAGACCCAAGACTGGGTAATTTATAAAGGAAAGAGGTATAATTGTCTCATGGTTCAGCATGGCTGGAGAAGCCTCAGGAAACTTACAATCATGGTGGAGGAGGAAGCAAACACGTCCTTCTTCACATGGCAGCAGGAGAGAGAAGAATGAGAGCAAAAGGGGTTTGCCCCTTATAAAACCATCAAATCTTGTGAGAACTCACTCACTCACTATTATGAGAACAGCATGAGGGTAACCACCACTATGATTCAATTACCTCCCACCAGGTCCCTCCCACGTCACATGGGGATTATTGGAACTACAATTCAAGGTGAGATTTGGATGAAGATACAGGCAAAGCATAACAGGAAGTGACTCAGCCACCGCCAGATATCATACCCCAGAGGAAGAGAGGAGGCAGGGAAGAAAGATGCTAAACTTCCTTTTTCCACTGGTGCACTGCTTGCCTGTGGGGCGGCCTTATTAAGGCTTAATAAAGTTTAAGCCTTAGGTCTTTTTCTGGAAGAAGTCTCTTCCAAGGTCTTGGGATGGAACCTATAAAAATATCCATATCATTGGTTCTGTGTCATTTGAAATAGTAATATTTTTTCAATCACTATTCATTAAGAGCCCTTTTTCTTTCCTAATATTTTTCTCTCCTTGATGGGTGTATTAGGGAGCCCACTGGCATTTTGGGGATCTAGTTAAGGAGAAGTTGAGTTAGAGATTCAAAAAAAGAATAATATTCAAAAAAAGAATAAGAAAGATAAGAAGAAAGAAAATATGAAATAAAATTCAGTTTTATTTTATGTTTTTATGAATCACAGTCCTTGTTGTATATTTCAGTAATTGCTGGTTATGCAACTGTAGGAATAGCTTCCAGAAATCCTCTTACCACCTCTGTGTCAATTAACCTGTCATTATGACTAGATAGTGCAGGGCCAGAGGTGATGTTTTATAGGAGCTTGTTTAGACCACCTGGAATGGAAAGTATGTAGGTAGAGAAGAAGATTTAAAAGGAGCAACCAGGTTAAAATATTGGAATCCATCCTTGGAAAAATGTTCCAAATCTTGTACTTAAGACATAAGCAAAGAAAAACCACCTGTTAGAGATTTTCTGATATTTGACAACAATCCTAAATATTTACATAGTATTATTAAAAAGAAGTTGTGAATTTAAGAGACATTTTAAAGTCTGTAGTAAAAACCAAAACCAAATATTGATCAACCATACAAGAATAAATGCAGAATTATCTTTCTATCCTCTGTAGAGAGAATGTTACTATTAAAATCATTCTCAAATGAAAAGCATGCAGAAAAAAGCATATAGGGAAAAAGTATTGGAGATGCAATCAATGAATACAAAAATATGCTCTTTTCTGGATTTTGCTATGTTCATGCTATTTTTCTTGAACATTTCTTTTAAGAAATTGTCATGTATTCTTAAAATATGTAATTTGTTGTGAATCATCAATTTGAATATATATTCATTACTCTACCTAATTTTTTATGTATAATTTTATATCATTTTTCTAAAAGGGGTTACTCAGTTTCATGCCCCATAGTGCTTAGCCTGCCTCTGATTCTGACGGTGCCAACCATTGGCTAAAACCAAACATAAACTTGTTTCTCAGGTTGGTCTATTTGAAGGAGCGAGGGAGAAGGTGAATGACAATCAAGGTTGAGAAAAGAAAACAAAACAATAAGCTTGTCATTCAAGTTCACATAGCTACACCAAAGCAGGGTCAGGAGTCAGACGACAAATATCTGTGACTCTAAGGCACATGCTGTTTCTACATATCTCTCTACTGCTCAGTCATTAAATATAAAAAGATGAGGAGTAGGAGGTGGAAGATGGATTAGATCATCCTCCATACTCTATTTATATACAGTCCCCAAATGGGGAACAGAATATTATTATCCTTAAAGCACATGAAGGGTAATAAGATTTGCAGAAATATGAATAAAAATAGTTTGCTGACTTTCTTATCTCAGAAGATTTTTCTTTATTTCACTATGCAATCCATATGGCTAACAATTTGCTTTTGAAATGATTGGTTGATTATAAACAAGTATCTGATCAAAGGAAATATTTAATAAGAGAGGAAAGTTATTTTCAAAAGTATTCTTTGACACAATCTGGGTTGAAAAACAAGTTCTAGAAACTTTCAGAATAAAACAAAACAAAGCAAATATAAATTACCAATTGATTTTTCTTCTTTCTTTCTCTTAACACAGTACCTTAATTGAGCATTTGTTTTTGCCTTGTTTTGCTTTATTCGGGTGCCATGAAACCTTGCCCTCAACCTTGTATTCTGAAATATGTAAAATATTCCTCTCATGGCATGACTGAAAAAATACACATATTATATTTTATTGATGTATTTCTGGCAGTCTTGTTTCCTTATTTGTGATGTCTCCTTGGGGATATTGAGTTTTGGCATTATTTTAAAAAATCAGGATAAGGAGAATCAGAGAGAGCTGTCAATCTTTCAGCCAAGAGGAACATCTGCTAATAGCTAACCTACTTGAACCAGCTGGATTGTGCTTATGATAAGGTTTATTACTTTCTGAGGGGCAAGAGCTCTGGCATCCTCTGAGTGGATTCAGATACATTATCAGTCCAGGATGTATAAATTGCATTTAAAGTCAGAATAGCAATCAAGGCAAAACAATTACAGTATCTAAAATAATGCAATCAGGGATTACCACAGTTCTAAAGATCACCTGGAAAGAAATTGTAAGGAATTTGGTTCTTAGTGGATAGCTGGAGCCTCTTTCAGAGAATCACATATTCTTTCACCTCTCCTGGACCCCCACCAGACCCATTTGCCCATGAGCAAAAGGAAAACTTCACTAATGGTTAGTACTTCTGGCTAAGATGGCTACATCTGCACTCATATCCACTCTTCTCTTTACTAAGTAGTAGAAGCCTTACATTTTAGCTGAGCACAATGACTGCTCTAGAATAAAGCTTATATGTCTAGACAAGTTTGCAGCCATAGACATGTTCATATCAATAAGTTCTCACCAATGAGATGTGAGTGGAACTAATTGCTGCACCTTCTCATACCTGCCTTATTTTTGCTCTTTGATTTCCTGGTGCTTGTTTGTTCTGGACTTGATTATAAGCCACCTTAGACCACATAGACAAAGGTAATACCTTAAGACCTGCAGAAAACAGAAGGCATTCACTATGCCATCATATCTGCCCTGGGCTTCATAAACTCAGGCTACTGGGTGTGGAAGACATAAACTTTTCTCTCATTAAAATCTCCATTATTTGGTATCTTTGATGTAGCCACAGAATCTACATTCTACATTAAAAAAAAAAAAACCTCATGATTCTGGCTAAGCCCTTTTCTGGAATATTTATTTCCCCATCTTTTAGAAAGCAACTTCCCTTGAAGTCCTCATTCCTGTTTAACAAATGATTCCAAACTTCTTGTAATTAAAACAGAGAATAGTTATTTTGTATGACTCCTAGATGTCACCCCAATTACAATAGTAAAGTAAATTAACATTAGTTAATAGTTATGAATTGCTTGCTAGTGTTAGGTACTGTTCTAGGTACTTCAAATACATAAATACACTAGGTCCATACAGCAATTCTGTGATATAAAAGTTATAATTATTCTCATCATAAATACTTTGACCACTATCACATAATTCTTAAATATCTGAACCAAAATTCAAATCCAGGAAGTTGGATTCTGGTGATTTTGCATGTAGTCGTAATGCTACTGTTCCTCTGATTCTTTTCTTATCCTGCTTACTCAGATTTTTTCTGAAGTATACTATTCCCTGGGATTTACATTCATTGGTAAACTAACCAAGGCTTAATATATGTAGCTTGGATATTTATTGAATAAGTTATATGTGGAAGGCAATGCTTAGGACACGTTAAGCACTCAGTATGTATAATTTCAATAAGTAGTGGAGGGCTGGAGCCAGATCACATGGGCTCTTCAAGAGCCAACTGTGCATCTTTTCCCTACTCTACATTCAGTTCAGTGAAGGCAGGTTGCTTACTTGAAATGTTCCCTGGTAGGAATATTAAATTTACGAACACTATAAATCAGCATTTTTGTTTCATTTGGGGAATCAACTTACTAGCATACCACTTGTTAGGAAAGTTGAGAAAAATTACATAAAGCTGTTATAGGCAAAAATCATATTCTATCTGGGGATACCAACATCTCAGGGTAACTGTCATATAGGATAATATAAGAATATTATTTAAAATTATCAGTAAAAAATTGATGAAACAATTTAGCTTCAGTATGCCAGAATTTTTTCTTAAAAAAGCAACTGAGACATGGCATCTGAGCTAGACTCCAGTTCAAATAGAGATAAAAAACTGATATTAAATTTTCTGAGTGTTTGTAATAAAATGTCTATAAGGGAAGGCTTCAATAGCTTGTTCTTATTCATATATTAACTTATGTGACAAACCTAACTTTAGACTTGAGAGAAGGAATTATTTATACTATATGATGAAAGAAATCAAGAAGTGATGTACGTATGAAATCCCTTGATAAAGACTTCCTGTCCATAAATATCTTCATCAGTTCCTGATAGTTCTGACATTAAAGATTGATTTTCTAGGGTACTGAAGACTTTTCTTATTAAAATGCAAATACATCTGGAAGTCATTTTCTTGTAACACCTTATCAGTTATTGGTTTTGAAGTTCTGACTGATTAGTAGTCCACATAACTGGCCTCCTTGACTCTAAATTATAAATTAAAGATAATCAGCACATTGAAAATAATCATGCCCTTGGTTTAGTATATAAAGGGAAACTTTGATCAATACTTTAGGTGTCTCACCATATAGTTAACCTTTTATATTATTTCTACTTTTTTACTTATTTCTAGTTACTAATACCAAGCACTTCAGCAGCTCTAGTGGCATTGTCTCTGTCAAGTGTTATAGAAAATATTTTATACATTTATTAACAAAGTAAATCCCATAGCAACAGCACGTATGCTAGACTTCATATATCTAGTGTTCACTTTATTAAAAAGTTAGTTTTCAGTAATGGCACTCAATCCTGATATTTCTGAATACTTGCTTGAAACATATGCCCTATAGATGATTGTCCTGTGTTGCTTTGGCCAATCCTGCCCTAAAATCTTCATGTTTGCTTAATCCGTCAACTACTCTCAGCTAGAATTTCCCACTGATCTCTATCCCTGTGACTTGGGCCCTGTTTCTCAGACTTTTTAAAAGTTGACTGCTAACCTGGGCTTCTATACATTGCTTACTCCTAGATTTGCCATTATCATGGTCCTTGAACTGATAGGACATAGTCATTTTTTGCAGGGCTTTCCAGAGAGTAACTGTCCACTCGCTCATCAAACTGTCTGAAAATTAGGCCCACCCACCACCATGTCTTGAGCTTCTCTCAAGACTTAAATCCAGTTCTACATTTTGGGATCCATACCTAAGTGGAAACCCTCCAATCTACCTTTTTCCACTTCCTATTCAGACCTAAAGTTCAAACTTTAAACCTGAAGTTTAAACAAACAAACAAAACAGAAGACAGGTGGTTCAAAGAAGGGGGATATAGAGAATAATAGGGCAAGTGAATGGGATGGTGTTATAGGCCTCAGAATGTAGAAAAAAACAGACAAATCTTGAAAGAAGAGACAACTTCTTACTTTATAATTATTCCTAGTCTTCTGTCATGCCAGAGCTACATTGGAATAAACTATGGCATACAACTCTTTATCTGTTGAATAGCTTTTTCTGACAAGTATGACAGAAAGATGAGGTATTGAACAAATGTGGACAAATGCTTCTTTACAATGGAGTTGTGCAAGTGTGAAATTGACCACCTTGTAAACATAAATTTCACAGTTATATAGCCTGTTAATTATTAAGCCTACATGGTTGAAGGGATACATGACTTGGGGATTTTTGTTCAGTGGGTAGCATAAATGCATTTGAGAAAAACCACTTAGATATTTTGTATTTCAGGTAAATTATAGCAACATTTAAATCTATATTTTTCAATAGTACCACAATGAAAAAAATATGTTCTGTTTCTGAATGTGTCTGTTAGCACAGCAGATTAGCCATCAAAATGGGTTGATCACATGTGAAATAATGTTTAGAGTCAATAAAAACACAAATTTCATGGGAATTACATATATTGTATCTTTGCAAATTTTCATTTTGATGCATCTGGATATTGAATTTCAGAATATTGGAGGACATTTGATCCACTAAAAGAGAATATGTTTCAACTTAAAAAATAATATACTTGTTCTTTATGACACTAAATAATATTTTAGAAGCTAAGCAATGTTTTAAGAATTAAGAAATTTTGGGGAAACAATAATAAAGAAGAGAAATTATTCAATCAGTTTTGTTTCATATTTGATTTTTTGGAGCGTTTTCCTTGTCGTTCACTCAATGTTATCAATCTACCAAATATAATTAATCCACTTGCCAATTTAGGGATGCCTAGATGGCTTTAAATTTTAACTGCTGAAATGTTACATTAATGGATAGTCCAACATGAGCTCCCTTATAGACCTGGACAAATGGCCTCTGGGCACCTGTAGTGAGGAGTAGATGGTATAATTTACTTATATTTTATTTCACTAAATACTGCTAGATTACATTATATATTGACCTCACTATTTTATAATCAGGCTAGCAGTGCATTATGGCTTCCATTTTCCCATATTCTCACCAATAATTTGCATTACCAACCTTTATTTATTTATTTATTTCTAATCTGATGGATAATGGGTCCTACCTAAGTACTTTAGTTTTATTTTCTCTAATTACTAATAAGGCAGGTAATGTGTTTCTCCTTCGACAAATCACATTTTTATATTGTATTTCTCCTTTTATACTTTTGTCTTTTTCTTCTAGTTGTTGATTTAAAGGTGATTTTGTGTATTTTAACTATTATTCTGTTGTTTGTTTTATTTACTGAAAATATTTCTCTCCATATCTACCAATCACCTACTACAAGACTCAGCTACTGAAAATACTTGCCTTTGTGGAGCTTTATTGATGTTGTCTATGCAAGCGTACTGACATGACCAAGCAAGTCACAGAGATGTACATAGAAATAATATTGGCAGCAGAGAAGTAGAAGCTACAAAAAAGAACAAGAAAGGAGAGGTAGAGAAAGTCTGAGACAAACATATTTACAAGTGTAGATGTGTCACCAGAATAAGAATGAATATATGAATGAGTGTATGATGTGACTGTCTGCCACAAGCTCACATATTTTGGCTTGGGTCACTGGAATTTCTCATTCAATATGAATACCTATAAGAGATTCTAAACTTCTTCATGAATCTGCTAAAGCCATTATTTATTTTTTTATTTTTAACTTCTCTATGTTTTACGATAAAATATCTTCAATTGAATAACCAAAAGTTGGCCCTCTTCTTGTCAATTTGAAATAAAATTAAGTACAAATCTTAATATCCCAGAGTTGTGTCACCACCACTATACACAAGGGGTTTTTAGTGACATAATCTAATTTGCAATTAATAAACTTTCAATTGAATTCAGCACCACATGAAATTGGCTTTGACACAAAAAATACATTATCCAATGATACTATTTTGGTATATTTATCAGAATTTAATTAATTTTCAATCAACCATGTACTACCAGGCCAGTTAAAATAGTAGACTCTTTTCTCCCATTTGAAAATTTACATACATTTTTATGACAACCAACATTAATGTACTATGCGTCCATTCAAAAACTGTGACAATAATAATGAGTTAATACAAAATTACAGCTTTGAGTTAGAATTTAATGTGTGTCACAGGCTCTTAGAACAACTGTTTATTAAAACAGTGGATAGACCAGAAGCAATGTGATGTCACTGCAGTATGATTTCATAATCCAGAATCTTCCACTTTAAATCTAATGACCACTTTGAAAAGAATTGGGTTGCATCACTCTGCTTACTTTATAAGCACAGTTTAACTAGAGCAGACTATAGGAAGTTGTTTCAGACTTACCAAGGTTTCTTTAGAAAAATCATTAGTTACAGATTCAATTTAAATAGAATTGAGTTATTGATCCAAAACAATTACAACCAGGAAATTAACCTTATACTGTAAAAGTTTAATAAGAGATTATGAATCTAGGTAAACAATGTCTTTTTAAAATTAATTTTTATTTTTAATTTTTGTGTAATAGGTGTAAATACTCATGTGGTACATTAAATATTTCAGTACAGGCATGCAATAAGTAACAAGCATATCAGATTAACTGGGTTATCCATTACCTCAGGTATGTATCGTTTCTTTTCGTTACAAACATTCCAATTATATTCTTAGTTATTTTAAAATGTACAATAAATTATTGTTGACTATAGTCACCCTGTTTGACCTAGTGCTATCAAATGCTAGATCTTATTCAATCTTCCTAACTGTATATTTGTTATTCACCATCCCAACATTGTCCCCTCTCCCCCATTACCCTTCCTAGCCACTGGTAACCATCATTTTTATTCTCTGCCTCTGTGAGCTCAATTGTTTTAATTTTTAGCTCCCACAAAATGAGTGAGAACATGCAAACTCTGTCTCTCTGTGCCTGGCTTACTTCACTTAAAATAATCTCCTCCCATTCCATCCATGTTGTTGCAAACAACAGTATCTCATTATTTTTATGGCGGAATAGTACCCCATTGTGTATACGTGGCATATTTTCAATATTCACTTATCTGTTGAGGAACACTTAGGTTGCTTCCAGATCTTGGCTATTAAGAATAGCACTGCAATAAACATGGAAGTGCAGAAATGCCTTCAGTATACTGATTTCCTGTCATTTGGGCATATACCTCGCAGCAGGATTGCTGGATCATATGGTAGCTCTATTTTTGTTTTCTTCAGGAACTTCCATACTGTTCCTCATATTGGCTGTACTAATTTACATTTCTGCCAACAGTGTATGAAGGTTCCCTTTTCCCCACATCCTTGTCAGCATTTGTTATTGCCTATGTTTCGTATAAAAGCCATTTTAACTGAGGTGAGATAATATCTTTATTTTATTTTATTTTATTATTATTATACTTTAAGTTTTAGTGTACAAGTGCACAACATGCAGGTTTGTTACATGTGTATACATGTGCCATGTTGGTGTGCTGCACCCATTAACTCGTCATTTAGCATTAGGTATATCTCCTAATGCTATCCCTCCCCCCTCCCCCCACCCCACAACAGTCACCGGAGTATGATGTTCCCCTTCCTGTGTCCATGTGTTCTCATTGTTCAATTCCCATCTATGAGTGAGAACATGCGGTGTTTCGTTTTTGTCCTTGGGATAGTTTACTGAGAATGATGGTTTCCAGCTTCATCCATATCCCTATAAAGGACATGAACTCATCATTTTTTATGGTTGCATAGTATTCCATGGTGTATATGTGCCACATTTTCTTAATCCAGTCTATCATTGTTGGACATTTGGGTTGGTTCCAAGTCTTTGCTATTGTGAATAGTGCCGCAATAAACATACGTGTGCATGTGTCTTTATAGCAGCATGATTTATAGTCCTTTGGGTGTATACCCAGTAATGGGATGGCTGGGTCAAATGGTATTTCTACTTCTAGATCCCTGAGGAATCACCACACTGACTTCCACAATGGTTGAACTAGTTTACAGTCCCACCAACAGTGTAAAAGTGTTCCTATTTCTCCACATCCTCTCCAGCACCTGTTGTTTCCTGACTTTTTAATGATCGCCATTCTAACTGGTGTGAGATGGTATCTCATTGTGGTTTGGATTTGCATTTCTCTGATGGCCAGTGATCATGAGCATTTTTTCATGTGTTTTTTGGCTGCATAAATGTCTTCTTTGGAGAAGTGTCTGTTCACATCCTTTGCCCACTCTTTGATGGTGTTGTTTGTTTTTTTCTTGTAAATTTGTTTGAGTTCATTGTAGATTCTGGATATTAGCCCTTTGTCAGATGAGTAGGTTGTGAAAATTTTCTCCCATTTTGTCGGTTGCCTGTTCACTCTGATGGTATCTTATAGTAGTTTTGATTTGCATTTCTCCGATAGTCAATGATGATGAGCACCTTTTCATACACCTGTTTGCCATTTGGATGTCCTCTTTTGATTAATGTCTATTCATATATTTTGCCCATTTTAAAATCAGATTATTAGATTTTTGTCCTAATGAGTTGAGTTCCACATATATTCTGGTTATTAACCCCTTATCAAGTAGATAGTTTGCAAATACTTTCTCTCATTCTGTGGGTTGTCTCTTCACTCTGTTGATTGTTTCCTTTGCTGAGCAGAAGCTTTTTAACTTGACTGTATCCCATTTGTCTATTTTTGCTTTGGTTGCTTGTGCTTGTGGGGTATTACTCATGAAATCTTTGCCCAGATCAAGGTCCTTGGAAGTTTACCCAATATTTTCTTGTAGTAGTTTTAAATTTGGAGGTCTTATATTTAAGTTCTCAATTTATTTTGATTTGACTTTTATATATGGCAAGAGATACAGGTATAGTTTCATTCTATTGTACATGGGTATTGTTTTCTAATTACCATTTATTGACTGTCCTTTATCCATTGTATATTCTTGGCACATTTGTGGAAAATGAGTTCACTGTAGATGCATGGATTTTTTTCTGGTTTCATTATTCTATGCCATTAGTCTATGTGTCAGTTTTTCTGCCAGCACCATGCTGTTTTGGTTACTAAAGCTCTGTAGTATAATTTGAAGTCAGGTAATGCAATTCCTGCAGCTTTGTTTATTTTGCTTAGGATAGCTTTGGCTATTCTGGGTCTTTTGTGGTTTGGTATAAATTTTAGGATTATTTTTTCTATTTCTGTTAAGAATGTCATTGGTGCTTTAGTAGGGATTGCATTGAATCTGTCAATTGCTTTGGGTAATATGAACATTTTAACAATGTTCATTCTTCCAATCCATGATTATGGAATATTATTCAATTTTGGGGTGTCCTTTTCAGTTTATTATATCAAAATTTTATAGTTTTCCTTTTAGAAATGTTTCTCTTCTTGGATTAAGTTCATTGCTAGGTATTTTGTTTCGTTTGTAGCCATTAGAAATGAGTTTACTTTCTGGATTTTTCATTATTTTGAATATTTTTCATATTCATTCTACTGTTGGCACGTAGAAATGCTACTGATATTGGTGCATTTGATTTTGTATCCTGCAATTTTACGGAATTTCTTTATCAGTTCTAATAGGTTTTTGGTGGGGTATTAGGTTTTACCACGTATAAGATTATATCTTCTGCAAAAAAGGATAATTTGACTTTTTCCTTTCTAATTAGATACTCTTTATATATTTATCTTGTCTGATTGCCCTGGCTAGGACTTCCAATACTATGTTGAATAAAGGTAGTGACAGTGGGCATCCTTGTCTTCTTCCAGATCTTAGAGGAAAGCATTTCAGTTTTTGTCCATTCAGTACAGTACGAGCTTTGGGTCTTTCATATGTGGGTTTTATTGTGTTGAGGCATGTTGCTTCTATACCCACTTCTTTGACGGATTTTTTATCTTTAAGGGATGTTGAATTTCATCAAATACTTTTTCAGCATGAATTGAAATGATGATGTAATTTTTTCCCTTCATTTTGTTGATATGATGAAGCATATTGATTAATTGCATATGTTGAATCATCCTTGCATCACTGGAATAAATCTCACTTGATCATGATGAATGATCTTTTTAATGCATCATTGACTTTGGTATGCTAGTATTTTGTTGAGGAATTTTGCATTCATATTCATCAGAGATATTGGCCTATTTTTTTATGTGCCTTGTCTGGTTTTGATATCAGGGTAACACTGGCCATAAATAATCTGTTTGAAAGTATTTCTTGTGTCTCTATTTTTTGGAACAGTTTGACTAAAATTGAATTAAACTTTCTTCAAATATTTGGTAAAATTTAACAATAAAGCCATTGGGTCCTTGGCTTGTCTTTGCTTAGAGAGTTTTTAATGTATCTTCAATCCCATTACTTGTTACTGGTCTATTCAGGTTATGGATTTCTTCATGGCTCAATCTTGGTAGGTTGTATATGTCTAGGAATTTGTCCATTTCTTCTAGATTTTCAAGTTCATTAGCTTGTAATTGCTCACAGTAGCCACTACTGATCCTTTAAATTTCCGGAGTATCAGCTGTAATGTCTCTTTTTTAAAATCTCTGAGCTTATTTATTTGGGTCTTTTCTCTTTTATTCTTAGTCTGGTTGAAAGCTTATCAATTTTGTTTAACTTCTCCAAATATTCACTTTGGCTTCACTGATATTTTGTATTTTTTCCTTATTTCAATTTCACTTATTTCTGCCTTGATCTTTATTATTATTTTTCTTTCACTGGCTCTTGTTTACTTTTTTTCTGGCTCATGTTTGCTCTTGGTTTTCCAATTCTTTAAGATGCTTAATTAGGTGGTTTATTTTGTTTTTCTATGTTTTGATATAGGCACTTATAGCTGTAAAATTCCCTCTTAGTACCACTTTTGCTGCATCACAATGGTTTTGGAATACTGTGTTTCCATTATCGATTGTTTAACAAATTTTTCAATTTCATTTTTATTTTCTTCATTTACCCACTAGTGATTCAGGAGTGTACTGCTTAATTTCCATGTATCTGTATAGTTTCCAAAATTCCTCTTGTTCTTCCATTTGTTTGTATCCTCTTTTATTTCATTGAGCAGTGGTTTGTAGTTCTCCTTGAAGAGGTCCTAGAACATTCCATGCTCATGGGTAGGAAGAATCAATATCGTGAAAATGGCCATACTGCCCAAGGTAATTTATAGATTCAATGCCATCCCCATCAAGCTACCAATGACTTTCTTCACAGAATTGGAAAAAACTACTTTAAAGTTCATATGGAACCAAAAAAGAGCCCGCATCGCCAAGTCAATCCTAAGCCAAAAGAACAAAGCTGGAGGCATCACGCTACCTGACTTCAAACTATACTACAAGGCTACAGTAACCAAAACAGCATGGTACTGGTACCAAAACAGATATAGACCAATGGAACAGAACAGAGCCCTCAGAAATAATGCCAAATATCTACAACTATCTGATCTTTGACAAACCTGAGAAAAACAAGCAATGGGGAAAGGATTCCCTATTTAATAAATAGTGCTGGGAAAACTGGCTAGCCATATGTAGAAAGCTGAAACTGGATCCCTTCCTTACACTTTATACAAAAATTAATTCAAGATGGATTAAAGACTTAAACATTAGACCTAAAACCATAAAAACCCTAGAAGAAAACCTAGGCATTACCATTCAGGACATAGGCATGGGCAAGGACTTCATGACTAAAACACCAAAAGCAAATGGCAACAAAAGCCAAAATTGACAAATGGGATCTAATTAAACTAAAGAGCTTCTGCACAGCAAAAGAAACTACCATCAGAGTGAACAGGCAACCTACAAAATGGGAGAAAATTTTCGCAACCTACTCATCTGACAAAGGGCTAATATCCAGAATCTACAATGAACTCAAACAAATTTACAAGAAAAAAACAAACAACACCATCAAAAAGTGGGCGAAGGACATGAACAGACACTTCTCAAAAGAAGACATTTATGCAGCCAAAAAACACATGAAAAAATGCTCATCATCACTGGCCATCAGAGAAATGCAAATCCAAACCACAATGAGATATCATCTCACACCAGTTAGAATGGCAATCATTAAAAAGTCAGGAAACAACAGGTGCTGGAGAGGATGTGGAGAAATAGGAACACTTTTACACTGTTGGTGGGACTGTAAACTAGTTCAACCATTGTGGAAGGCAGTGTGGTGATTCCTCAGGGATCTAGAAGTAGAAATACCATTTGACCCAGCCATCCCATTACTGGGTATATACCCAAAGGACTATAAATCATGCTGCTATAAAGACACATGCACACATATGTTTATTGCGGTACCATTCACAATAGCAAAGACTTGGAAACAACCCAAATGTCCAACAATGATAGACTGGATTAAGAAAATGTGGCACATATACACCATGGAATACTATGCAGCCATAAAAAATGATGAGTTAATGTCCTCTGTAGGGACATGGATGAAATTGGAAATCATTCTCATTCTCAGTAAACTATCGCAAGAACAAAAAACCAAACACCGCATATTCTCACTCACAGGTGGGAATTGAACAATGAGAACACATGGACACAGGAAGGGGAACATCACACTCTGGGGACTGTTGAGGGGTGGGGGGAGGGGGGAGGGATAGCATTAGGAGATATACCTAATGCTAAATGACGAGTTAATGGGTGCAGCACACCAGCATGGCACATGTATACATATGTAACTAACCTGCACATTGTGCATATGTACCCTAAAACTTAAAGTATAATAATAATAAAATAAAATTTAAAAAAACAAAATTCCTCTTGTTATTCATTTCTAGATTTATTTCCTTGTGGTCAGAGGAGATGCTTGATATTATTTCGATTTTTTTGAATGTTTCAAGACTTGTTTTGTGACCTAACATAAGGTCTACCTTTGAGAATGATCCATGTGCTGGGCTGAGGGAAAGAATGTGTATGCTACACCTCTTGGATGAATTTTTCTGTAAATATCTATTAGGTACATTTTTTCTACAATGCAGTTTAAGTTCCATGTTCCTTTGTTGATTTTCTGCCTGTAAGATCAGGATGTTGAAGTGTCCAATTATTATTGTATTGGGGCCTATGTATCTATTTAGGTCTAAAAATATTTTTTATATATCTGGGTGCTCCAGTGTTGGGTTGATATGTATTTAAAATTGTTATATCATTTTGCTGAATTGACCCCTTTATCATTACGTGATAATATTCTTTGTTTCTTCTTATAGTTTTTGCCTTGGAATCTATTTTGTCTGATATAAGTACTGAGACTCCTGCTCCTTTTAGGTATCCATTGGCATGGAATATTATTGTCGATCTCTTCATTTGCAGTATATAGTGTGCCTGTTTTGTTTTGTTTTGTTTTGTTTTGAGACAGTGTCTCCCTCTATTGCCCAGTCTGGAGTGCAGTGGCAGAATTGCAGCTCACTGCAACCTCTGCCTCCCACTTTCAAACCATTCTGGTGTGTCAGTCCCTAGTAGCTGTGACTACAGGCATGCACCACCATACTGGGCTAATTTTTGTATTTTTGGTAGAGATCAGTTTCACCACGTTGGCCAGGCTGGTCTCGAACTCCTGGCTTCAAGGGATCCACCTGCCTCGGCCTCCCAAAGGGCTGGGATTACAGGAGTGAGCCACAGTGCCCAGCCCTGTGTCTTTACAGGTAACATTTGTGGTTTTTTTTTTGTTGTTGTTGTTAAGAAACAAGTCAGTGGGTCGTTTTATGTTTGAAGAGTTAAGTCCATTTAAATCTAATGTTATTATGAATCTGTAAAGACTTACTTCTGTCATTTTGCTATTTGTTTTCTGGTTGTTTTGTTGTCTTCTCTTCCTTCTTTCTTTCCTTCCTGTCTTCCTTTATTGAAGGTGATTTTTTCTGGCGATAGATTTAGTTTCTGCCTTTTTATTTTTTTTTATTTTATTCTTTTTTTGGTTTTTGGTTTGAAATTACCATAAGGTTAGCAAATACTATCTTATAAACCATTATTTTAACCTGATAACACTGTTTACATAAACAAACAAAAAAAGAAAACTAATAAAAATTCTACTCCTTAAATTCAACTCACCACTTTTTAACTTTTAGTTGTTTCTGTATATATCTTGTTGTACTCTGTCTTAAAAACTTTTGTAGTTATTTTCAATTGGTTCATCATTTAGTCTCTTGCGTACCACAATTACAGTCATAACATAGTCTGTGTTTTTCTGTGTACTTACTATTACCAGGGAGTTTTGTGCTTTCAGATGATTTCTTTCTTTTTTTTTAACTTGTATTTAAAGTTCGTCAATACATATGTAGTATAGGTAAACTTGTGTCATGGGGGTTTGTTACACAGAATATTTTATCACTTATGTGTTAAGCCTAGTACTAGTTATTTTTCCTGATCCTCTCACATCTCCCACTCTCCACCTTCCAAAAGCCCCAGTGTGTGTTGTTCTAGTCATTTAGCTTCCACTTATAAGAGAGAACATGCAGTTTTTGGTTTTCTATTCCTGTATTAGTTTGCTAAAGATAACATACTCCAGGTTCATCCATGTCCCTGCAAAAGACATGATCTTGTTGATTTTTATAGCTGCATAGTATTCCATGGTATATATATACCATATTTTCTTTATTCAGTCTATCACTGATGAAGATTTAGGTTGATTCCATGTCTTTACTATTGTGAATAGTGCTGCAATGAATATACACATTCATGTGTCTTTATGATATAACAATTTATATTCCTTTGGGTATATACCCAGTAATGGGATTGCTGAGTTGAATGGTATTTCTATCTTTAGGTCTTTAAGGAATCACCACAATGTCTTCCACTATGGCTGAACTAACTTACACTCTCACCAACAGGGTGCCAGTCATATTGGAGCTGCCAGTCATATTGGAGCTCATTTACATGTTATTGGTTTATTTTCTGTTGCTGCTCTCAGGATTCTTTCTTTAACCTTGACCTTTGGGAGTTTGATTATTAAATGCTTTGAGGTGGTCTTCTTTGGGTTAAAACTGCTTGATGTTCTATAACCTTCTTTTTCTTGGATATTGATATCTTTTTCTAGGTTTGGAAAGTTCTCTGTTATTATCCCTATCCCTCTGTTATTATCCCCTATAAACTTTCTACCACTATCTCTTTCTCTACCTTCTCTTTAAGTCTAATAACTCTTAGATTTGCCTTTTTAAGGGTATTTTTTAGATCCTGTAGATGTGCTTCATTGTTTTCTTTTTTTAATTATTATTTCTTCTTTTGTCACTTTTGACTGTGTATTTTTCAAATAGACTGTCTTCAGGCTTATTAATTCTTCTGCCTAATCCAGTCTTCTATTAAAGGACTCTGATGCATTCTTTAGTATGCCAATTGCATTTTCAGCTCCAACATTTCTGCTTGATGCTCTTTAATTATTTCAATCGCTTTGTTAAATTTATCAGACCGAATCTTGAATTCCTTCTCTGTGTTATCTTGAATTTTTATTAGTTTCCTCAACACAGCTATTTTGAATTCTCTGTCTGAAAGGTCACATATCTCTGTTTCTCCAGGATTGGTCTGTGTTGGCTTATTTAGTTCATTTGATGAGGTCATGTTTACCTGGATGGTGTTGATGCTCTTCAGCATCTGGGCATTGAAGAGTTAGGTATTTATTATAATGTTCAATGTCTGGGCTTATTTGTACCTGTCCTTTTTGGTAAGGATTTTCAGATATTTAAAAGGACTTCGGTGCTGTGATCTTAGGTGTGTTTGCTTTAGGGGGTACCCCAAGCACTGTAATGCTGTGGTTCTAGCAGACTCGTAGAGGTATAGCCTTGATGGCCTTGGACAAGATCTGAAAGAATTATCTGGATTACCAGGAAGAGACTCTTCTCTTTCCCTACTTTCCCCAAAACAAAAAGAGTCTCTCTCTCTCTCTGTCTGTTTGGAGCCACCTCAAGCTGAGGGTAGACTGCCACAAGCATTCCTGTGGCCACCGCCACTATGACTGTGCAGGATTAGATCTGAATCAAACATAGCACTGGGTCTCACACAAGGCCTGCCTTAACCATCCCCTGGGTACTGCCCATATTCTCTCAAGGCCCTGCCTTTACCATTCCCTGGGTACTGCCTATATTCTCTCAAGGCCCTGGGCTCTGCAATCAGCCAGTTGGCAAAGCCAGCCAGGCCTATGAACTTCTTTCAGGCCAGTGAGGTCTCTCAGGCCCCAGGTGGGTCCAGAGATGCCATCCAGGAATCAGGGACTAGAGTCATAAAATCTACCCGGTGTTCTATTCTACTGCAGCTTAGCTGGTAGTAAAACCACGCGATGCAGTCCTTCCCACTATTCTCTCCTCTTTCCAAAGGCAGAGGAGCCTCAACCTGTAGCCACTACCACTCCTGGCCACAGGAAATACTGCTAGACTACTGCCAATATTCCCTTAAGGCCCAATGGCTCTTATGACAGTTTGTGGTAAATGCTGTCTGACCTGGCAGTCATCCTTCAGGGCAGTGGGCTCTCCTCTGGCCCAGGGCACATCCAGAAATGATGTCCAAGAGTCACATCATAGATTCAGGTCCTCTGAGAGCCCACTTGGTGCTCTGCCCCACTGTGGCCATGTTGGTACCTAAGGTCCAAGACAAAGTCCTCTTTACTCTTCCCTCTGCTTTTCTCAAGCAGAAGGTGTTTTGCCGAGAGACACCACAGCTGGTAATGTGCTGAGTCTCATCTGAAGACCACAAGTCTCAGAGGCTAACTCAAGGCCCTTGATGTAGCACCTGGGTATCACTGCTGGTTATCCAGGACCAAGGGTTCTTCACTAAGCAGGTAATAAATGCTGCCAGCACTGGGTTCTTTCCTTCAGCATAGCAGATTCCCTTCCAGCCCAGGGTGTATCAAGAAATGTTGTCTGGGAGCTGAGGTCTGGAACAGCAGCCTCATGACTCCAACCGGTGCTGTCTTGCTATGGTACAGCTAATATCCAAGATGCAAGACAAGTTCCTCCCCACTCTTCCCTCTCCTCTCCTCAAGGGAAAATACGGGGTAACTTTTGCAGCCATGAACTCTGTAGCCTGGGGCTCAGAAGGGGTAATACCAGCCCTTCCTTGACTGCCCCAGCTGGTATCTTAGTACGCCACATGCCCCACCAGTCCACTATCTCTGGGCCTAGTTCAGCACTAGGACTCACCTAAGAGCTGTAGTCCTTATGGCCTAGACTGCCTTTCAAGTTTACTTGAGGATGCAATGTGCTACAGCCCTCAGTAGTGAGGTTTACAAGAACTCAAGTTTGGACTGCTGGAATCAGCAATTTCTCTCTGGCTAGGACTGCTTTAAATGTTCCCTCCAAGGGCAGGCATTAGTTGAGTTTCGTCAGTTTTTCCTTTCTTCTCTAACAGGACAGCATTAAGTTCATGCCTCATAATTGCTGTGTCCTTCCTCCTCCAATGGCCAGAGATGTTCTCATACCATACTGCCACTGCTAGGGTGTGTGTGGGGGAGGGTTGGGGGGCATTGGCAAGTGAGGACTATTTTTTCCATTTCATCAGTGCCTCTTTCAGCGATATGAAATTAAAACCAGGTACTATGAGTGTTCCTCTGATTTTTGGTTCCCGTGAAGATGTTTTTTTCTGTGTAGATAGTTGTTAAATTGGAATCCTTG
Source organism: Homo sapiens (assembly GCF_000001405.40). Classification (NCBI taxonomy): domain Eukaryota; kingdom Metazoa; phylum Chordata; class Mammalia; order Primates; family Hominidae; genus Homo; species Homo sapiens. The sequence continues at coordinate 43,701,621 of NC_000004.12, forward strand.
TGAGTGGAACAACTGGTGGGGCCTTCCATTCTGCCATCTTCCTCTGCCTACCAACTCCACTTGTATTTTTTAATTTAAGACTTTAGTCCATGTACATTCAATGTTACTGTTGATAAGTAAGAACTTACTCCTACCATTTTGTTATTGTTTGTTTGTTTGTTTTGTGGTCTTCTCTTCCTTTTATTCTTTCTTCCTGTCTTCCTTTGTGTGAAAGGAATTTTCTCTGGTGATACGCTTTACTTTCTTGCTTTCTGTTTCATTTGTGTTTCTGTTGTAGGTTATTTGATTTGAGGTTTCCACAAGGCTTGCAAATAATATTTTTTAACCCATTATTGTAAAGTGATGACAACATTGAGAGCAAGAACAAACAAGCAAACAAAGACAAAGTTAGTAAAAACTCTTCACTATAACTTCAGCCACCCTGCATATAACTTTTTGTTGGTTTTATTTATGTCTTATACTGTCTATGTTTTGAAATGGTGTGGTTTTTATTTTTCATAGATTCATCTTTTAGTCTTTTTTATCAAGATATGAGTAATTTATGCACTGCAGTTACAGTGTTACAATATTTAGTGTTTGTCTGTGTACTTACTATTGTGAGATTTGTATTTTCAGATGTTTTCTTATTGCTCATTAACATATTTTTCTTTCAGAGCAAAAACCCCCTTTAGTATTTCTTATAGGACAGGTCTAATGTTGATGAAATTCCTTAGCTTTTGTTTTTCCAGAAAAGTCTTTATTTCTCATTCATATTTAAAGGATATTTTCACTGGATATACTATTCTAGGATAAAATTTTTATCCTTCAGCACTTTAAATATGTCATCCCACCTTCTCCTGGCCTGTAAAAGTTCTCTGCTGCCAGATGTTTTGGAGGTCCTTTGTATGTTACTTGCTTCTTTTCTCTTGCTTCTTTTAGAATCCCTTTTTTAAATTATTGACCTTTGGCAGTTCAATTATTAAATGTCTTCAGATAGTTGGTAAAATCTGCTTCATGTTCTACAACTTTCTTGTATTGAATATTGATATCTTTCTCTAGGTTTAGAAAGTTCTTCATTATTATCCCTTTGAAATAATTTTCCACCCTGATATCTCTCGCTGTAGCTCCTCTTTAAGGCCAGTAACTCTTAGATTTACCTTTTTGAAGCTATTTTCTAGATCTTGTAGGCATATATCATTTTTTTTTGTTCTTTTCTCTTTTGTCTTCTCTGATTGTGTATTTTCTAATAGCTTGTCTTCAAGCTCAATAATTTTTTCTTCTGTCTGGTTCATTCTGCTGCTGAGAGACTGTGATGTGTTCTTCAGTCTGTCAATTACATTTTTCTGCTTAATTTTTTAAAAATTACTTTAACCTCTTTGATATTCTTTGATAGAATTCTGAATTCCTTCTCATGTTATCTTTAATTTTGTTGTGCATTCTCAAAACTGCTTTTTTGAATTATCTGTATGAAACATTGCATATGCCTCTCCCTCTCCAGGATTGGTCCCTGGTGCCTTACTTAGTTCATTCAGTAAGGTCATTCTTCCCTGGGTGGTCTTGATGGTTGTGGATGTTCATCTATGTCTAGGCATTGAAGAATTGGGTATTTCTTATAGTCTTCACATTCTGGGTTTATTTATATCTATCCTTCCTTGCAAAGTTTTCTGAGAATTCATAGGGAATTGAGTGTTGTGATCTAACTCTTTGGTCACTGCATCTTCATCTGCATTAGGGGACACCCCAAGGCTAATAATGCTGTAAATTGTACACAGTTACAGAGGTACTGCCTTGGTAGTCTTGGGTAACATCCAGGAGAATTCCCTGGATTACCAAGCAGAGGCTCTTGTTCCCTTCCTTTGCTTTCTTTCAAACAAATGGAGTCTCTTACTCTGTGTGCTGAGCTGCCTGGAGCTAGATTAGGGGTGACATAAGCACCCCTATGGCCATCACTACTGGAACTATGCTGGGTTAGACCCAAAGCCAGCACAGCACTGGGTCTTGCCCAAGGCCTGTCATGACCACTGCTTGGCTACCACCAATGTTCACTAAAGGCCCAGGGGCTTTTCAGTCAGGCAGTACTGAATCCAGCCATGCTTATTCCCTTCCCTTCAGGGTGGTGAGCTCCCCGCAGCCAGTGAAGGGTCCAGAAATGCCATTCAAGGAACTGGGTCTGGTGTCAGGAATCTGAGCAATCTACTTCACTCTCTATTCTACTGCTGCTGAGCTGGCACCAAAACCACAAGGTAAAGTCCTTCTCCCTAATCCATCCCCTTTTCTTAAGCAGTAGAAATCTCTCCCCATGGTTAACATCATCCTAGGCTCATGTTGTGTACTGCCTGGCTATTGCTAATATTCACTCATAGCCCAAGAGATCTTCAATCAGCTTGGAGTTAATGCTTCCAGGTGTGGTCTCTCCCTTCAGGGCAGTGGGCCTCCTTATGGCCCAGAGCAGGTCCAGAAATGCCACTCAGGAACCAAGGCCTGAAATTGGGAAACTCAGGTGTCCACCTGGTTTTGCTGGAGGGTTTTATTTGGCCACCTTGTTCCCCAATATGTCTTCTTTTAAATAAATATTTGAAAAGTCAATTGGCTATACATGTGCTACTGACATAAAAATCTAATATTTATGAAAACTACTAGAACCGTGTGAAAAATAAAGTAGCACTAAGATCCAGGGCCTAGTTACTTATCTTATTGATGTGCTGGCTAAGGGCAATTCCTCTGTACAACTTAGAATTAACTGAGCTAATTCTCAGATGAATTTTCATGCTACTGCAAATGCACAAGTTATATTACTTCATTGAAAAATAATTGCAACTAATCATGTACAATTTCATATGTTGTCCCCCTGGAAACTGTAATAAATCCAAGATGGTTGATATGCTCTAGCTTAGTAATGTAATTGAGTAATAAAGAAAAAGGTATAAAAAATTTAAGCTACCATGCTACTTTATTACTTATGCTGAAATACATGAAAGATCTGACAAATAATTCAAAATAATATTTTAAAAGCTCAGTGAGCTACAAGAGACAACAGAAACACAGCTGAACAAAGTAAGGAAAGTAATACATGAACAATATGGAAGTTCAAAAAAGTATAGAAATCATTTAGAGAAACAGAAATTCTGGAGCTGAAGAATACAAGGACTGAACTGACAGAGTCAAGAGAATTTCAACAGCAGATGAAGTCAAGCAGAAGAAAGAATCTGTGAAATCAAAGACATATCATTTGTAATTATGCAGTAAGAGGAACAGAAAGTATTACAAAGGATGAAGAAAGCCTATAGGAACTAATGAACATCATCAAGCAAAATACAGTGTGCATTATTGCTGTTTCAGAAGGAACAGAGAAAGAGAAAGGAACAAAAGCTTATTTAAAAAATAATGACAAATACTTCTCATATCTCAAAGAGAAATGAACATCCAGATACATAATGGCTAAAGAACCACAATAAGTGAACATCAAGAGATCTTCACTGAGAAACATTATAATTAAATTGTCAAAAGTCAAATAATTAAAAAACAAAGTTAAAGAAAAAAAGAATTTTGAAAGCAGTAAGAAAAAGAAACTGATTTCATACAAGGGAATTATCATGAGACTAATGGCAGATTTCTCAGCAAAATCTTTGCAGGTCAGAGAAAGTAGGTTGACGTATTCAAAGTGTCAAAACAAAGAAAAAATATCTGTCAACCAAAAATACTTTAATTGGCAAAGCTGTCTTTCAGAAATGAAGGAGAGATAAAGAATTTTCTAGAAAAACAAAAGCTTAAGAAATTCACCACTAAACCTCTCCAACAAGGGAATTCCTAAAGTTAAAACAAAGTAATGGTAAATAGCAACATGAAAACGTGAAAGTACAAAACTTACTGATAAAGATAAGAATATAGCCAAATTCAGAATACACTTATAAATGGTGATACATAAATCACTATTAACATGGTATAAACATAAGAAGACAAATTATTAAAAAATATAGTTACAATAATTCATTAGTGAATATTGATATCATTTGGCTCTGTCCCCACACAAATCTCATGGTGAATTGTAATTCCCATTGTTGGAGGAAGGACCTGGTGGGAGGTGATTGACTCATGAGAATGGACTTCCCCATTGCTGTTCTTGTGATGGAGTACTCATGAGATTTGGTTGTTTGATAAATGTGTGGCACCACCTCATTCTCTCTCTCTCTCCTGCCCCATGTAAGACATGCCTTGCTTCCCCTTCACCTTCTACCTTGATTGTAAGTTTCCTGAGGCCTCCGCAGCCATGCAGAATTGTGAGTCAATTAAACCTCTTTTCTTTGTAAATTACCCAGTCACAGGTAGTTCTTTATAACAGTGTAAGAACAAACCAATACATATACACTTTCTAAAAATATATCAATAGTGACATTATTAACATGTCAGTGAAGAGAGAATTTGTAAAGAGTAGTTTTTTGGTGTGTGATCAAAGATAAGTTGCGATCAGCTTAAAATGAAGTTTTATAGCTGTAAGATGTTTCATCTAAACTTCATGGTAATCAGATACAGAAAAGATAGAGAAAAAAGAAACAAAACATAACACTATAAAATTATTGAAACAAAAATGAGATGGCAAAAGAGAAAGAAACTAAAACAAGTCAGAAGAAAACAAATTGGCAACAATAAGCCCTTACCTATCAATAATCACTTTAAATATAAAGGCATTACATTCTGTAACGAAAAGACGCAAAAAAACAATTTCCAACTCTATTCTACTGCATTAGTCCATTCTCACACTGCTATAAAGAACCACCTGAGAGAGACTGGGTAGTTTATGAAGAAAAGAGGTTTAATTGACTCATAGTTCCACAGCCTGTACAGGAAGCATGGCTGAAAGGTCTATGGAAAATTGCAATGATGGCAGAAGGCAAAAGGGAAGCAAATGTATCTTACCATCCTGGAGCAGAAGAGAGCAAGATACGGGGAAATACTACACACTTTTAAACAATCTGATCTCATGAGAACTCTATCAAGAGACAGCACTAGAGGGATGGTGTTAAACTATTAGAAACCACCCACATGATTCAATCACCTCCTACCAGGCCCCACCTCCAAAACTTGGAATCACAGTTCAATATGAGGTTTTGGTGGGGACACACAGCGAAACCATATCAGCTACCTACAAGAAACTAATTTTAGCTTTAAAGATATACATAGGCTGAAAACAAAGATATGGAAAAAGATAATCCATGCAAATGGTAACTAGAAGAGAGCAAGGATGCCTATAATTATGTGAAAACAAATAGACTCCCTGTTAAAAACTATTGCAAGAGGCAAAGAAGGTCTTTCATAATAATAAGGGTGTCATCATCAAGAAGATGCATCAACTATAAGTATGTATTCACCCAACATCAGATCACCTAAATATGTAAAATAAATATTGCAGAAGTGAAGGGAGAAATAAACAACAATATAATTGTAGTGGGGGACATCAACACCATCAGTACCCCACTTTCAATATTAATAAGTCATCTTGAAAGAAAGTCAATAAAGAAACAGAAGACTTGAACAAAACTCTGGAACAAAAGTATCTAATAGACATATACAGAACATTCCATCCAACAGCATAATATGCTTTCTTTTCAAGAGCACATGGAACACTCCTGAATAGACACTATGTTAGCCCAGTAAACCAGTCTTTAAAAGTTGAAGAAGATTGAAATTATGTCAGTTACATTTTACTAATTACAATGGCATGAAACTAGAAATCAATAGCAAAAGGAGTAAATTTTATAACAATAAATGCTTACATTAGGACAAAGAAATAAAGAGCCCAACTAACTACCTTTATACCATTTATTATTTCTTAATTTAACAATAAATGCTTATACTAAGAAAAAGAAATAAACAACCTAATTTTGTACCTCACGGAACTAGAAAAAGGAAAAACGAAGCCAAAAGTTAGCAGAGGGAGAAAACAATGATCAGAGTAGAAATAAATGAAAAAGAGACTAGAAAAACAATAGAACAAATCAATAAAACTGAGTCAGTTTTTTGGGGAAAAAACAGAATCAATGAACTTTAAGCTAGACTAAGAAAAAGGAAGATTCAAATAAATAAAATTATAAATGACAAAAGAGACATCACAGCTGATAGCACTGAAATACAAAAGATTATGACTGACTACTGTAAATGATTATGCACCAACAAATTGGATATCTAGAAAATGGACAAATCCCTAGAAAGAGTAAACGTGCGAAGACTAAATAATAAAGATTTAGAAAATCTGAACAGACCAATAACAAGAGGTTGAATCAGTAATACAAACTTCCAAACAAAGAAAAACCTGGGACCAGATGGTGTCGCTGGTAAACAAAAAAGATTTAACAATTTTCTCAAACTTATCCACAAAATTGGAGAGGAGGAAACACTTCCAAAAATTGAAGAGGAGGGGAGGGGAGGGAAGAGGACAGAAGGAAGAAGGGGAGGGGAGGGAAGAGGACATAAGGAAGAAGGGGAGGGTAGGGAGGGAAGAGCAGGTGGGAGAAAGAAGGTGCTAATGGTATCTGTGGGAAAGAGTGACATGACCAAGAGCAATGCCACTCGGATATAGGACAGGTGCTATCAATTTTCCTAAGTATATGGCTGAATCTTTCTGATAAATTGGGCTTCCTTTCTTTTACTCCCAGAGGACCTAGTATCCCTAGATCCCTCACAAGTCTTCTTGGCCTGGGGTCTCTCATTTTTCCTGGATGTCCCTTCAGCCCAGGCACTCTTTAACCACGTGAGCATGGCAGGGAGGTTCTGCAGACTCCTAGGTGATAAGTGTTACGTTAACTGTGAAAATCATCTGTGTTCGTAATATATGGATAACTGGGAACATTGTTGTATTACATTTTCTTCCTAGACTGTTTAACTCAAGGGAGAAAAATGAACTTAATCTCAGGAAAAAAAATACACTTCTGAATGATTAAATTTATCAATTATGGTTTTAAGCTTTTCCTTTGTTTCTGAATTGGTAGCAAGAAGATCCATTGAAGTGTTGTGCTATTTAAAAAGACATCACTGCTCTTATTTAAAAGTAAGCAATACATTCAAGTCTCTATTAGAGACACTTTAATATAATAAATATTTTTCAACACACATGAACTTGTTTAAAAACTTGTTTAGAACTAAGATCCTTCATCATCAGCCAAAGAACATTTCTTTTAGGAATAGATTTTTCAGCATATGAAAGCTGTCCAAAATGTCAGGCAGCTATTTGAATCCAGGTCCATCTTGCAAACTTCCTCAAGGATGCTGTTCCCCACAGATGGTGCTCTTCACTTTAGTTTGTTTTCACTGTGCTTATTCATGAAATGACAGATGTTATTGAGAAAATGACTCCCTACTCTAATTACAAACAGCTTTATACACAGAGCAAAACATAAATAATAAAACCCTCTTGAGTTAATATCAGATATTAGGCAAATTAAACATATCCTTAGGTCATCAGCAAAACAGAAGAACCAAACATTTTACCAATTAGCTTATTAAGGTATTGTTTTATGTAATATAATTAATTGGCTTTAAGTGTACAACTTGATAAGTTTATAAAAATGTATACAGTCATATAGCCACCTCTACCATCATAATCCATTTCTATCACTTCAGAAAATCTCCTCATGCTCTTGGCAGTAACGGCCCCCCCAAACACAAAAAGAATTGATAATGGATACATTATTTTAGTTACTTTATAGAAATACCCAAGAGCTATCCATATTAATGCCTTGGATAAAACATTTTTCTTGTGATGTGAAAATGAATCCAATATTCAAAAATCCATAAGAGATCTCCAGCTCATATCAGAATAGTTGGTATAACTCATTCACATTTAAGAAACTGGTTCATGAAAAGAAGCAGAGAAAATTTAGGATATTATTTTAAATTTCCTTGGTTATTTTAAACAAGAATTTTATGATTCTTTTTTCATTATTTTGATAACAGAGTCCTCAAAATAATGTGAAGTGGTTTCATCTAATTTCAAGTGTTTATTGCAATAATCTCAGGTCTGTGCCAGACTTTTGCCACTATGAGGCAGTATCATAGGCATTGCCATGACAGTAGAACAATTAAATTGCCACCAGAGGCATAAAGCAAAAACAAAACAAAACAAAACAAAACAAAAAAAGAAGAAAGAAAGAAAGTAATGAATTCTGAAATATCTATACTGTCTACCTCATAGCCAGTAATTGTAATAATTTCTCAAGCTGGCTAAATTTTTCAGTTAAGAAAATTGTGATTCTTGAAGCTTTATCATAACATTACCTTTTGCCTCTTAAAATATATATTCCTTCCCATCTACTCTCCATTTATAATTCCAGTTGCAAAATGACAGGGATTTAGACTGATGTTGTTCAGTAGTTTTTATCAATAAGAAACTATTGCACTGAAAGTCTCAAATTCTGATAATTACTATTTCTACAAGTACCACAAAATATTTGTAATCAGGCAAGGTTGGAATGGGGGTTGTTACTGTATATTTATTATCTACATTGATGAGTGATAGGAAGACAATGGTGTCCAAAACCTTCTCTATTTCTGTCCTTTAGAACTCAAAATCTAGAGAAGGGGGATTATGAGTTGAACAGTATTCCCCCAGAACCTCAGAATGTCCCCTTGGAAACTGGATGTTTGCAGATGCAGTTAGTTAAGATGGAGTCATACTGAATTAAGATGTGTTCTAAATCCAATGACTGGTATCCTTATAAGAAAGCCATGTGAAGGCACAAAGGGAAAAAGCCTATCTGATAATGAAGGCAATGACTGGAATGGTGCAGCTAAAAGCCAAGGAATGCCAAAGATTGCTGGCAACCACTAGAAGTTAGAAAAGCGGTATAGGATAAATTTTCCCTTAGACCTTTCAGAAGGAATCAACCCAGCCAACACCTACATTTCAGACTTCTGGTCTCCCAAACCGTGACAGAATAAATTTTGTTTGTTTTATGACACTGACAGCCCTAAGAAACTAATACAGAGAAACAGATATTAATGAAATATTGATAAATACATGTAAAATTGCAACTATGAAAAAAGATTATTGATGAGAGCTTCAAAGTGTATTGATATCCAGATGAGTTGTACTAGTCACGGAGATCAGAGAACACCTTTTTGAGAAAGTGTTTTTTAAAGTGAGAACCAAAGAAGTTATCTATAGAAATATGAAGAGAATGAGGACTGCAGTCCAACTAGAAGTAAAATATGTTTTTTTTTAAAAATGCACTATTTCATGACTTAATAAATATGCATCCTCTATCTTACGTACTCTTACAGGATCTGAAGATTTAGAAATAAACATGCAGTTTATACACTACGAAAAAAGGTATTGTGATCAAGCTATTAAAATACTGTTGTATTCTATTAATGAGGATAAATGAAAAAACTACACCTGTTATTGTTAAATATCTGTAGTCCCAATTATGTAGAAATAAAATATTTTTAAAGTAGTGAGTTCCTTCCTTCCCTTCCCTTCCTTCCTTTCCTCCCTCCCTGACTCCTTCTCTTCCTCCCTCCCTCCCTCACTTCTGTCTGTCTGTCTGTCTTGCTTGCTTGCTTGCTTGCTTGCTTGCTTGCTTGCTTGCCTGCTTTCTCACAGTTTCACTTTGCCACCCAGGCTGGAGTGCCCTGATGCTATCGCGGTTCACTGCAACCTGTGCCTCCGGAGTTCAAGTGATTCTCCTGCCTCAACCTCCCCAGTAGCTGGGATTACAGGTGTGCGCTACCACACCAGGCTAATTTTTGTATTTTTAGTAGGGACGGGGTTTCCCCATGTTGACCAGGCTTGTCTCAAACTTCGGACCTGAATGACCCTCCCACCTCAGCCTCCCAAAGTGCTGGGATTACAGGCCACAGTCACCTCTCCCAACCAATAGTGATTTTCAGTAAACAGGATTTCCTTATATTGCTTCTTATCACAATGACACATTCTTATTACAATGACTTTAAATAGTCAAAACAATTAAAAATAATGAAACTACAGACAAATTTTTTTTAATTCTCCAGCTGGCTCTAAAAATCATGTTATTTATTAAGGTGATATATTTTGCATATTAAAAACATATGAACATTGTTTGATTTATTGTCAATTTGGTATCTCATTTTGCTTGAGCAAAACAGATAGTGCCACAGAATCTTTGTAAGTTTTCTTTTATCATTTAATTTATTTTGTAATAAAAATAATATAAACAAATAAGGTACTTAAATAATTACTCTAAAAATATAACAAATTAAGAAAACAAATAGCTATTTTATAATGAGGCAGAAATTTTACCCATTTTAACCAGATTAAGAAATTTCAGTTGAAGAATTTTCCTTTATGTAGTCGAGTTGTTTTGTTTCCAGCAAACTCTTTGCAGTAAAGAAAACCTTGGTAGTTCTTTCATGAATAAAAAGCATATGTGTACTTCATTTCAAATTGGCAGGGTCTCATGGTTTCCTTATAGATGTATAAGGTATAATTCAGTTTATAGAAGTAGTACAGTTAAAGTCTAAAGAAGGTCATTTTTTAATCTTTTTTTTTGCATTCTTGCTTAGAAAATTACTAAGGAGACTCATTGGTAGTTTCTATGTCACCTGAGTGTACTCAATCCCTTGGGCTTGGGGGTATACTTATTGAAACTGAAATTTATGAATAAAGAAATTAAAAAAGGAATAAATCCAACTGTTATATGTCCTTCTAAACAACTCACAAAACATCAGTAAGACAAGCACACACTCCAAATAACTTAATATCACATATAGATAGGAAAAAAATTAATAACCAAAATTAACAGAATCAACTCCAGAGCCCACAGTGAGTAGAGAGTGGGGTGAAGACTTGGTGAAAGAAAGAAGAGAGGAAGTTCATAAGAATATAACCAATGAATCAGCCTCAGAAAGAGAAAGTCTTACCAGGAATTGGGAAATAGAAAAAAATAGGATTAAAAATTGATAAACCAAAACACTGCCTTTGGGGAATCCAAAGGCAAGACTTGAACATGCACAAGGACAGATGTAGTGTGTTGTTTTGATTAAGAGCAGGTGACTTGGCTAGGTAAGATACCCTTGGGTATGTAAATAAAAAGTAATTAAAAAGTTGAATTTGAGAGTCTTGATGAAGGAAAATTAAATCATAAAGTCAGAAGACATACAAAGTGCCTTTCCAACAAAATGCCCTTGAATAAAGAACAGCTACAACAAAAGCTAGTAAATGGCTGTCTTAGGTTGGGTTCATTCAAACACATGGCTGAAATAGGATTCCATGTACAAGAAAGGTATTAAATGAATAGGCTCTGGATAAACTGGAGGGAAAAAAAATTAGGAAAAAAGAAGAAAACAGGGAGGGAGGCAAAATAGGAAGGGAAGACCGATAAGCAAGCTTGTGGTTTCAGGGGAAGTTCAGATTCATTCTATCTTACAGGAAACCCTGTAGCACAAATTGAACCCTAGACTTTTCTGCACCTTCAAGCAGGGAGCTGGGTTCCTGTAGGTCTGCAGAGATAATCACAGAGTTGTCATAGGGAAACTTAAATTCCCAGGCATATCCAGGTGACGCAGTTTGAGTTGTCCAAGTGTCAACTTCTAGAGGAATGTGAAAGTGTGAAGCACTAGCAGCAATAGCCACAGCATTTAGGGAATGCCATATCTAATCAGCAAAAAGATCTTAGAATATCTGAGCAGGACACCAACAATGTTGCTGCAGCAACTGACATCCCTTATCATTCTCTACACAAAGCTTGTTGATGCACTTAAAATGAACAAAAAGTAGCAAACAGATAAAATAACAAGAAGGATCAAAATATTTTAACTGATGAAAATTATCTCCACCCAACAACAACAAGCAAAAGGAAACTGTGACACAACTCTTCAATATAATTAACTGTGTTTAATCAGACATTTATAGATTAAAAATTTTGAATTCATGATCCAAAATATGATAACACAAGAGGTAAAAGTCATACAAAATGTGAAATGAAAGTTGATGTAACTCATTGAAGAAATGGAAGAAAAAGTTACCTTGGAAAGAAAAATGACAATATAAGATGTGAAGACAAAATAGGAGTTACTGAAAACATAATGAACATCATTTAAAAATACACATGAAAACATCTGTGAGAACAAAATAAAATCACTAAAAAAGTAAAAGGAATCAGATAAAGCAAATGATGTAGATAACATTCTTAAAGATGGTTCTGTTACCTACATGTATGCATCACCATAAATAAAATTTGAGCATTTTTTAAAAAGGAAAAATAATGGAGTAAACTAATATTTAAAACTTCAGTGAACAAAAACTTCCTGGAAATAAATGACACAGTTTACATATGATAAAAGCCCATTATGTACCTGGAACAAATGTCCTGAAACAGTGAACTCTGAGACAGAGCTTCATACAATTATTAGACTTTTTATATAAAGAAAAATATAGGCCAATAAACACATACAAGAAAACTTAGTGTTTCTCAGTTTTTCAATTATGCCTTTTGCAAGTAAACTATGAGCAAAAGATTTTAGGTCTTTAAGAACAAGCTATGTGGTTCTTAAAGTATCAAGCTTATAGGAGAACAATAGTAAATCTGTAAGTATTCAGAAAATACTGTACTCAAGAGGCATTTCCAGCCAGGCATGGTGGCTCAGCGGCTCACGCTTGTAATCCCAGCACTTTACGAAGCCAAGGTTAGAGGATCTCTTGAGCCCAGTAGTTCAAGACCAGCCTAGGCAACATGCAGAAACTTTTTTGAAAAAATTTAGCCAGGTGTGGTGATGAGTGCCTGTAGTCCTAGCTACTCAGGACACTGAGGTAGGAGGATAGCTTGAGCCCAGGAGGTTAAGGCTGTAGTGAGCCATGACTGTACCACTGTACTCCAGCCTTGACAACAGAGCAAGACCCTGTCTCCTAGGGAAAAAAAAAAAGAGACATTCCCATGGCATTGGGTAAGGGAGAAGCTTTATCCAGACAAGAAATAGTAAACACTACAAAAGGACAAACAGGTATACTTAAACAAATGAAGATATACTTTTAATGTAAGCATGTTAATTTTTTAAATCACAAAATGTCAAATGAAGAAATGTTTGTTTATTTGAATTTTTTTCACCTCGAACTAGACATATTGATTCTAAAGTTTAAATTTAAAAAATAAAAATAGCATGCTACTATAGCACAGAAGAAACTGAAGGAAAGAGATATGAAGGAGCTCTGCCAAAGGCACTACTAGATTTTAAACATATTACAAAGCCTCAATTAAAAAAATAAGAGTGTAGTAGTATGGAGATGTAAGTATAGTGATAGACCTGTGGAACAGAAAATAAATTTCAGACCCAGAACTAATTCATACGGAAATTTGGTACATGTGAAAGATAGCATTTAAATCACTAGATAAAGCACGGACTTTGAGGTAAATGGTTATCAATAACCTGGATAGCTTTTTAGAAAAGGATCAAATTGTAGCTATATCTTAAATAAAGTAGAAATAATGAATAGACTCAAAATGGATAAGAGATTAAAATATAAAAATGAAACCATACAATCATTGAAAAAAACATGAGTAGTTTTCTTTATAACCTGGGTCTGCAACAAAGAAAAATGATAAATTTACTACCAAAAATGGCCTGGAAAATATGTCACATGAAAAGTCAAAATAATAAATGACAATTTGGGAGTATATTTGTAATGTGTCAAAGATAAAGATCTAATGCTTCAAATACAGTTTTAAAAGCTGTAAATTATTTTGTAAAAATGCCCCTCATAAAACCAACTAACCAAACAAAAATACACTCAGTCTCTCTTATAATAATGGAAACATGGAACAAAATTATACGATGATACTCTTTCTCACCTGTTAGACTGTTCACAGATTGACAGCATATTATGTGTGTGGCCCTGTGAGGAAACAGGCACTCTCTTACATTACTAGGATTTTAAATGGTACTCCTCTTTGGAGGGCCATTTGGCAGTATATAACGTAATTATGTATGCATTTACCCATTCACTCAACAATTCTGCTTCCAGGAAATTAATTCAGTCAGATTATAATGTTAATCATTATAAAATTATTTATAAGAGCAAAATATTGGAAGTGTCCTTAATTCTCATCAAGAGGCTGATAAATCTATAATACACTCCACCCAATGGAGTAGTATCTTTAAAAAAAAACAAGAAATACTGTGAGTATCGTCTGTGTTTGTGTGTGTGTGTGTATGTGTGTGTGTCTGTGTCTGTGTGTGTTCATCTGTGTGTAGAGAGAGTTTGGTTTTAGCTCAATCAAAAAATATGATGATAGATGGATGGATAGATTGAGAGATAGGCAGGTAGATAGGTAAAATGATAGATTCAGGGATAGCTATATCTGTATGTCTGTGCACCTGTATTTTTTTTAATCTAGAAAAAGAGTGAATAAATGTGCAAAACATTGACAATTGTTAAACCTAAGTGGAAGGGTATAGAAGTGTTTGTTGTATTTATATTGAACCATATATTTCATAAAGCTGCTGCTATTTGAACATTTTTATCTATAAAAATAACCGTCTCGTGTAGTTCAATTTAAATGCAAACACTCTTCACCAAGTACACTGATGGTTTTGTAAGTTAGAAATAGTCCACTATTAGTAGTTTTATACACTTTCACTTATTCTATTCTATTTTTTAAGAAATAAATTTTTCCAAATAAAATGTTGCAAAAATAAGAAAATGCATTTTCCCAAACAAGGTTTTAATATGCTTAAATTCATAGAAAGGAAATAAAGAAAGAAGGAGAGATAACATTGTTTAAAGATCAACTATGTTGTAAGAACCATTCTATGGTTCCTATGTCCTAGGAACTCAGGAACCTTCATCTTTATATATAAGAAAATGTGTTCAAATAAATTCAGAGAATCTGATAAGTTTCCGTGGTTTGAAACTTTTACACAGCTAACAAGTGACAAGAAACTGTGCCCATAACATCATGAAAATAAATTTATTCTCTATTAATTTTTAAAATGCAGACTGGAAAATAGCATGCTTGATGATAAAAACATCAAACTGAAACAACCTTGAGGAATTTTTATATTTTCAACTAAAACTTTCAGTGTATGATCTGCAATAGGATAGCTTCTTCTAAATGCTTTTAGAAAGTATTTTATGCTATTGAATTTTTAATCTATTGATCTTTATGTTCAGTACATTTCTAATATTTAAAACAATGTTTGGCTTTTCTGAGAGGATCATCAAAAAGTCCTTTATTGATGAGAAGTTCTTTGTAAAAAATCCCCTGTTGGTTTACTCACTGGCCGGCTGCCTTTCCCCTCCCCTCTCTGCCTTTTTACCTAGAATACTCCAAGTGCATTATATTGGCCTCCAGTCGGAGAATCATAGTCTGCTGATAAAACACTCAGCGTCATTTACCATCTGGCTATTCTTTCATGGCTTAAGAAGTGCAGATTCTTTTTTTGTCATCAAACTTTTTTTTTCAGTGTTAAAATAGGATCTTCCAGTAGTACAAAGAATGTTGACATTCTTACAGAATCTGAAGTGTCAAGCAGAGAATATACATTTTAGCTCACTTACCAAAATTATATAGTTGTAAGATTCTGGCATGCTCTCTCTTTGTGTACAGGTGGCTAATTTGCAGACACGACGTGGGTGGTGCTGTAGGAAATAGCACAAAAAGAGGAAAGCAGGTCAACCTAATACAGGGTTTTTCAGCACTTTTCTTCAAGCTGGGGATTAATAAAATCCACTAAAATCAGTTGTAATTTTATAAAAGTCTTCATTAGATAAAACTCTTTTCTGAAAGTTAGCTATATTTTATTATTTTTTTATTTTTTTTTACTGCTTTTCTTTTTTTTTTTAATTATTATACTTTAAGTTTTAGGGTACATGTGCACAATGTGCAGGTTAGTTACATATGCATACATGTGCCATGCTGGTGTGCTGCACCCATTAACCCTAATGCTAAATGACGAAAGTTAGCTGTATTTTAAAAGCATAGAGTATTATAAACTGTTCCTTATGAATGCAGTACACTTCATACAAATTTATATTTTTTTAAGTTAAAAATAATGAGCACATTAAAATTTGAAATTTGCAGCTGGGTGCGGTGGCTCATGCCTGTAATCCCAGCACTTTGGGAGGCTGAGGTGGGAGGATCACGAGGTCAGGAGTTGGAGACCAGCCTGGCCAACCTGGTGAAACCCTGTCTCTACTAAAAATACAAAAATTAGCCAGGCATGATGGTGGGTGCCTGTAATCCCAGCTACTCAGGAGGCTGAGACAGGAGAATCGCTTGAACCCGGGAGGCGGTGGTTGCAGTGAGCTGAGATCACGCCACTGCACTCCAGCCTGAGCGACAGGGTTAGACTTTATCTAAAAAAAAAAAAAAAAGAAAGAAAGAAATTTGCATGTTAATGTAGCGTTAGTCAGCATGGGAACCCATGATGCAGAAAGGCAGGTAAACCTCAAGACTGGGAAGACACATCTTTGCACAAAATCTTAAAGGAATGACTGGGCCATATAAACATGGAGAGGGCAGAGAGAAGAATGACACTCCCTAAGATTATCTGCTTGAACAGAGGTGTATTCAGAATTTTCTTAGTAGAAGGAGAGGAGCAATTGAATTACATTGAAAGTTACTTGGATAATAACATAACTAATAATATTTAACACATCAAGGAACCCTAAAAAAAAGCAATTGCTCTGAGGTAAGTTATGGATTAATGAAAATGCAGCCATTTAGTTACACCCAAGTAGCCATGGTTAAACAGCACTTTAGTTTTTGGCAGTGCAAGCTTCATGTGCAGTCACTTTATTTTGTTTTTAAACCTTCCATCTCTTACAACACAGAGGTCTTCTAAGGAGGCCTGGGGGATTACATGGTTAGTTGCACAATTTCTGTATCTGGAGATTTTGGGGTTTTATGGACCTTTGTTTTATTGCTGTTAGTTGTTCATGCGTGTTTGTTTTGTGGCTTTCACAGTCTGACCCACTGTTTTCTGCCAGGATGCAATGCACTGTGGGTATTAACAATACTTCCTTGCATTACCACCTCTGGTTACAGTGTCCAAAATGCTCTCATTTATAAGGGATGCTCTTGTTGTGCCAGACCGTCAATGGCTATGACTAAGTCCTACAGTAATAAAAATGCAAGACTTTTTAAATGTTAGTGTTACATATGGTATTGGGAATAGCAATATTTAAAAAAAAAACAGCATCAATCAGGACATTTTTGTGTCTCTTCATTGACTTCTATGGCGTAGCAGGTGATGAACTCTAGAGAGTCAGAGGCTATTTTAAGCAGGCCAGAGGGCCTGACTGAGCTCGGGTTGTAGGTTCTGGAGAGGCAACTCTCTTCCGAGACATCCCTTTTAGACCCTCCCCTTGGGTCATATAGTAGTGCTTTTTCATCAGATTATCGCCCCTGACCAGCACTCCTTCCCTCTTTATCTCTAACAGGAGAATTTCAATTCATCCTTAAGGCCAGCTCGCATCATGTGGAACATTATAATCCCATAGCAAATATAGCATAAGGATGTTAATTGATTGGTTAATTCCCTTGCCAATGCAAACATAGTTTTATGACAAACACTTCACATCCATAATTTTGTAAATTATAAACAGGTATATCTTTGAAGAATCTAGAAACATATCTACTTCCTTTGCTTTTGTTTTCTATTTCCTTTTATTCCCCGAATTTGTCTCTGAATGTTTTTAAGTTACATTTTCCCTCTGTCATGTGGATATTCTTATAAGAACTTATAATTAAATATCTCTTCAGCTTCATAACTAAAGGAGCTTGAAGCAACATATAGCAATGCACCCAATTTCAATTAACTTGTCTTGCTTACAGCTTTTAACATAAACAGAGTAACATATTTTCCTCAAGCAATTTGCATACGTTTTCTTCAATTTACAACTTCAAGAAGCTGTATAAGAAATTCATATATGAGCTGCTTTCCAGTTTACTGTAAATTCAGAGTTTGTAAAGCAATTAGATTTTCCTTTACTTGACAACTAAATTTTATTTTAATCTAAAAGATGTTTGACTACTCTTCAAGAAATTTTATGCATGCAAAGATGTTATCATTATTCACATTAAGGAAACAAGTTCACCAAAATGCCATAGTCTTTGTGTCTGACTACATTTTAAACATTTAAACTGTAATTTATTTTATAAAAGAAAGTTCTAAAGAAATAAATTTAAGGGAGAAAATGTATTAAGAGTAAAAAATGCATTCATAAATTGTATTTAAGCTATATGTATAGATGTGAAGATTTTATTAAATTCTCTGCAAACATAAATGTATGCTTGTCATAAAAATTACTTTAAAATGTGTCTTAAATACCTACTATGTAGATCATAAAACTTAATACTTACAAGTCTTTCTCTGATAACTAATTTTAAAAACTGGGTGCTTTTATGTTTTATTGTTCATTTTAAAATATAAGCCCTTATGAAAACTAAAATTTATTTTGAAATACATTATTTATAAAAGCAATTTCAGTAGACATTCATCCTTTAAAACATTCATTCTTGAATTAAATATATATTAGCATACTTGATTCCAAACATTTTACAAATACATGAATGCTTCTGAGAAAAATTTTAGGGCAATGTGAAATATTTAAAAATGTATTTGGACAAATATCTAGTAAATGCTTCAAGAGATCAAGTAGCTGAATAATTTGCATATGGATGCTTTTATCTTTTAATAATTGTACTTTTCTTGTCCTGAGTGAGTTAGCTGCCAAGTTTAGTTTAAGATTGAGAAAAACAACCAACTAGGAGTCTCAGGCTGTTGAGTTATGGTATTGTTAATTATACCTGGAAACGGAGGCAAACTTTCTTCCTTTCCTCCTTGCTGACTTATAGTGCTGCATGACTGAAATGCCCACCATAGTTATTTGCCTTCCTGGCCAATTAAGTAGAACACCTCTGTTAAAATAACACACTTTCAAACCTTGGACTACTTAATAAATACATGAAAATCATATACATTTAGAGGGGTTTTCTAGGCTTGCCATAGGACATCAAGGTGTCTAATATAGCTTAATATCGTCCTCTTTTCTTCCTGCAACCTTAAAAGCACAAAATGCCAAAAGTAATGAGATTAAAATAGAATCTGAGATAAATCTAGACAAAGGGCAGAGGTGGGCATGACAATCTGACCCTCTTGGTAAGATGTCCTCAGTGTATGCTTTTCCTCTTGTTTTTAATCTTTCTCTTTCTTTCTTTTTTGTTAATTATAAAGTTGTATCA
Organism: Homo sapiens; assembly: GCF_000001405.40. Taxonomy (NCBI): domain Eukaryota; kingdom Metazoa; phylum Chordata; class Mammalia; order Primates; family Hominidae; genus Homo; species Homo sapiens. The sequence goes on from NC_000004.12 coordinate 43,720,811, forward strand.
GGATGTATAGTGGATAGATAAAATATTAAAGTTATTATGCTTAAAACCCATCACAATACTGTGTAAGTTTCCCTCAGTCAGGATTTGCCTAAACATGGCCTGGCTTCTATTGTGTGGAAAATTCTATGAAGACGATTAAACTTCCATAAATTCTAAAAACTGATTATTCTCATCACTGCCAATGCTGAGTCTTGGGGTAATATTATTTTTATTAAAAATTGTAATTGGCAACTTTTAGATCATACTATGAATTTCAAAATTAACAATGGTATCCTAATGAACTCCATCTCACAAGGAACAACGACAACTTTGGGTGGAAACTAGGCTAGACAGAGATTTATTCAGAAACAAGTAAGTTTGAATGTACATGAATATGGAAATTTTAAAAAACATTGAAATACAGAGAAATAGTGTAAAAGAAAGTCTCTCTCATATTTAAATATAAAAACTTTTCAGTGTCATCTTTTTTCTATGTTGACCTCTTCAACACTAGGCTGAGGCTAACTGCCACAGAAATATTTCCTTAACAATTACTTTATTTCTCTGATGACCAGTGATGATGAACATTTTTTCATGTGTCTGTTGGCTGCATAAATGTATTCTTTTGAGAAGTGTCTGTTCATGTCCTTCGCCCACTTTTTGATGGGGTTGTTTGTTTTTTTCTTGTAAATTTGTTTGAGTTCATTGTAGATTCTGGATATTAGCCCTTTTTCAGATGGGTAGATTGCAAAAATTTTCTCTCCTTCTGTAGGTTGCCTGTTCACTCTGATGGTAGTTTCTTTTGCTGTGCAGAAGCTCTTCAGTGTAATTAGATCCCATCTGTCAATTCTGGCTTTTGTTGCCATTGCTTTTGGTGTTTAAGTTGTGAAATCTTTGCCCATGCCTATGTCCTGAATGGTATTGCCTAGGTTTTCTTCTAGGGTTTTTATGGTTTTAGGTCTAACATTTAAGTCTTTAATCCATCTTGAATTAATTTTTGTATAAGGTGTAAGGAAGGGAACCAGTTTCAGCTTTCTACATATGGCTAGCCAGTTTTCCCAGCACCATTTATTAAATAGGGAATCCTTTCCCCATTGCTTGTTTTTCTCAGGTTTGTCAAAGATCAGATAGTTGTAGATATGTGGCATTATTTCTGAGGGCTCTGTTCTGTTCCATTGGTCTATATCTCTGTTTTGGTACCAGTACCATGCTGTTTTGGTTACTGTAGCCTTGTAGTATAGTTTGAAGTCAGGTAGTGTGATGCCTCCAGCTTTGTTCTTTTGGCTTAGTACTGACTTGGTGATGCGGGCTCTTTTTTGGTTCCATATGAACTTTAAAGTAGTTTTTTCCAATTCTGTGAAGAAAGTCATTGGTAGCTTGATGGGGATGGCATTGAATCTATAAATTACCTTGGGCAGTATGGCCATTTTCACGATGTTGATTCTTCCTATCCATGAGCATGGAATGTTCTTCCATTTGTTTGTATCCTCTTTTATTTCATTGAGCAGTGGTTTGTAGTTCTCCTTGAAGAGGTCCTTCACATCCCTTGTAAGTTGGATTCCTAGGTATTTTATTGTCTGTGAAGCAATTGTGAATGGGAGTTCACTCATGATTTGGCCCTCTGTCTGTTATTGGTGTGTAAAAATGCTTGTGATTTTTGCACATTAATTTTGTATCCTGAGACTTTGCTGAAGTTGCTTATCAGCTTAAGGAGATTTTGGGCTGAGACGATGGGGTTTTCTAGATATACAATCATGTCATCTGCAAACAGGGACAATTTGACTTCCTCTTGTCCTAATTGAATGCCCTTTATTTCCTTCTCCTGCCTTATTGCCCTGGCCAGAACTTCCAACATTATGTTGAATAGGAGTGGTGAGAGAGGGCATCCCTGTCTTGTGCCAGTTTTCAAAGGGAATGCTTCCAGTTTTTGTCCATTCAGTATGATATTGGCTGTGGGTTTGTCATAAATAGCTCTTATTATTTTGAGATACGTCCCATCAATACCTAATTTACTGAGAGTTTTTAGCATGAAGCATTGTTGAATTTTGTCAAAGGCCTTTTCTGCATCTATTGAGATAATCATGTGATTTTTGTCTTTGGTTCTGTTTATATACTGGATTATGTTTATTTATTTGTGTATGTTGAACCATCCTTGCATCCCAGGGATGAAACCCACTTGATCGTGGTGGATAAGCTTTTTGATGTGCTGCTGGATTCGGTTTGCCAGTATTTTATTGAGGATTTTTGCATCGATGTTCATCAGGCATATTGGTCTAAAATTCTCTTTTTTTGTTGTGTCTCTGCCAGGCTTTGGTATTAGGATGATGCTGGCCTCATAAAATGAGTTAGGGAGGATTCCCTCTTTTTCTATTGATTGGAATAGTTTCAGAAGGAACGGTACCAGCTCCTCCTTGTACCTCTGGTAGAATTCGGCTGTGAATCCATCTGGTCCTGGACTTTTATTGGTTGGTAAGCTATAATTATTGCCTCAATTTCAGAGCCTGTTATTGGTCTATTCAGAGGTTCAAATTCTTCCTGGTTTAGTCTTGGGAGGGTGTATGAGTCGAGGAATTTATCCATTTCTTCTAGATTTTCTAGTTTATTTGTGTAGAGTGTTTATAGTATTCTCTGATGTTAGTTTGTATTTTTGTGGGATCGGTGGTGATATCCCTTTTATCATTTTTTATTGCATCTCTTTGATTCTTGTCTCTTTTCTTCTTTATTAGTCTTGCTAGTGGTCTATCAATTTTGTTGATCTTTTCAAAAAACCAGCTCCTGGATTCATTGATTTTTTGAAGGGTTTTTTGTGTCTCTATTTCCTTCAGTTCTGCTCTGATCTTAGTTATTTCTTGCCTTCTGCTAGCTTTTGAATGTGTTTGCTCTTGCTTCTCTAGTTCTTTTAATTGTGATGTTAGGGTGTCAATTTTGGATCTTTCCTGCTTTCTCTTGTGGGCATTTAGTGCTATAAATTTCCCTCTACACACCACTTTGAATGTGTCCCAGAGATTCTGGTATGTTGTGTCTTTGTTCTCATTGGTTTCAAAGAACATCTTTATTTCTGCCTTCATTTCATTATGTACCCAGTAGTCATTCAGGAGCAGGTTGTTCAGTTTCCATGTAGTTCAGCGGTTTTGAGTGAGTTTCTTAATCCTGAGTTCTAGTTTCATTGCACTGTGGTCTGAGAGACAGTTTGTTATAATTTCTGTTCTTTTACATTTGCTGAGGAGTGCTTTACTTCCGACTATGTGGTCAATTTTGGAATAGGTGTGGTGTGGTGCTGAAAAGAATGTATATTCTGTTGACTTGGGGTGGAGATTTCTTTAGATGTCTATTAGGTCCACTTGGTGCAGAGCCATCAGAGAAAGGCAAATGAAAACCACAATGAGACACCATCTCACACCAGTTAGAATGGCGATCATTAAAAAGTCAGGAAACAACAGGTGCTAGAGAGGATGTGGAGAAATAGGAACAGTTTTACACTGTTGGTGGGACTGTAAACTAGTTCAACCATTGTGGAAGTCAGTGTGGCAATTCCTCAGGGATCTAGAACTAGAAATACCATTTGATCCAGCAATCCCATTACTGGGTATATACTCAAAGGGTTATAAATCATGCTGCTATAAGGACACCTGCACATGTATGTTTATTGTGGCACTATTCACAGTAGCAAAGACTTGGAACCAACCCAAATGTCCAACAATGATAGACTGGATTAAGAAAATGTGGCACATATACACCATGGAGTACTATGCAGCCATAAAAAATGATGAGTTCATGTCCTTTGCAGGGACATGGATGAAGCTGGAAACCATCATTCTCAGCAAACTATCACAAGGACAAAAAACCAAACACTGCATGTTCTCACCCATAGGTGGGAATTGAACAATGAGAACACTTGGACACAGGAAGGGAAACATTACACACCGGGGACTGTTGTGGGATGGGGAGAGAGGGGAGGGATAGCAATAGGAAATATACCTCATGTTAAATGATGAGTTAATAGGTGCAGCACACCAACATGGCACATACATAGGTAACAAACCTGCATGTTGTGCACATGTACCCTAAAACTTAGAGCATAGTAAAATAATAATAATAATAATAGTTACCTTAAAATTTAACTTTGCCACAAAATTTTTAACGTTTAGAGATATCAGAAAGGAAACAAATGCTAAACCGAAGGAGTCAAATAAATTAATTAATATTTTGTAAAGTATGTATCTTAATTATCACCATCCAATCCACCTCAGCTGTCTTGAGTTTGTAAGAAATATCATGAATATTTTTAAAACTGAAAAATCAGGGGCAATTTGGGAGTAAATAAATATTCATCTGTCAGACTATTTTTTATCTGTGGTACTTGAATGCTGTTGACATTTACCACAGGATCTCTACAAGAATCTATTATCCTGTTGTACAGGATTTGTAAACGATCTGTTACTCTTTTGCTGGGAAATTGAGAATGTCAATGAGGAGATAGAAGAAAAAATCATTTACACAAGAAATTTAAAAATAAGAGATTATGGTGGAGAAAGCCATTTATTTATTCATTCTAAGAATAAAAATTTAATAAATTGAAATCAAATATTTAAATCTGTGATTAAGACAATATTGAGTGCTTTTATGGACTAGAATAAGATGCTAAGATAGAGCCTAAAGTTTCTTTGTGGGAGTTTCCTAGGAGTAAAGGAAGAAGATGGTTATGCTTGTAGTTTAGGAATGATTTTGGCTAAGGTACAAGAAGTAGACTAAATAACCTCTCAATGTCCTTTTGTTCTAATATTTAAATAATTATTTTAAAAGAAATCAAGAATTAAATGTCTGCTATGACTTGCAATATCTTAGTGCACTGACCTAGGCTGTGTATCTCAATATCTGTGAGTATTAATCTATTTTAACTAGATAGGAACAGAAAAAATGAATTGCAAAACATGTTAATGAGATCAAAGTTCTCAATATATTTTGCATGCTTCTAAGACCCAGAGGTCAAAATCCAGAAAGAGGAGGAATGAAGTGGAGAAAAATGAAAAAGAGCTTGATTCAGAGTTTAGCCATTAAATGTAGATGCTGTGGATGAGGGACTAAATTTAATTGTATTTTACTTTGTATGTGATGAGAATATACATTAGTTGGAAGAGCTCCTTTCTATGGGTCATTTTAACTGAACAAAGTTGCATTTTAACCTGAATAAAGATTTTATTTCTTTAATGTGACCCCAAAGTAGCCATTTCCAATGATGAGATGATCCTCTGAATAGCAGTGTTAGTTAATTGAAATTTTAATCCTTACAAAAGAATAAGTACCACTGACATTGATTGCAATCCTTCACATTAATTATCAAGTGCATATTTTTTAAAACTACTGTATTTCAAGGCTTTTTTTAGTATCATCTGTAACATGAGTCGATATAAAAAGAAGGATGAAACTTCAATTTTCAGACATGGATCTGTAATAGATGCATTAATTAATTCATAGTGTCACATTAAAAATAATATTGGAAATACTTCACAAGTTGATCTTTGCATTAATTTCCTTTAAATTGATCTCATTTTATTATTTTTACTACGTTAGTAATTACAATGATACGTTTTAATATTAAAAAACATTTACAATAGCTAGAATTCGAAAAAAAGAAGTTGTAGGGAGAAAGCTATTCAGGTAGACACTATCAACGTGTGTGTGTGTGTGTGCGCTCACGTGCATGTGTATGTGTGTGTACCTGCACCATGTACATTTTATCATTAAGAATTCCTTCCATAGAGTGTTTTCTAAACTGGCAAGGAATAATATGGCCCTAAAAGTATCTTTTAACATCAGCCCAACTTCGTACATGCCTACCAGCCAGGAATTCTGCTTCCCTACACATTTTTTCTCACTGCTTTTAAATTTTACAATATGCAAATATTACCTCATTCCTTTATTCCTACAATTACCTAGGGCTGGCAGTATCCGCATCTACATATCTTTGCTTCCTTTTTTTGCGCTAACAAATCTCTACATTCTTACAACCTGAATATACCAGCTACTCTACTGTAGACTGCTATTTCTATTTCTTGTTCAAAATCAATAACTGATATCATTGATTAACTATGTGCTCTGTGCCAGACATTGTTCTTTATCTTTACATGTATTGTCTACATATCCACAGCAATTATCTTATGTAGGTACTACTATTATTTTTAATTCACAGCTGACAAAACTGAGATGCAATGCTGTTTAATTAAGTGGACCAAAATTACTTAGCCAGTAAGTGTTGGAGCCAGAATTGGAACCAAGGCAAAGCTTAATTCCCTGCTTCTGTTTATTCCACCGCACACTAGACTTCAGACTACTTCCTTTGAGCACACTGCAAACATAATTTCAATAGAAAGATTAAAAGTTCAAACTTAGCAAATGATTGGCCATGAGTTCTAGCTTTGAACCTGGAAAAGAGTTAATTCCCACATTCACATCTAAACCATTGTGCTGACACATTTAGCGTAATACTTTCAGAAGTTACACTCAATTCTCATCTAGAGTAAGGCAGAGCAAGATGGCCTAATAGAAGGCTCCACTGATTGTCACCACTCCAAGAACACCAATTTAACGACTATCTACACAAAAGAAGCACTTTTGTAAGAACCAAAAATCAGGTAAGCACTCCCAGTGCCTGGTTTTAACTTCATATTGCTGAAAGAAGCATTGAAAACATAAGAAAGATAAATGTCTTGCTTCTGTCTATTGTCACCCTGCGCCGCCTCCCCGCAGCAGTGGCCATGTGGTGTGGACAGAGACTCTGTGTAATTGATAGAGGAAGAGCCCAGCAATTGAACAACGTTGCAATAAACTCTCTGCTTCCCTGTCATAGCAGATGTAACTCAGCTGATGACCACCAACAGTGGAAGCATTTAGACCAGCCCTAGCCACAGGGGAATTGCTAATCCCAGTGGTCAGAACTTCTGACATGCCTTGCCATAGTGAGCTAAAGTACTATGGGGCACTAAATAAACTTGAAAGGCAGTATAGGGAATAAGGACTGCAACTCCAAGGCAAGTTTTAGTGCTGAACTGAGCCCAGAGCCAGTGAACTAGAGAGGCATGTGACCTACTGAGACACAAGCCAGGGTGGATAAAGGAGTACCACCCTTCTTTCAACCCCAAGCTGCAGAGCTCATTGCTCCAAAAGAGACCCCTCCCTTCCACCTGAAGAGGGAAAAAGGAAGAATAAAGAGGACTTTGCCTTACATCTTGGATACCAGCTCAGCTACAGCAAGATAAGACACCAGTTAGTCATAGGCCACTTTCCAGGCCCTAGCTTTTGGATGACATTTCTGGAAATACCGTGGCCATTAGGAAACCCACTGCCTTGAAAGGAAGAATCTAGTCATGGAAGAACCCATCACTTGCTGACTAATGAGCCTTTTGACCCTGAATAACCATCAGTGATACCCAGGTAGTATGCTGTGGGCCTTGGGTGGGATCTGAGACATGTGAGACTCAGCACATTCCCAGCCCACTGCCCCAAAGGGTGAGACCCCAGACAGGCAACTTAAACCCCAAACTGATTGAAGCCTTCTTCAGCTTTAAGAAAACTTTGGTGGTAGTCTGGCAGTACTCACTGCGGGCCTGTGGTGGCAGTGGCCACAGGATGAGACTCCTGTGCCTATGCAAAGGGGAGGGAAGAGTGGGAAGGATTACATCTCTTGGTGAGAGTGTAAGCTTAGCCAAGGTAGAATAGAACACCAGGTAAATTCCTGTTATATTGACTTCAGTCCCTGGCTGCTAGGCAGCATCTCTGAACCCACCTGGGGCCTGAAAGAACTTGCTTCCCTGAAGGGAAACACATAAACCCAGTTGGCTTTGCCACCTGCTGATTGTAGAGCCCAAGGGCCTTGAGTAAACTTAGGTGGTATCTAGGTAGTGGTGACAGCAGGCCTTGGGGGAGGCCCAGTGCTGTGCCGGTTTCAAGTCTAAACCAGCACAATTCCAGTAGTGGTGGACACAGGAATGCTTGTGTTTCTCCACCCCCAGTTCTAGAAGACCTAGACCATAGAGAAAAACTCCATTTGTTTGAAAAAATGTAAGAGAAAAGAACAATAGTCACTGTCTAGTAATCCAGAGAATTTTTCCAGATCTTATGCAAGACCACCAAGATGGTACATCTAATGAGTCTGAAAGAATCACAGCATTATTGGGTTTGGGGCCCAAGTCTCCTTAAATACCTGAAAAGCCTTCATGAGAAGGATGGGCACAAACAGTCCCAAATTATGAAGACTACAATAAATGCTGAACGCTCCGGTGCCCAGACTCTGACCAAAATTTGCAAGCATCAAGACTATACAGGAGAACATGACCTCACCATATGAACTAAATAATGCAATTGGGACAAATGCTGGGGAAACAGAGATATGTAACTTTTCAGACAGAGAATTCAAAGTACCTTTGTTGAGGAAATTCAAAGACATTCGAGATAACAAATAAAAAGAATTCAGAATTTGGTCTTATAAATTTAACAAAGAGATTGAAGTTATTTAAATGAATGAAGCAGATATTCTGGAGTTCAGATGCAATTGACATACTGAAGAATACATCAGAGTCTCTTAATAGCACATTTAAACAAGCAGAAGAAAGAATTAGTGAGCTTGAAGACAGGCTGTTTGAAAATATAGTCAGAGGTGGATTAAGAAAATTTGGCACATATACACCATGGAATACTATGCAGCCATAAAACAGGATGAGTTCATGTCCTTTGTAGGGACATGGATGAAGCTAGAAACCATCATTCTGAGCACACTATCTCAATGACAGAAAACCAAACACCACATGTTCTCACTCATAGGTGAGAATTGAACAATGAGAACACTTGGACACAGGGTGGGGACATCACACACCGGGGCCTGTCATGGGGTCGGGAGGGAGGGGAGAGGGATAGCATTAGGAGATATACCTAATGTAAATGACGAGTTAACAGGTGCAGCACACCAACATGACACATGTATACATATGTAACAAACCTGCACGTTGTGCACATGTACCCTAGAACTTAAAGTATAATAATAATTAAAAAAAGAAAGAAAGAAAAAGAAAATACAGTCAGAGGATACAAAAGCAAAAAGAATAAAAAAAAATGAAGCACACCTACAAGATCTAGAAAATACCTTCAAGAAGTAAAATGTAAGTTATTGGCTTAAAAAGGACGTAGACAAATACCATTCTGGACTTAGGAACAGGCAAAGATTTCATGACAAAGACACCAAAAGCAATTATAACAAAAGCAAAAATGGACAAATGGGATATAATTAAACTAGAGGATTTCCGCACATCCAAAGAAACTATCCACAGAGTACACAGACAACCTACAGAGTAAGAGAAAAAAAATTGCCGACTATGAATCTGACTAAGGTCTAATATCCAGCATCTATAAGGAACTTAAACAAATTTACAAGAAAAAAACCAACCCTATTAACAAGTGGGCAAAGGACATGAACAAACACTTTTCATAAAAAGACATACATGTAGCCAACAAACATATTTTACAAAGCTTAACATCACTGATATTAGAAAAATGTAAATCAAAACCACCATGAAATACCATCTAACACAAGTCAAATTGGCTATTATGAAAAAGTCAGTAACAGATGCTGGCAAGGTTGCAGAGAAAAAGGAATGCCTATATACTGTTGGTGAGAGTGTAAATTAGTTCAACCATTGTGGAAAACAATATGGTGATTCCTCAGAGAGCTAAAAACAGAACTAATATTCAACCCAGCAATCCCATTACTGGGTAAACCCCCAAAGGAATAGAAATTGTTCTATCATAAAGACACATGCATGGGTATGGTTATCTCAGCACTATTCAAAATAACAAAGACACGAAATAAACCTACATGTCCATCAAATACAGACTGAATTTGAAAATGTGGTACATATACACCATGGAATACTATACAGTCATAAAAAAGAATGAGATAATGTCTTTTGCAGGAATATGAATAAATTCAGGAGGCCATTATACTTAGCAAGCTAATGCAGAAACAGAAAACCAAATACTGTATGTTCTCCCTTGCAAGTGGAAGCTGAAAGTTAAGAACACACAAACATATAGAAGTGAACAACAGATACTTGGGTCTACCAGAGGGCACAGGGTGGGATGAGGGAGTGGTTCAGGAAAAATAACTAATGGGGACTAGCCTTAACACCAGGGTGATGAAAGATACTGTGTAACAAACTTCCATGACATGTTTACCTATATGACAAACTTGCACAAGTACCCCGAACTTGAAATAAGAGAGGAAAAAAAAAGAGCTAGAGAAAGAGATAGGGGTAGAAAGTTTATCCAAAAGGATAATATCAGAGAGCTTACAAAACCTAGAGAAATGTATCAAAATTCAACTACAAGAGAGTTGTGGAGCACCAAGCAGATTTATCCCCACCAAAAAACACTACCTCAAGGCACTTACTAAAACTACCAACCATCAAGTGTAAAGAAACTGTGCTAAAGGCAAATAACACATAATGGAGCTCCAATATGTCTGACAGCAGACTTTTCAGTGGATACCTTACAGTCCAGGAGAGAGTGCCATAACATATTTAATGTGAGGAGGGAAAAAACTTTTACCATAGAATAGTACATCTGGGAAAATATAGTTTAAGCATGAAGGAGAAATAAAGATGTTTTTAGACAAATAAAAGCTGAGGGATTTCCTCAACACCAGACGTGTTCTACAAAAAATCCTAAAAGGAGTTCTTTAATTTGACAGAAAATAATATTGATAAGCAATAATCTGAAAGTTAAAAATTCATTGGTAATAGCACACAGGAAAAAGCCAGAATATTATAACACTAGAATCTTGGTGTGTAAAATTTTCTTATGTTAAGTAGAAAGACTAAACAATGAAGCAATAAAAATAATAACTAAAACAATTTTCCAAGGTCTAGGCAGTAAGACATAAATAGAAACAACAAAAAGATAAAAAGTGGGAGACAAAGTTTAAGTATAGAATTTTCATTAGTTTTCTTTTTACTTATTTGATTATTTGTTCAATCAGTATTAAGTTGTGATCAGTTTAAATTAAGGGGTTATAAGATAGCATTTGTAAGCCTCATGGTAACCTCAAATTGAAAAAACGTACAATGGATACACAAAAGTAAAAAGGAAGAAATTAAGTTATACACCAGAGAAAATCACCTTTACTAAAAAGAAGATAGGAAAGAAGGAAAAAAGAAACTGAAGACCAAAAAGCAACCAGAAAACAAATAAGAAAATGGCAGGAGTATTTTCTTATTCATAATAATATTGAATGTTAATGGACTAAACTCTCCAATCAAAAGACATAGACTTGTTAAATGAATATAAACAAACAAGACCAAATGATCTGTTGCCTACAGGAAACACATATCACCTATAAAGACACACAAACACTAAAAATAAAGGGAAGGAAAAAGTTATGCATTGCCAATGGAAACCAAAAAAGGGCAGGAGTAGCTATGCTTATATCAGGTCAAAAATATTTCAAGGCAAAAACTGTAGAACAAAGGAAGTTATTACATAAAGATAAAGGGGTTAATTCAGCAAGAGAAGGGAGCAATTATAATATATATGCATCTAACACTAGAGCATGCAGATATATAAAGTAAATATTATTAGAGCTAAAAAGGAAGATAGACTTCCATACAAAAATAGCTGGAGACATCAACACCCCACTTTTAGCACTGAACAGATTATACAGTCAGAATGTTAACAAAGGAACACTGGACTTAATTTGCACTCTAAAACAAACAGTACTAGTAGATATTTAGAGAACATTTTATCAAAAGGCTACAGAATAGACATTCTTCTCCTCAGCACACAAATCATTCTAAAGAATAGACCATATGTTAAGTTACAAAACAAATGTTAAAATATTCAAAAAAATTGAAACAGTATCAAGCATCTCTTATGACCAAAATGGAATAAAACTAGAAATTAACAATGAGAGAAACTTTAGAAACACATGGAAATTAAACAGCATGCTTCTGAATGATTAGTAATGAAATTAAGGTCAATAATGAAATTAAGAAAGAAATGTGTAGATCGGTCAGGGTGGTGGGAAAAATTATAGGAAAGATGAAAACCTTCTTGGAAGGCCTGGAGGTTTTGCAAAAGCTTCGGGAGAGAATTCTGGCTGAAAGAAGCCAAATTCCCTCATCCAGAGGCTGAGAGCAAAGGGCAGATAACAAGGGAATGTAAAGAAACTTATCTAGATAAATTGGTTTACTTATGTCTCCGGAAACCAACCCTTGATCATTTGCATACAGGACTGCTCTCTACTCAGGGGATCAACAATATTAATTACTGACAAGTTGTATTTGCTCCAAGCCGCTGTCATTAAATCTGTACTAAATAAATCCGAGGGTCACCGGCTTATGGGGGCTGCACTCTTGTCAGTGGTGCTAAGCTGTGCAGTCCCCCAGCCATGCTCTCAGTCAAAATGCCTGTGTCATCATACTCCTTTCATCCGTCGCTTGGCCAGAGTCTGTGGGACACACTCAGCAGAAATGTAAAAATTGCTTGAAACAAATGATAATAGAAACACAACATACCAAAATCTATGGGATACAGCAAAAACAGTACTAAGTGGAAAATTTATAGATAAAAATGCCTACATCAAAAACGATGAAAAACTTCAAATAAACAACCTATTGATGTATCTTACATAACTAGCAAAATAAGCGATTACACACTCAAAAGTAGTAGAAGAAAATATATATAAAGATTAGAGAAGAAATAAATGAATTTAAAATGAAGAAAACATTAAAAAAGAAGATAAAAGTTTCATTTAATGAAGAAAAAGTTTATTTTTTGAAAAGATAAGTAAAATTGACAAACCAATAGCTAGATTAAGAAAAAAAGAGACGTCCCAAGTAAATGATATCAGAGATAAAAAAGGAGACTGATACCACGTATATTCAAATACTCATTAGTAGCTACTATGAGCAACTGTATGCAACAAATTGGAAAATCTAGAAGAAATGGATAAATAACTTGACAAATACAACCTACAAAGACTGAACTAGGAAGAAATCCAAAACCTGAAAAGATTAATAACAAATAACTACATTGAATCCACAATAAAATGTCTCCCAGTAAATAAAAGCCTGGGATCCAATGACTTCACTGCCGAATTTTGAACCAAACATTTAAAAAAAGAACTAATATCAATTATACTAAAAGTATTCTAAGAAATAGAGAAAGAAGGAATTCTTCCAAGCTTATTCTATGAGGCCAGTGTTACCCAGATATCAAAAACAAAACAAAACAAAACATAATAAACAGACACTTCAAGTAAAAGAAAAAGTAAACTATGACCAATGTATATAATGAATATTCATGTAAAAATCCTCAGTAAGATACTAGCAAACCAAATTCAACAATACATTAGAAAGATTATTCATCATGACTAAGAAGAGATGCAAAGATAGTTCAACATATGCAAATCAATTAAAGTGATACAGCATTTCAACAGAATGCAAGGTGAAAACCATATAATTATTTCAATTGATGCTGAAAAAGCATTTAATATAATTCAATATCCCTTCATGATAAAAAGCCTCAAAAACCTGGGTATAGAAAAAATATAACTCAACATAATAAAAGCCATATATGACAGGCCCACAGCTAGTATCATACTGAATAGAGAAAAACTGATAGCCTTTCCTCTAAGATTTGGAATAGGGCAAGGATGCCTGTTGTCATGAATGTTATTCAAGACAGTACTGGAATTCCTAGCTAGTGCAATTAGACAATAGGAAGAAACAAAGAGTATACAAATTGAAAAGGGAGAAGTCAAATTCTCCTTGTTTTCAGATTGGTATGGTCTTATATTTTGAAAAACCTAAAGACTGCACCAAAAATCTATTAGAACTGATAAACAAATTCAGAAAAGCTGAAGAATTCAAAATCCACGTACAAAGTTCATTAGCATTTCTTCATGCCAACAGTAATCAATCTGAAAAATAAATCAAGAAAGTAATCCTATTTCAAACAGCCACAAATAAAATACTTATGAATAAACTTAACCAAAGAAGTGAAAGATCTCTACAATGAAAATTATAAAACATTGATGATTGGAATTGAAGAGGCTACAAAAAATTAAAAGATATTTCATGTTCATGGATTGCAAGAATCAACATTGTTAAAATGTTCATACTACCCAAACAAATCTACAGATGTAATGTAATCTATACCAAAATACAAATGACATTTTTTACAGCAATGTATAAAACAATCCTAAAATTTATAAGGAACCACAAAAAACCCAGAGTAGCCAAAGTTCTTCTGAGCCAAAAGAACAACACTGGAAGACTCACATTATCTGACTTTAAATTATAGTACAGGCCTATAGCAACCAAAAACAGCAAGTCATAAAAACAGACAATAGATCAGTGGAACAAAATAGAGAACCCAGTGATGTACCCAGACATCTACAGTAAGCCTATTACTGACAGAGTTTCATAGAATGTACATTGGGAAAGGTGCAGTCTCTTCAATAAATGGTGCTGGAAAAACTGGATATCCATATGCCAAAGAATAAAACTATACCTCTATCTCTTGTCATATGTAAAAATCTAATCAAGGTGAATTAAGACTTTTAGATCTGAAACTCTGAAACCACTACAAAAAAATCATTGGGGAAAATATACAGGACATTGGTTTGGGCAAACATTTCTTGAGTAACAACCCACAGATACAGGTAACAAAAAAAAATGGACAAATTGAATCACCTCAAGTTAAAAAGCTACTGCTCAGCAAAGGAAACATGCAGCAAAGTGAGAGACAAACCACAGAATAAGAGAAAATATTAGCAAACTACCTGCCTGTGGTAGTCAGTTCTCACATTATTATACAGAACTATCTGAGACTGGGCAATTTATAAGAAAAGAGGATTAATTGACTCACAGTTCCACCAGCTGTAAAGGAGGCATGGCTGGGGAAGCCTCAGGAAACTTACAATTATGGCAGATGGGTGAAGGAGAAGCAAGCACATTTTCACATGGTGGTAGGAAAAAGACAGAGTGAAGGGGAAGGTGCTGCACACTTTTAAACAACTAGATCTCATGAGAACTCAATTATGAGGCAGCCCTAGCGGGGAGGCGCTAAACCATTAGAAATCACCCCTATAATCCAATCACCTCCCACCAGGCCCTACCTCCAACATTGGGGATTACCACTCAACGTGAGATTTGGGTGTGGACACCGAGCCAAACCATATTACCATCTAACAAGGGATTAACACCCAGAATACATAAAGGGCTCCAACAACTCTATGGAAAAAATTAATAATACGATCAAAAACTGGGCAAATGATTTGAATAGACATTTTTCATAAGTAGACTTAGAAAAGGCCAAGAGGCATATAAAAAGGTGCTCAACAGCATTGATCATCAGAGAAATGCATATCAAAACTATAATGAGATATCTCACTCCAGGTAAATAGCTTATATCCAAAAGACAGGCAATAACAAATGCTGATGAGTATTTGGAGAAAAGGGGACCCTCATACACTGTTGGAAGGAATGTAAATTAGCACTACAACTATGGGGAACAGTTTGGAGATACCTCAAGAAACTAAAAATTGAGCTACCATATGATCCAGCAATCCAACTTCTGGGTATATGCTCAAAAGAAAGAAAATCAGTATATTGAAGAGATATCTGCACTCCCATCTTTGCTGCAGTACTCTTCACAATAACCAAGACCTGGAAGCAACCTAAGTGTCCATCAACAAATAAGTGGATAAAGAAAATGTGGTATATATACACAATGGAGTACTATTCAGCTATTAAAAGTATGAGATACTGTCATTTGCAATAACATAGAAGGAGCTGGAGGTTATTATGTTAAGTGACATAAGCCAGGCATAGAAAGACAAACTTTGCATGTTCTTACTCAGTTTTTGGAGCTATAAATTAAAATGATTGAACTCATGGAGATGGAGTAGAACAATGGTTACCAGAGGCTATTGGGGGATGAAGGAAAAATGGGGAGGGTTAATCATTACCAAAAAAACAGAAAGAATAAATAATACCTAGTAACTGGCAGCACAACAGGGTGACTGTAGTAAAAAACAATATATAGTACATTTAAAAATAACTATAAGAGTATAATTGGATTGTTTGTAACACAAAGGATAAATTCTTGAGGTGATGGATACCCCATTTACCCTGATGTGAGTATTACTTATTGCATGCTTATATCAAAATATCCCATATAACCCATAAATATATAGACCTACTATGTACCTCCGCCCCCGCCTTTTTTTTTTTTTTTTTTTTTTGAGGTGGAGTTTCGCTCTTGTCGCCCAGGCTGGAGTGCAATGGCACAATCTTGGCTCACTGCAGGCTCTGCCTTCTGGGTTCAAGGGATTCTCCTGCTTCAGCCTTCTGAGTAGCTGGGATTACAGGCACCAACCTCCATGCCCACAGCTAATTTTTTGTATTTTTAGTAGAGATGGAGTTTTGCCATGTTGTCCAGGCTGGTCTTGAACTCCTAACCTCAAGTGATCCACCCGCCTCAGCCTCCCAAAGTGCTGGAATTAAAGGTGTGAGCCACCGTCCCTGGCCTCACAAAAATTAAATATAAAATTTAAAATATATATTTTCTAAAAAGCACTTGACCGTAACTATTTCCACTATAATCTGCTTATTGTACCACTTCTTCTTTTCTTATTTTCTATCCACTAATACATAATTTCATTTCTAGACTCTTTAGTCCAATAAAGTCTGTTAGTTAAAACTATTGAGAAAGGTAAGGTGATTCTATCATATGTTTTAATATTACTTTTATTATTATTTTGAGAAGACAGCGAGGTCTGGAGATTAAAACATTGTATTTGAAGTGAAAATCCATGGGTTTTAAAGTTGAGTCTTCCACCAAGTACTGTGTGACATTAGGTAAACGACTTCTTTGAGATTCAGCTGTCCATCTGCAAAGTACAGAAAATACTTACGCTACCTTGCAGGTCTGCTATAAGTTTTAAAATCACTAGAGTACATAAAAAACATACTAAAAGACTCATAAATTTTAGAGTTATTTATTGGTACTGTTATCCTGCTATAATTTCTCTTTGTTAGGTGCTTTATTTGATATTAATCTGTCCTAAAATTTGTCAAAAATCCCCCATCTGAAAATAAGGATTTTTAAGTAGGTATTGCATCAGAGTATGTAAAATGATTAAGGGCACTATAAGCACAAAGTAGTCTCTCATTGTTATTTCTTATAATGAAGGTAGGAAGACAATAGCCCAGGTAATTGACTTTCTGCATCTATCTTCAACTTGTCTGGCTGTGCATTGGCTTATGTCATTTGCTTACTAGAAAGTTGTTGAAGAATTGAGTTAGTTCAGGAACTTGGTTTGGTTTGTAGAAATATGATCTGAAGTTGCAAAAAGCTGTTGTTAAGTGAATTAGCAGACAAATCATACTATCAGGACATTTTCAACTGTTTTGCTATCCTAGGTGGAACAATTAGTTATTGCTTTGAATGGTTTTACAGGTATGTTTTATTTATGTTTTATACTCAATCACAGTTCAGTCACATTACCTCGCTTTTCACCAACAGTTATCCCTAGATACACTGAACTTTGTAAACCAAACTGAACCATCTGTTATATACATAAAACTGAATTTTTGAAATGTTTTCAACCCAGAAAAAATGTGAATGTTTACATTTACTGAAAAATCTTGGTGATTTGCAACAGTCATTTAAAACCTGTTTCTATAAAGCTATAGTGTGTATAGAGCAAATCGATTCAGGATTATGCTAACTATTCTTCCAACTTATTTATCTTCCCTAGTATAAGAGTGATTAGAGAACTCACCATGTAAGTTTCGAAGGTCAAGATGTCAAGCCTAACAGCTCAGTTGCTAATAAAAACATTGTCATAATCGAAGCTTATTTTGCAAACTTTAAGACAGAGAGATAAACAAATAAATATGATGTTTCATAAGAACTGTGAAGATTAAGGCAGATACCATGTGGCATGAGTACATGGTGGATGATAGGATTAGATTTTTATTAAAGGAGTGAGATAGGAAGTTACTTTTAGGAGTGGACCCTGAAGAAGGCAGTCCAGCAGGCATGCAAAAGAACGTGGGTTGCTAGGGAAGGAAATCAATCTGGAGTAGAAAAGATTAAGCAGGACATTGACAATGAACCTAGCCTTGTATTTCTCCCAGGGTTAAATATTCCCTAAATATTTAATTAGGAAATCCAAGTTGTATTTTTGATATATTGATTTCTCTATTATTTCAATTCTGCATGTATGTATAGAGAGTTCTAGTAATTCCTCTTTAAAGTGTGATAAATTTTTTCTCCCTAACTCCTACTCTGCAGCTTCTACTCTTTCCTTTTGACCAAATCACTGTCTTGGCATAGCATTTCATCAATTAAACTTCACTACTCACCACAGTCTTCAATAACAACTCACTGGCTTTTCTGTTACCAACAGCCCACCTCTCTCATTTTATAGTAATCCTTGTTGCTTACTGATAGCGCTTACTAAACTGTATACTCTAGGAAGATAAAGAGCAAATAAGTCTTGTTCACAGTTGTAATCGTGTTCTCTTTAACGATGTCCAGCACATAGTGAACTTTCAAAACTCTTTTGGAAAAGAATGCTTGTCTACGTTTATCTCTCCAATAGATTCAACTTAATATCCTTCCCATTAATAAAATACATATGTTCCATCTTTATACTAGTTTCTACTGTTTCCACACTAGTCTGGACAGTTAGCCTACTAAATGTTTATGTCTCATTACTTAAATTTTGCTTTAACTGAGGTGTGCAGTTAGTGCTGTGAGATTCTTTCCAAACTCTTGTTTGTTTTTCATATCTTGATACATATTGACCAATTTCTCTCTCTCATGCATTAGAGAGGATTTGATTAGATGCCAATTAATTATTTTTAATAATTACCCATGGAATAATTCAGAGTAATATTTACGTTCTATAGGCATGCACATCTCTGGGTTTCAATAAGATTCATGATTATTTATAAATGAGAATAACACAACTTTGATCCTGTATATTATATTAGTCAGCTTAGGTTTCCATAACAAAATACCTTAAACTGGATGGCTTCTTGAACAACACACATTTATTTCTCACAATTCTTTAGGCTGGGAAGTGGGAGATCAAGGTTTTGATGAGAAACTTTTTCTGACTTGCTGATGTCTGCTTTCTTGTTGTATCCTCGGATGAGGATGGAGGAGAGAGAGCTCTCGTGCCTTCCCTTATAACAGCACTAATTCTATAATGGAGCCTTTAATCTCATAACCTAATCACCTCCCAAAGTTCCCATGATCAAATACCATTACATTAGGGGTTAGGGCTTCAACATAGGAATTTATAGATATTTCAGTCTACAGCATACCTGTACACATACACATGTACACATACACACATAATTTTTTCCTGTCTTTATGATTTGAAGTTGTATTCCTGTTCTGTCTAGAGAAAAGCATGGTCTGTGAACCCAATGAGGACTCTGGGACAGATTCAAGAAGTCTTCTAGGTTAAAATTATTTTCATGACAATGATAAGACATTTTCTTTTTTCACTTCCTTAATATTTGCATGGATGGTACAAAACAATTATTTGTAAAACTGCTGATGACTTAACATAAATAAAGACTGTAGACAGAATGGGAAATGCACTTTATGCAATTGTATGAGTTGTGAATTGAATAAACATTTTTTCTCCTATAGGATGCCAATTTTTACTTGAAAGAATGACTGATACACAAACTGGTTAATCAGAATTGAATACAGACAGACCAGATATTTTCTCAAGAAGAGTGGGGTAAGCCTGCCATTTTAAGGGAATAACTGACAGGATATGTTGTCAACAACAAAATTTAAGCTTTCAAGCAGTAAGCCAAAATTTTGGAAAACTTGCTCACATCGAGAGCCTGACAACTTCAAGATTTTCTGAAGAGTTAGGTTATTACATTAACAAATGCCATATTTTCCTGTTGTGTAATAAAATATGTCAACATTGAGAACACCTGAGTGACTATGAACCAAGATTTTTACAATGATCATAAGTGATGTCACAAAAATATGTATTGGTAAGAGATACAATTAAAGTACAAAAAGGACAATACATTTTTAATTGTAATAGAATATGAAAATTTTATTAAAATATTTTGAAATTCCCCATTGGAATTAACCTATAAAATACAACCACATGTTGAGTTTTGGTGTAGTATCAAGGAAAGATACTGAAAATGATCTAACACTATTAAAATATTGCTTTCTTTTATAACTATATACCACTGGGGGCCACATTTGATTTACAGACACTAACCAATACATATTGAAATACATTGAATATATTCAATGTAAGCAAATGTAAGAATTTTGCTGCCTTCTATTAATCCAGGCCTTAAAGAGATTCACAAAAATATTGTATAATACTGCTCTTCACATTAATACATATTTTGGTTGGAAAAGACATTTTTATAAAAATATTTTACCTATGTTAACATGTAATGAGTTTATTATTGTTATATTTAAGTAAATTAACATAGTTTTAATTTCTCGTTCTTAATTTTTTAACATTTAAATTCAGAGGTACAAGTACAGGTTTGTTGAAACTGAACCTCTTCCTTACATCATAGACAGGCATTAACTGGAGATGGAGTCAAGACTTAAATGTAAAACCCAAAACTATGAAAACCCTGGAAGACAACATAGGCAATACCATTCAAGACATAGGCAAGGGCAATGATCTTACAATGATGGCACCAACAGCAGCTGCAACAAAAGCAAAAACTGACAAATTTGTTTTACTAATTTTGGTAATAAAATTAGTAATTTTATTAGTAATCTAATATAGTAAATGTTATTATATATAAGCCCCCAAAACAAAAGTTTTTTGAGGTGCCCATTCATTTTTAATTGTAAAAGTGTTTCTATGGCCAAAACTTTGAGAACTTCTGCTCTAGAATAAATTTCACTTTGTAGTAAATGTAACAGAACAGGCAGACATTTTGTTCTATCATCACAAATTGCAAACTTTAAATTGGCTCTTTGGGGAAAAAAACTAGTGGAATATTCTTGTGTTTGCTCATTATTTTAATTAAACTCATTTTATTCTTTGTTTTTTGACAAGGAGTTTTTTAATGCTTCTCAGGTTTACTCAAGTCTACCTTCTGTATTTCCATAACTTAATCAACTTTTTTTTTTTTTTTTTTTTTTTTTTTGAGACAGAGTCTTGCTCTGTCTCCCAGGCTGGAGTGCAGTGGCACGATCTCAGCTCACTGCAACCTCTGCCTCCTGGGTTCAAGCACTTCTCCTGCCTATCCTCCCAAGTAGCTGTGATTACAGGCATGCACCACCACGCCCATCTAATTCTGTATTTTTTTTTTTTTTTAGTAGAGACAGGGTTTCACCATGTTGGTCAAGCTGGTACTGAACTCCTGACCTCAAGTGATCCACCCATCTCGGCCTCCCAAAGTGCTGGGATTACAGTTGTGAGTCACTGCACCAGCTATTTTTCTTCTTCTTTAATAATGCAACCTCATATCCAGTCTCAACTATAACATGGCTGCATGCTAATATTACTAGCCTCATGGAAACATCATATTTCCTGCTTCTTGTGAAAATTTTTGTAATTTCATAGAACTCAATTTGTAGACAATTAAAAATTAAACTTTGAGAACCACAAAGGGTAAGAGAAAATGGAGATGATAATTTTAGCCTTTTCTTTTAGCAAAAGATCTTTCCTGACTCTTCTCTGGCTGAACTCATTGCTTTCTGTGCATACTCAATGCACAATATTCATCACATTGAATTTTTGTGCTTGAATTTCCTTCTTTATTCACTTGCCTTCTCCACTAGAGTATAGGTATTTTGAGTACATAGATTATATCTTCCACATCATAGTACAGAGTCTGGAATATAGACAAAATTTCATAAGTATTCAAAGACTCCATAAACAAATGATGCATTGATAAAAGTAAAATTCAGAGAGTTGGTATGGATTATCCAATTTCAGAGCCAAGACAATTTTTGCATATTTTGGAGACTTTTATTTCCTGAAACTTTCTTTGGCTATATTCGGCTTTACCTACCATAGCAAGAACCTGAGAAAATGCACGTTAAGCACATGAATATGACTTCAGCAGCCAGATATTGGGCAAAAGACAAGTATTGCCTTCACTTTGAAAGTCCCTATGTCTTGTTTTTGTCAGGTTTATCAAAAATCAGATGGATGTGTGGTATTATTTCTGAGGGCTGTGTTCTGTTCCATTGGTCTATATCTCTGTTTTGGTACCAGTACTATGCTGTTTTGGTTACTGCAGCCTTGAAGCATAGTTTGAAGTCAGGTAGCATAATGCCTCCAGCTTTGTTCTTTTGGCTTAGGATTGACTTGGCAATGTGCACTCTTTTTTTGTTCCATATGAACTTTAAAGTAGTTTTTTCCAATTCTGTGAAGAAAGTCATTGGTAGCTTGATGGGGATAGCATTGAATCTATAAATTACATTGGGCAGTATGGCCATTTTCACGATATTGATTCTTCCTATCCATGAGCATGGAATATTCTTCCATTTGTTTGTATCCTCTTTTATTTCATTGAGCAGTGGTTTGTAGTTCTCCTTGAAGAGGTCCTTCACATCCCTTGTAAGTTGCATTCCTAAGTATTTTATTCTCTTTGAAGCAATTGTGAGTGGGAGTTCACTCATGATTTGGCTCTCTGTTTGTCTGTTATTGGTGTATAAGAATGCTTGTGATTTTTGCACACTGATTTTGTATCCTGAGACTTTGCTGAAGTTGCTTACCAGCTTAAGGAGATTTTGGGCTGAGACGATGGGGTTTTCTAAATATACGATCATGTCATCTGCAAATAGGGAGAATTTGACTTCCTCTTTTCCTAATTGAATACCCTTTATTTCTTTTTCCTGCCTGATTGCCCTGGCCAGAACTTCCAACATTATGTTGAATAGGAGTGGTGAGAGAGGACATCCCTGTCTTGTGCCAGTTTTCAAAGGGAATGCTTCCAGTTTTTGTCCATTCAGTATGATATTGGCTGTGAGTTTGTCATAAATAGCTCTTATTATTTTGAGATACATCCCATCAATACCTAATTTATTGAGAGTTTTTAGCATGAATGGCTGTTGAATTTTGTCAAAGGCCTTTTCTGCGTCTATTGAGATAATCATGTGGTTTTTGTGTTTGGTTCTGTTTATATGCTGGATTACATTTATTGATTTGCGTATATTGAACCAGCCTTGCATCCCAGGGATGAAGCCCACCTGATGATGGTGGATAAGCTTTTTGATGTGCTGCTGGATTCGGTTTGCCAGTATTTTTTGAGGATTTTTGCATCAATGTTCATCAGGGATATTGGTCTAAAATTCTCTTTGTTTGTTGTGTCTCTGCCAGGCTTTGGTATCAGGATGATGCTGGCCTTATAAAATGAGTTAGGGAGGATTCCCGCTTTTTCTATTGATTGGAATAGTTTCAGAAGGAATGATACCTCCTCCTTGTACCTCTGGTAGAATTCGGCTGTGAATCTGTCTGGTCCTGGACTTTTTTTGGTTGGTAGGCTACTAATTATTGCCTCAATTTCAGAGCCTGTTATTGGTCTATTCAGAGATTCAACTTCTTCCTGGTTTAGTCTTGGGAGGGTGTATGTGTCCAGGAATTTATCCTTTTCTTCTAGATTTTCTAGTTTATTTGCATAGAGGTGTTTATAGTATTCTCTGACAGTAGTTTGTATTTCTGTGGGATCAGTGGTGATATCCCCTTTACCATTTTTCATTGTGTCTGTTTGATTCTTTGCTCTTTTTTTCTTTATTAGTCTTGCTAGTGGTCTATCAATTTTGTTGATCTTTTCAAAAAACCAGCTCCTGGATTCACTGATTTTTTGAAGGGTTTTTTGTGTCTTTATCTCCTTCAGTTCTGTTCTGATCTTAGTTATTTTTTGCCTTCTGCTACCTTTTGAATGTGTTTGCTATTGCTTCTCTAGTTCTTTTAATTGTGATGTTAGGGTGCCAATGTCAGGTCTTTCCTGCTTTGTCTTGTGGGCAAACCTGACAAAAACAAGAAATGGGGAAAGGATTCCCTATTTAATAAATGGTGCTGGGAAAACTGGCTAGCCATATGTAGAAAGCTGAAACTGGATCCCTTCCTTACACCTTATACAAAAATTAATTCAAGATGGATTAAAGACTTAAATGTTAGACTCAAAACCATAAAAACCCTAGAAGAAAACCTAGGCAATACCATTCCAGACATAGGCATGGGCAAAGACTTCATGTCTAAAACACCAAAAGCAATGGCAACAAAAGCCAGAATGGACAAATGGGATCTAATTAAACTAGAGAGCTTCTGCACAGCAAAAGAAACTACCATCAGAGTGAACAAGCAACCTACAGAATGGGAGAAAATTTTTGCAATCTACTCATCTGACAAAGGGCTGATATCCAGAATCTACAATGAACTCAAACAAATCTACAAGAAAAAAACAAACACCCCCATCAACAAGTGGGTGAACGATATGAACAGACACTTCTCAAAAGAAGACATTTATGCAGCCAACAGACACATGATAAAATGCTCATCATCACTGGCTGTCAGAGAAATGCAAATCAAAACCACACTGAGATACCATCTCACACCAGTTACAATGGCAATCATTAAAAAGTCAGGAAACAACAGGTGCTGGAGAGGATGTGGAGAAATAGGAACACTTTTACACTGTTGGTGGGACTGTAAACTAGTTCAACCATTGTGGAAGTCAGTGTGGTGATTCCTCAGAGATCTAGAACTAGAAATACCATTTGACCCAGCCATCCCATTACTGGGTATATACCCAAAGGATTGTAAATCATGCTGCTATAAAGACACATGCACACGTATGTTTATTGCAGCACTATTCACAATAGCAAAGACTTGGAACCAACCCAAATATCCATCAATGATAGACTGGATTAAGAAAATGTGGCACATATACACCATGGAATACTATGCAGCCACAAAAAAGCATGAGTTCATGTCCTTTGTAGGGACATGGATGAAGCTGGAAACCATCATTCTCAGCAAACTATCACAAGGACAAAAAACCAAACACCGCATGTTCTCACTCATAGGTGGTAATCAAACAATGAGAACAGTTGGACACAGGAAGGGGAACATTACACACCAGGGCCTGTCATGGGGTGGGGGGAGGGAGGAGGGATAGTATTAGGAGATATACCTAATGTAAATGATGAGTTAATGGGTGCAGCACATCAACATGGCACATGTATACATATGTAACAAACCTGCACGTTGTGTACATGTACTCTAGAACTTAAAGTATAATAAAAAAAAGAAAAAACAAAAACAAAAAATAGAAGAAAGTCCCTATAAACTAAACAAAAATTTCCCACCAGATAAACTTTATACTTTTTATCTTTGCTTTGAAAATCTTTGAAATTAGAGCTAAATAAACCTTGTTTATTTTATAGTTTTGCTTGCTGGCCCTAAATAAGCTTTTCTAAAGTGAGCAACAACTCTGTATGCACTTTTTCCTCATGGCTACCTAGTAGTTGCTTTATTTTAGGCTTTATTTTTCCTTCTTTCAGGCACATCTGTGAATTACCAACTTGCAGCAACACAGTCTTTCCTTCAAGAAATAATTATTAAGCAAATAGCACGTGAGAATTATTATACTAAATACTGCAAAATAATTGGGAAAAGAAAGTTGCACTTCACTTTAAATAAGTGTACTTAACCTCAAAGGAACATTACAAAAACCTTGTAAAATTTAAAAGTCCCCATGTCCAGTCCGTTTTCTAGACCAATTAAACTGAAACATCAGGAGTTGTAATTCTGTGGTCTGTATTTTTAAAGCATCCAAGTGATACTAATGTTGAACTGAATTTGAGAACCCTGAGCCAAGGGAAGAAGGATGAAAATTAACAACTTATATCCAATAACTGGGAATGTAGACCATAAGTTTCAATGCAAGTCTGTCTAGCTTTAGATGTATTCTGCCCCTCTGCCCCTTACAGTAAAAAAGAGAGCAAAAGGACAGAGATGCCTATAGTACAAGGTAAAAAGCAATAAACTTCAAGAAAACATAAAAAATGTTTTAATACCTGAGCAAGAGCTATTATTTTGCTGTTTCATAGGAAGTTTTATGGTATAGTAAGATAGTATATTGGTAATTAAAATAAAAGTGTTTTTCTTACATTCTCAACACACCCAGCACCAAATTTTTGGGTTTTTCACACACTAAATAATTAACCAGTTCTCTGCAGACACCACTGAGGGTCCTACAATTCAATCTAATTTTGACACTGTCTGCCTGGAGTTAGCATTAAACCCTACAGGTTAAGCACTCAGTTCCACAAGCCTGTTCCCACTTCACAAGCCAATCCAAGTCTAGGCCTCCCTTCTAACTTCTGACTGACCAGTTGTACATAGGTCAAGGGTCCCATAACCCTCTTGTCAGGTTTAACAATTGGCTAGAATGCTCACCGAACTCAGTTAAACACTTTGCATAGTTTTACCAGTTTACTATAAAGGGTACCATTCAGAAATAGTCAGGTGAAAGAGATGTATAGAACAAGGTATGGTGGTGGTGGTGGTGGTGGGTGAAGGGGTGTCAGAGAGCTTCCTTGCCCTCTCCAGGCATGTTATCTTCCCAGTGCCTCAATGTGTTCATCAACCCAGAGGCTCCTGATTGCCATTGTTCAGGATCTTCATGGAAGTTATTTACATTGGTAATTGATGATTGAACTCAATCCCCTCTTCCCTGGAGACTGGGGGTGAGGCTGAAAGTTCTAAACTTCTAATTACAAAAGATGCCATTCTCACCTCTGTCACTCAAGGAATTACAATGGTTTTAAAAGCTCTATGCCAATAACTGGAGAGCAGAGACAAAATATATATTTCTTGTTACATTACAGTAAAATAGTGGGAGAGGAGAGTAATAAAGATAAAAGCAAATAAGAAAGACAGTACAGAGTAGTTTGGTTAACAAAAATGAAGCTAAATATTGACTATTTCAGGTGGTCAGGTGAAATCTGGAAAATCTTAGAAGTTAGTTGCAGAGAATAGAAATTTCTAATAGGATACCTTTATGGCTTGAACCAAAGAGAGGTATCAAAACTGCATATAGTGATAGGAGAGTCATCTGTAGGACAGTAATGTTTTAAAATGTAGAACAAAATGGTAACAAATTCAGAAACTTGGGCAACAAATGGGAAGTTTTGATGAAAATAGAAGAAACTCCATCATCAAATAAGCATACAGTATAACCAAATCTGAGTCATGGGAGTACCAGACACAAGGAGTAATTGAGAGTCTTGTGCTATAAAATATGTAAAGGTTGAGTGATTAAAGATGTTATCTGATTTGCTGACAAGATGGTTACTGGTAATGTTTTCAGGTAATAATATCAGAGGAATATTGGAGATACGAGACTAGCTGAATATTCTTAATAATCCAATTACTAAAAAGTTACAGAAATCAATAAAAGTATACCATTCTATCCAGCACATTGGATCTCAAGAAAAATCTAGAAAATGGTAACCCAATAAGATGGCATTTTGATAGAAGAATGTTTTAAGGAATTAAATATTTACATATTTAATAGCACAAGTCATTTTTACTTCCATAGATTTGTCCCCCAACTACATTATTATATCCATCTGCACTCACATACTATAACCAACTCTTTTACGCTAATAGAAACCCTGTTGTATTTCCAGAACACTTTGTATAAACCCAAATGATAGTCCTATGTTTTGTATTTGTTTGTTTTCTTATGTATTTCCCAACTGGGCTATAAACCCCTGAGAAGAAATTCTATGTTTTATTCACTTCAGCAACCACAGAACTTAATCAGAGATCAAAAGATATCTGAAGAGTCAATCAGCTATTTCTCATTTTCATTATAGTTATAATTATTTCCAATGTTTACTCCAGGTAAATATTTATCAGAATGGCAGGAAGAAAATGGGAAAATTGAGATGTCGAGGGTTTGTTCTATTTAGGTGTATAAAAGTGCTACAATAACAGACTGTGAAAAAAATGTACTGATAGTAGTAAAAAGCACAAAATATTGTTATTGACAAACTATTAATGACTTCCAATCTATATTTTATTGTTTCCTAGGCTATCCTACACACGTAGAATCCACTGGTTTAGAAATTGAGGTTGTTGCCCTGCTTTCCCAAGAGTCGATGCTCTGTAACAAATGAAAAAAGTTGTAACAAAATGAGAAAAAATGCTCATAAATTCTTAAAAGCTCCCTTAAAACACAGACTAATGCAGCACAACATTGGTTCCTGAAATCTGGAGGTAAAAAACCTGAGGTTTCCTCATATTGACAAGGCAGCTTTAGGAAGGAGGTGGTTCTGATTGCACTAAATTGCTGTCATATCTAAAACAAAGAGAGAGATCTCTAGGCAGAGACAGAGTTAGCAAGAAGAACTTGCAGTCACCAACCAGATGAAAGACTCCTAGATCTGTGAAACAATGTGGAAATGAGGCAGCAGAGTCATCGCCATTCCCTATCTGCTCCCCTCCATATATAGTTGAACAGAAAATAAATAAAGTGAGATAACTCCCCAAATACTAAGTCTGGGACACATGCAGGGTTCTTGCTTTTAAATGGTGTAACTAAGATGTAATTGATTCTATGTGGAAGACTACTATGCACCTATAATATATTGACAAGAACAGCTCTGCATTAATGGAGGTATTCAGAAAAAAAAATTATGTTTATAGACAAAATCTATAGGCAACTTTAATTACATTTATCACTGATGGCATGTGGGCTGCTTCTGAACATTATCACTCATATTAAGGGTTAGTTGATAAAATACCTTCAAAAAGCAAACAAGGGATTGAGAGGGATGTGTGTGTGTGCATGTGTGTGTGTATGTGTGTGTGTGTGTGTGTGTAGGCTGGAGCAATGTGTCCTCATCTTTATATCATCAGGACTCCATATTATGTTCATACATCATTGATGCTCAGAAAACAGGGACAGGGATTGAATGAACAAATGTGAATTAAAATTATAGAGAACAAGTTTCAGTATTTAAACAAGGGAAAAGTTATGATGAATGTGGCATTTGGGAAACAATACTCTCTCGAATATATAAAGCAATGGGATGAGGAAATATATGTAGTTACAGAGGAATTATGGAATACTAGAGATACAACTATGACAGCATTTGGTGACTGACTGGATACAAGGGGAAAGAAGAACAGAATATCAAAGAGAAAGACAACTTTACTAGACACAGTAGGCTTTATATGTCATTGAAAAATGATAAGTTGTTCTAGTTTGGAAGCAAAAATATATGGAACTAATTTTCAAGAAATAACCTCCTAAATCACTTTGAATATGACTGTGTGTGCTAAAAAAACAAAAACAAAAACAAACAAACAAACAAAACACAGGCAGGGAATCCTTAGGCTGCTATTTCAAAATTACGGCTACTACTTCATCTCAGCATTCAAGTTTCTCTGTTTGTATCCCTTGGCCCAACTGCAGAAACAAATGGAGTCCGTAGAGTGGACAGTTATTTCGTATCTGGATGACCAAGCAAATAATCAGGCTGGACACAGGAAGAGCTACTGGTTCCTGAGTCATGCTTTCTCTGAAACTATTAAACGTTATACTAATAGGATAGATTTATGGAGCTTGCTACAATCACTTTTAAACATAATAAAAATGAGTGTCATCATGTCCTTTTACATGTTCTGTTAAGCACCTTTAAAAAGAAACATTTTCTAAATTTAAATAGTAGTAGAAATGAATAAAGTTGACATTGCCAGAGGCTAGGGATAGTATATAAAGGAAATGGAGGAAAGTAAGGTGTTATTTTGTTTACGAAGCCAGTGTTTTCTCCCCGAAGAGAAACTGCAGCTGGTAATCAATATTGTATTTGGATACTCTAGATAGAAACTTTGTCTCAATTGTGACATTTAAAAAATACCAGAATTTCAGTGAGTTTTCTGAGGAACAAACAAAAGAAGCTCATACTCTAATTAGAGTGAAGCCAATTTTCATATTAATATAATATCAACAATAGTAACATTTATATAGCATGTACTACGTGCCAGGCACTCATATAAATCTACTGGATGAGCTGTTACATGTAGAACAGAAATAATGGCATTGAGAATTTTTCTCATTTTTCTCTCCTAATACTTTGTGAATGCTCTGAAAAAGAGCTAAGAAACTTGAACATATCCTTGAAAGAGAAGTTGCTCTGAATTCCATACAATCAGTAAAGCCAGGGATTAAAATTGAATACTTTAAGTTAGTTCACCCCAAGTTCAATTCCTGGATCCACTACTTACGACATTGGGAGAGTTACTGAATCTCTGTTATTCGGCCTCTTCATCTGTAATTTGTCGTTAACCTTGGCTCTTACTTCACAGTGTTGTAATTGGAAGTCACATAATATATTCGCAAATGTCATTAGGCATCCTGGGTTCTGAAACTTGAATCCATTTCTTACCATATGTGTGACTTTGAGAAAGTTGCCTAACCTGTCTTTGCTTCAGTTTCCTTAGTAGTGAAAAGGAAATAACTCTGTGTCTTTCATTGGCTCATAAGGATCCAATGTGAAAATCTTTGTAATAAAATTAGTTGGGGACATAACCCAAGAAAGCACTCAATAAATGTTAGCTATTGGAGCATGTACTAATTTTCAGACCCAACACATGGAGATGTTATTTCCTCCACTTTCTATACCTTAACTTTTTTTATTCTTGAGTTTTTGCCTGTTGAGGAGCAGACTAAAATTAATCATGGCTGTTGTTTGTAAACTGAAAAACTGCAGTAGGGACGAGTCTTGAATATTTAAAATTTGCCTTCTTCTTATGCTGGAGAGTGCTATTGAGGTAATTCACTCTGAGTTTCTCTACTTTAAAAAAAAAAAAAGTCTTCATGCTTCCCCCACCATTCCCATTTTCATCCATTTACTAAAGTTTGTAATTTCCTTACCAAAATCTTGAGACCCCTCCAGGCTTATTGGCCTTCATCAGTCATTCTGTACTTATGCCCTTACAGTGCCAGTCTGATTGTATCTTAAAACCACATCTAACCATAGCTCTTCTCCTACCATAATATCATGACTCATGGCTTCTCTAAAAATTTTTGAATCCCTCCAGGTTATATCACGGAAATTGAGATACAAGTCTTCTCTGCCCTATAATTACCTAAATGTTTTATTCCATGTGGAACAAATACAGGGATCCTTCTTAGAACCATCCATGCCTAACCTATTACTTGGGTCTCTGTCTCTAGAGTAAAAAGTCTCTCTTTTTCAAGCAAAGATAATTTTTTCTTTCTCTTCTCACAAAATCTTCTCTTCCACACAAAATCTGGAAGATGTTCCTCCACTCCTCTTTTAATATTTATGAAAAATATTGCAATGAGTAAAATGTGCGTGTCTCCAGTCTTCCCTTCTCAGTAAATTGTACCTTCAGTTTTCCAATTGTTGAAGCCAAAACTTTTGAATTCATCTTATATTCTTGATGTGGTTTGAATGTTTGTCCCGCTCCAAATCTCCTGTTGAAATGTGACCCACAATGTTCAACGTGGGGCCTGGTGGGAGGTGTCTGGGTCACAGGAGCAAATCCCTACAAATGACTTGGTGCCTGTCCCATGGTTATAAGTGAGTTCCCAATCTGTTAGTTCATGTGAGTTCTGGTTGTTTAAAGGAGGATGGCTCCTTCTTCTATCTCTCTTGTTCTCTCACCATGTGACACACTTGCTCCTGCTTTGCCTTCCATCATAATTGTAAGCTCCCTGAAGCCTTACCAGAAGCCAAGCAGATGTGGGCACCATGCTTCCTGCACAGCCTGCAGAACTAGCCTGCAGAATCATGAGCAAATTAAACCTCTTTTATTTCTTTGTAAATTACCCAGTCTCAGGTATTGCTATATTGTAATGCAAAAAGGCTAACACAACTCCCTTCCATTTTTTTACCTCTTGTGTCCAATTCATCAGCACATTTTTTTTACCTTTCCCTTCTGAATATATCCAGAATCTGACCAGTTCTCAACTTTCGTCTCCCATATTCAGATCCATCCCCTTCCAGAACCACCACAATATTATCTGAACTATTAACCTGCTTCCTCTCTTGCCCCGTATTTGGTCAATTTCCTACCCTGCAGTTTCAGTTATCCCTTTTAAAGCAAAAGTCAGATCAAGTGACTTTTGGGCTGAGACTCATTCAGTGGATTAATATTTAACTAAGAATAAAATTTAGAATCCTTATGTTACCAATGTTCTCATCCTGGCTACCCTTGCACTCTCTTCCCCTTTCTTACTCAAGTCACATTGGCTTTTTTGCTGCTCCTTGAAAATGCAAAGGAAGCTCCCACCGCCAGTTTCTGCACTTGCTGCTGGAAGGTTATACTACCAAATATCTGCAAGTTTCACACAAAATTTCTTTTAGGTGCCACATCAAATGCCACCTAACAAGGTGGCAATGGCTTTCCTTTAATTTTTAGTAAGAAAGGCAATGGTTTTCTTTAGTTTCCTTTATAAGATAGCTTCTTACTGTCACCTTACTCTTTATCCATTTATCCTGCTTTATTTTTCTTCATAATGTTCTCAAGACATGTTATATGATATGTCTTCTTACTTATTCATTGTCCTCTTTCATCATGAAAGTTCCCATAGAAGAGGGTTTTTGTCTGTTTGCTGACTGCTCCATCACCCCACAATAGAACAGGCACACTGTTATTTCTTAACAAATATTTGTTGAGGGAATAGAATACAACCTTTGCCTCTTGATTTTCAAAACTATGTTTATGAAATCATCACTATCAAAACCATTTTTTTTCTAAAAATGTTGACAAAGCTCTTGCAAATCAAAGACATCTTAGTTTTCAAAACTCAAGACTCACAAGCATTTAAAGAAGTCTGTTTTAGAAGTTCTACTCACTTTCATGTTTAACATTTATTAAGCGTTTCCACTGAGTTTGGAACAACCTGAGCATTCAGTCTACTATGAAATCCTTAACAACATGTGTTCCTTCTTGCTCTCCCATTCTTGGAGTAAATAATTACTCTTGAAGCAATGAAAACCACTAGATCATTTGGGGAAGGTGTGAAGGGAAACATGAAAAAGAAATACAAGAAATAGAAACATTCTGTATGCTGAGAAAACTGCAGAAGACAGACAAGACTCTTTCTTTATTCAATAGTGGAGAATCCAGTTCCTGAGATCAATTTCCCACTGTTAAGAAAGGCTAAGAAAATTATTAACTACCAATGATCCCAAACTCTTGTAATTCAGGAGAAATTAGTCTTTGACACAACAGACTTTAAATTTAATTTCAATTATTATGGCTACATTAGTCATACATATTTGTAGGACACATGATATTTTGATACAGGCCAACAATGTACAACGATTAAATCAAGGTAATTGGGTATCCATCACATCAAGCATTTATCATATATTTGTGTTAGGAACATTTTAATTTCAATCTTTTAGTCATTTCAAAACATAAACTAAATCATTCTAACTATAGTCATCTTATTGTACTACTATAACACAGCAGACTTTCGAGATTAAAAAAAAAAGGTCTTCACTTGTATTCTCCCTGAGAATTCTCACACTGCTCTAATTTTATACAGTGCATAATACCTCAGAGGATAATAGCATATGTTTATCCATGTGGAAGATTAATAATGATTGGCTGAAAAGCAGCATATATTAAAACGTCATAGCCCACCACTTAAAATATCTAATCAGAAGAAACGTTAGCATTGCCATTTAACTTCCTAATTAACTGCTGAGCATTTGAGTCCAAAATCAATGTATAGCGAAGTGACAATTAAATCAAAATTTTCTGGTGTTCTACAGTGTTAATATATCTCATCTTGTGCTTTAAAGCCAACTTGGCTTTATTTTTTTTCTCTTCTTTGTTAATAAACTGTGATTGTGTCTTGTAATGAATAAACCCGTAAACCATCTGGCAGTTGTCTCACGGCTCATTACTTGCTATGGGCCACTCTGAGAAGCTGCCTCAGGTAACATTTAAACTGGTGCATGGAGAGAAAATCACTTTTTATTATTGAAACCATATTTCAGGGGAAAAGGAGAGGTCTCCCTCTTCTCAACATGAATATTTAAGCTGAAGGTGTAGTTAGTAAATCATAATGCAACCCACAGTTTTCATTTTGGTTTGTAAATTACAGTTATTTGCACATACATATGTATGTTACGTGAGCGAAGAATATCATGTTACACACATTGTTGTTGAGACTTCTAGCACCTTTGTCATTTCTTAATTATCAATGATATATTTTCATACTACCACATTGTTTTGTAAAGCACCGTGAATATTTCATGGGGACTAGGAACTGCCATTGTGTCTACAATGGCATTCTGACATTCTTCCTGGGGTAAATTTATGCCCCTAGAGTCCTTATCATCGTGGACATGTAAGTATCATTAGTTTCTTTCCAAGATATACTATCATGTATTCTACTTTTGGTTCAGATCTTCCACTTTTAATACTGTGCATTCTTCTATGCATAATATATCTCCTTAGCAAAAATCATGATTAGTGCTCTAACTTACAATGTGTCATTCTATCATCAGGTAATGATAAGTTTACTGTGGCTGGGGTAGTGTGTGAAAACAATATTTTCAAAGAATAAAGCTTACAGGTAAGAGGCCTCCAGGATTCACAACACTCAAATGAGATGTATTAAATTTATAATTCCATTCAAGGTAGAGTAGGTCAAAATTCTGCTACATAGCCATGAGATCCATAATCTAAGTAAATGAAAGCAGCCTGCAAAGTATATTATAGGATTGATTTGTTCATGTATTTTTCCAATGGAAACAAAGTTGTTATATTATTGTGTTATTACCGAAAAGAGAGCATAACTTTGCTCGACTGGTTAAAATCATAGGGCAGATTATTTAAAGAAATTACTGTGCTGTAATAAAAAGAACTAAAAAGTAATTTTGAAATTTTGAGGAGGAATATCTTAAAAATTAGTTTTGTCTTAAAATTTTACTAAATGCTTAGAAACAATGACATATTAACTTCCTCAAGATACTGTAATACTTACCAATACACTTCTACTTTAATTTTATTTTATGGGACAAAAACTTGAAATAAGTGCAGTTATAAGAAATGTTAATACATGATTAGAAAGGCCTGGGTTAGTTAATAAGTATTAGAAAATAATAACTTTGAATAATGTACAATATTGGGAAATGACTGAACAGTTTTCCTTTAGGATTACGTGATGCATGCGTATTTCTGTAAATATGCGGATAACATTCACTTTGGGTAATGAAATTTGGTACAAAAAAAAAAAGCCTGGGCTGAGAAGCATGAGACTTGAGATTCTGCACTCTCTTCTTCTTCCTCTGTGGCCTGAGATAAATCATTCAACCTCTACAAAACCCCATTTCCTTCTTTTTATCTCCTTATGACCATTATAATATATCTACAATAGAGGTACCTATTCCATAGACTTCTGATGAAGTTGATGAAAATAGTTTACAGTGCTTCCAAAAAGTAAAAACATGTTTCAAAATAAAATGTAGGAACATAGATGCCTTGGTTTCAATACTGGTTTTGCCACTTTTTAATTGCTTTAGCCTAATTGTGTAAAAGTGACACGTGTGTGTGTGTGTGTGTGTATGTGTGAATATGGCCATATTTTTTTGTGTTGTCAACTTAATGTTCTCTATCAAATGCAAATGTAAGCATACCTTTCCTACATCCCTTTAAGATAAAACCCATATTAATTAGTATGTTAGGATAACACTTTGTTATGAGTCCTGTCCATTTCTACAGCTCCGTCTGTCAAATCTTGTACTCTATCTGCCTGCCTATTTGCTTGTCACCAAACAACATACTAATCTTCATCTATGTGTCTCCAACTAATTTTATAAAACTCAGTATACCTATCACATCCCTGGATCCTCAAGGTATCCACTCTGTTCTCAAAGTAGCTCTACTATAGCACCATATTAAACTACATTGCACTTACCTGTTTGCATTGTGTCTCTGTCAGATTCTAAGTTCCTTGAAAGGGAAATGCATTTATTTTTGTATTTTCCTTAAATGCAATATTGAAAAGGGAAACCAAAAATGTTAAGAAGCGTTAGATTCTTTTTATCTTCTCTACAAAAATATTTTAATTATCTCCAAAAATATTTTAATATTATTTCAAAAATCTAATGCTAAGTTTGGACAGAAACTCCAGGAGCGTGGCACTGCTTTGAAGGTTTTGTGTTTATTTGTGTTTGATATACTTATTGGAGCTGCATAATTCATTCTTCTGTGTCAGAGTGAACATTAAACACCAAACACAATTCAGAATGTGTAAAATGACTGACCTAGTTTACAAGTTTACACTCTTAGTTGAATATTTTATGTAGTTTCTGAAAGAGCTTTAATTACACTTGATCTCATACCTTTTGTTGGTGGGGATTCATAGCTTTTCTGAGCCACAGATGGAGATTTCTACCTGAAAACAGCTGGTGCCAAGGAAGTCCTGCAGGGAACACATTTCAAACCTGTGACTCAGCAAGAGATTACCAAGGACTGGAGCACATGATTTGGAGAAATTGGCTAAGGGTACACAGCTCTGAGTTACACAGGGTGCCCAAGAACAGGTCTGTTTATTTTCTTCAGCACTATCAAGGAAATGCATTTGCTTATTAACACCTATTGATCCACAGAAGGCAAATGAAACAAAGCCAAAACTCTGCCCAAATCAGGTCATATACTTTCGGATTTGACTTCTAGGTAAGATGTGGTGAACTGTACATATGAAAAAGAGGCATATATTGAGTTTCTAAGGCAAGGTGAAAAAGTATTGACAACTCTGGTAAGTGTAAAGAGAGTCTTCAAGTAACTTATAATAATAGTGTTGGAAAAAACATATATCTGATAATTAGAGAATTATTATGAAACAATGCATTACCTGAGGTTACTCTATTATTACAAAACATGTTTAAATATATGTTTAAAGATGTTTTTGTATAAAGTCATCAAAATCCTCTAGTGGAGATATAGATATATTCTCCTTATTTTATATATATATATATTCACCTTATTTTTTTATATATATATTCTCCTTATTTTTATATATATATTATATATAAAAATATATATTATATATATATTATTAAATATAAATATATTTTATTAAATATAAATATATATTTATATATAAATATATATTTTATGTATATTTATATATACATTTTATGTATATTTATATATAAACATACATTTTATGTATATTTATATATAAACATACATTTTATGTATATTTATATATTAACATATACACATACATTTTATGTATATTTACATATTAACATATACACATACATTTTATGTATATTTACATATTAACATATACACATACATTTTATGTATATTTACATATTAACATATACACATACATTTTATGTATATTTACATATTAACATATACACATACATTTTATGTATATTTACATATTAACATATACACATACATTTTATGTATATTTACATATTTACATATACACATACATTTTATGTATATTTACATATTTACATATACACATACATTTTATGTATATTTACATATTTACATATACACATACATTTTATGTATATTTACATATTTACATATACACATACATTTTATGTATATTTACATATTTACATATAAACATACATTTTATGTATATTTACATATTTACATATAAACATACATTTTATGTATATTTACATATTTACATATAAACATACATTTTATGTATATTTACATATTTACATATATACATTTTATGTATATTTACATATTTACATATAAACATACATTTTATGTATATTTACATATTTACATATAAACATACATTTTATGTATATTTACATATTTACATATAAACATACATTTTATGTATATTTATATATTTACATATAAACATACATTTTATGTATATTTATATATAAACATATATTTTATGTATATTTATATATTTATATATAAACATATATTTTATGTATATTTATATATTTATATATTTATATACATATTATATATATATCTCCTTATTTTATATATATGTATTATCCTTATTTTTAAGCATGCAAATCCTTAATAAAGATGTACATTTACGCAGGACAAGGAGATATGCACAAAACTAATACATGTCACACATGCATGCATGAACAGAATCCAGTTTCTGATTGGCCCAGGTAAATCTCCAGTACAATAGATGGTCTAATGATTCTTTCCCACTGGCTTCAGACAGCTGTTAAGAGCTACTATAAATCCTTATTCTCAGGCATAAAAGCTAATTACTATCATAGGTTAAGAATCAATTTTCTTCTTTCCTCTGCTGCAGTAGTCTACATAAAGGAGATTTTTAGGCCTGATATCAGGACATTTATTCTTGTTCACAGTAAGAAACAGCTAACTGTATTGTTGGTCAGATTGTTATAGTGATTCTCATGTTAAGGACTGTGCACACTGTCTATACATTGATGCAATAAATGTTATTGGAAAGCAGGTTCAGGGACATTTTCTAAAATGGAGTTGTATACGTGATGATATAAAACCTCACGTAAAGTCTCTGCAAAGAGTACATGCACCACGTGCAAGAGTTCTTTAGTGAGCCTTTATTTAGAGCTCTTGAATCTTTTACTCAATGTCTTATGTCAGTTTTGAAAAATTCCAAGCCATGGCCGGGCGCACTGTCTCACGCCTGTAATCCCAGCACTTTGGGAGGCCGAGGCGAGTGGATCACGAGGTCAGGAGATCGAGACCATCCTGGCTAACATGGTGAAACCCCGTCTCTACTAAAAAGTACAAAAAAAAAATTAGCAGGGCATGGTGGTGGGCGCCTGTAGTCCCAGCTACTCGGGAGGCTGAGGCAGGAGAATGGTGTGAACCCTGAAGGCAGAGCTTGCAGTGAGCCGAGATCACGCCACTGCACTCCGGCCTGGGCGACAGAGTGAGTCTCCATCTCAAAAAAAAAAAAAAAAAAAAAAGAAAAAGAAAAAAGAAAAAAAGAAAAAGAAAAATTCCAAGCCATTATCCCTTAAAATTTTGCTTCTACCCTATCCTTATTCAGTGCTTCTTCTTGGACTTCAGAACAAAATGTTAGATTTTTCATTAAGTTGTGTATAGCTATTATACTCATTTCTTTTTCATTTTTCTCATGCTATTATTATGCATCAATCTATTATCCTGTATTGCAGTTTAATAATTGTATACTCTATTTAAAAAATAGTTAAACTCATTTATTGAGCTCTTCATGTTAAACCTTTCATTTTTTAGTTCTTGACTTGTCATTTGAATCTCTTCTGGATTGTCATTTGGCCAGGCACGTTGGCTCAGGCCTGTAAGCCCAGCACTTTGGGAGGCCAAGACGGCCAGAACCCTTGAGGTCAGGAGTTTGAGACCAGCCTGGCCAACATGGTAAAACCCCGTCTCTACTAAAAATAAAAAAATTAGACAGGTGTGGTGGTGGGCACCTGTAATCCCAGCTACTTAGGAGGCTAAGGCAGGAGAATCGCTTGAACCCAGGAAGCGGAGATTACAGTGAGCCAAGATCACACCACTGCACTCCAGCCCGGGTGACAGAGCAAGACTCCATTGCACACACAAGAAAAGGAGATTGTCGCTGGGACCTTTCTATCTCACTGGTGAAATTCACAATATTGTCTTTATTTACTTAAACATATAAGTAAAAATTATTTTAATGTTCATGTCTAAAAACTCCCATTTTTTGTTTATCTTTTATTATTATTGTCTTATTTTTTCTTTTCTTTCTGATCCTTTCTCTAGACATGCTGGGCCATTTTAGATCGTTGTATAAGAAAGCACTGTAAAAACTCAAGGTGATGTGATGTTCCTCCTGGAAGGATTTTGTGTGTGTATTTATTTATTTATTTATTTTGGAAAGTCAACCAAATAGGAACAGAATACCTTGTATCAATCTGGAGCAAATGATTGGAGAAGGGGTTTTAAATTATTCTGCACCAATCAATTTCCAGTTTCCTCTTCCTCCCTGAGTATCTCCTTTCAGAGGTTGCAGTTGAAAGCCTGGGTATTTACTGGGGACCTTTCTGCTTGGTTTGCTCTGAACTCACAACTGTTTCCTCAATACTTCAAGGCTACCAGGAGCTCTCCTTTGCTTTGTCTCTCCATTTTTGCTTTATATTTGGCTTCTTCTCCTCTTTTTCCATTCATCTTCAAAATCTACAAGTACTATAAAGAGAAAAATGGACAAAATGCATATGGTTTCCTATTCTCCAGAATCCTAGTTTCCCAATTCCTAGCTGCCTTGGTAGCCCAGAACTTCAGTTTTTGTCTCTTAGTCCTGGGAGGCTGAAAACACGCTGACCCCCTACTTTCTATTCAAATGGATTCTGCATCAATAAAGAGTCAGTCAATGTCTTATCCAGTGAATCAAACCATTTCTGTTCTGGAGTTTGGCCACTCACATTTTGATTTTACTGAATATTCTCTGATGGCTTTAAGGAGCAATTTTGTTGTTTTTGTTTTTGTAATTCACACATCATCTACAGTTGTTGCTTTCACAGACAGATTGGTCTGGTAAAATATAATCTGTCATAATCAGAAGTGGAAGTTGTATAAGACTCTCCCTAAAAGGTTTTAAGATTTTTTTTTTTTTTTGAGATGTGGAGTCTCACTCTGTTGCCCAGGCTGGAGTGCAGTGGCATGATCTCGGCCCACTGCAACCTTCATCTCCAGGGTTCAAGCAATTCTCCTGCCTCAGCCTCCAGAGTATCTGGTATTACAGGAGTGCACTACCACATCTGGCTAATTTTTTTGTATTTTTAGTAGAGACGGGGTTTCACCATTTTGGCCAGGCTGGTCTTGAACTCCTGACCTCAAGTGATCCACCTGCTTCAGCCTCCCAAAGTGCTGGGATTACAGGTGTGAGCCATCATGCCTGGCCCTAAATAAGATTTTTGATTGAAGATGTGTAAGCAGAAAAAAATTAAAATAATAAGGGAGCATGATAAGTGTAAAAATGGGCAAGGAATTCCTGAGAAAAGAGAATAAGAGAAGGAGGACAACTCCAAAATGTTTTACAAAACGAATCAAATTGAAATTTTTAAAAGCGTTTTGCTTTAGGAAAAAAAAAAACAAAAAAACAGCTAAAGTAAATATTTGTAAGGTGTTTGCCATCCAGTCAAGTAAAACAGATTGATTTTTATCTGTAAATTGTTTTTCACTGTGAAAATCAGCTGGCTTCTGTTGTTAGAAATCAGAACACAGTGCATTAGGCTGAATAAATGTGTTGCCTAGTAAACTGGCATGGAACTAAATTACATTCAACTGGTGAGTAGTTTAACGATTTTTTTCTGTAAGATGTGAACATGTATATCTCAAATGGTGTGTCTTACTCAGTCAAATTTGTAGACAGAGAGCTTATAAGCCTAACAGAAAGATAAGAGAAGTCATAAAAGTGATGAGGCAAAGCAGATATCCAAACAGCAAAAGTGTTCTAATTTATCTGTGAACATTTAACTGAAATTAATTCTTATATTGTGACAGCAAGTATCGACGGCCTGTATGCATGAGTTAGAGTCATTCATTGTGAGAATTATAAAGATGATCAATGACTTGGCTTTCTGACAAGTAATATTATGAATACATTAAAATTTCTTGTCCTATTCATGAAGTATCTATCCACTCATGAACACATCAGACATCCTGAATTGTCAGGTATACATACAGGTATACGTAAAAAAACACATATCGATTTAAATATAACATTTTGCAGCACTTATTAGGTGCCCTCTGACTATGTGGCCAATTAATATGAACTTGTGACAAATATACAAAAACTGTCAAGAAAGACTCCTTTTTGACTGCTAGAAAGGAAGATAGTGATGTATATAAAATCATATGTTGAACCAAATTGGTTGAACATATAAAATGTTTCTGGCATTTAGTAAGTGCTGAGGATAGAGAGACACCAAAAGACCACTCAGTCCTGTCCTCAAGAAGCATATAATACAGTTGGGATGGCAGATAAATAATTCGATATATAGGGTAGGATGTGATAAATAGTATTCATTTATTTCCTCCACAAATAGTTTTTAATAATATTAAACACTTAAACACAAGTTTAAAGGAGTGAAATTTAAGTTAGTAAAATTAGAAAATTCATAAATGTAAAATGAAGAAAATATAATATTTAGACATTATTATATGATATGTTATAATAATTATGGTTTATAATATATTATTATAATAGCCATTAGCAACATTAGTTAGGAAGTATGAGAGGAGAGATATTTAAAACAAATTGTGTATTTAAAAGAGAATTCTCTGTGGGGGAGGAGATACTATCTAGATTAGGTGGTAACACTGAGGTGAAGGGACTCTCCAGGCAGAGGAGGGAATACACATAAATAGAATGTGGTGGTTTTTTACTATAAGATTTTAGCCAAGCAGGCACGGAATTTTCTAGAACTACTTTCCCTGTATAATTAGGATTTGGCACAAAGAGCTTTAAGTGAGATTTGGAAGGTACAAGAGGAACAGCAGTCATTACAGAAGATTAGTACAAGCCTCCATGCATGGCCAACCCTTGGCACATTTGCTGCTGATTCACGGGCTTCTCTCACTGGTGTGCATAGACCCACAGCTCCTCTGCCTGCTGTCAGATCGCTTCCTTCAGCTTTTCCAAGTCCTGAGTCAGACACGTGTGCAACTCTGGGGTGAAAGACACCAGCTTCTTCTGCAGATTACCTGTATCATTTGGGTTTGAAGCATATTCTGATGTGTCTTTGTGAATACCAGTTTATTCTCAAGGATTTTAGGTTGTCTTTTCTTTTCTTTTTTTTTTTTTTCTATTTCGTTTAGAGCTTTTCTTCCTGATGGCTTATCTACCGATCAAAGCAACTTCTACCTCACCAGCAGATACAGAGGCAACTTCTTCCATAGATTTCTTCACCAGTTTTCCTTAGCTGTCTCCTTGGTAAGTGACTTTTCTCTGATGCTTCAACCGTCTCCTGGAACTTTACTTCACCCACTTTCCCCAGAATTTTGTAAGGCATAAATCCTTATAATGTGTTTTATTTTATATCACTCACAGTTGTTCTGGTTCCATGATTGAATCCTAACCTATACTTATGGTAAATAATTTAAAGTGTTCATCTAGCAACTATAAATAGATGGTGTGTCTAGAGGAGAGGATGAATGTGGGGAGTAGCAGAAAATAAAGCCAGAAAGAAACCACATTATAATCTATTTTTAGAGTAGGATTTTGGTTTCTATCTTCTACAAATGTCACTTGCTGCTTGTGAAAATGGATTGGAGTGGCTATATCTACAACAGAAAAAAACTGTAGATTAGACTATTGTACATTCAAGAAGATAATGTTAGAAATCTGTACACAGGTAAGAGGGTGGGTGGAGAGGCAGGGAGGGATCAGAGTGAAGTACAAATAAATCTGAATAAATATTTTAAAGTGTATTTGGTGCTTGTCTTGCCATGAGTCTTTGCACTAGCAAAGGTTTCCCAAACTCAAATCCTTGGTTCTGTTTTTCAAACTGCCTTTAAGACATAACATAGTGGATGTATTAATTTTATACCTTGTTGAATGTAAGTGAGTATGGATGGGCATACTGAATAAAAATATATTTCTTAACTCGTCTTTATCAGGAACATTTGAAATCCTCTGGTTCTTTGGCACCCAAATATGAAGGTCATTTCATCAAAGGCCTAAAATTTTCATAGAGAGGATTTGAGAAAGGTGATCTCAATAAAATACAAAAAAAAAAAGGAAGAAAAGCTACAGTAAAAGAAATATTGCTACTTATATATGCAAACGAAGACTGAGGACAACTATTATCAGCTTTCTACTCTTAAGAATTATTTAAGTTGCTACTCCTACTTCTACATTTGGACATTGGTTTACCATGCCATTTTTCCTTATATATATTTAAAAAATCTCTTAAAAATTAAAATGGTAGTATGCATGTTTTCAGGCCAAATATATATTTCCAAACTGTTCTAAATTTGTTACTACTGTGTTTTTACTCCTGAGTAATCAATAACATTGAGTAATAAAGACAGAATTATTTATGTATAAATAAAAATTCTCATGAGAATTTTTGTCTATTTTTCCTTTTCTGAGTTGAAAAGCAGCCATTTTCAACATAGCTAATTGTTGCTACAGTATCATTTTAAATTAATGTGGTACAGTGTATGCTGAAATAGCAGTGGAAAAATATTTAAGTTTTAACAATGCTCTACTCAGGTAAATATCCCTGCAGGAATCAAAATTAATAAATATTATCTTCAGTATACATAATACAATATAATATCTTTAATAGGAGTTGCCATTTTACTGAATATCTTCCATTTGATGTTTGTGAAAAGTTTGTTCATTGACATAGCTCAATAATATTCCATTTTACAAATATACCACAATTAATTAACCTATCCTTCTGTAGATAGACATATGGGTTTCTTTCCTTATTATACATCATATTAAACTTTTATATTATGAACAGTTCATTGAATCTATTGATCCATTTGTGGAGAATTTATATCTTTATGATATTGATTTTTCTTCCTAGAGGTATAATATGCCTTTCCATTTATTTGAATCATTTTTAATGTTTTAAAATTTAGATACATTTAATTAATGTGTGTGTATCTGTATGTAAGCTTACTGCAATGCTAAACAGGTAAATATTCAGAACACTCTGTAAAAAAAAAAAAAAGTTGAACTTCCACCTTAATTACTGACTTTTTTTTAATTAATTGTAAGCAGAAATGGGATACTGTTTTCTCTGCCACATTTCTGTCACCTGTGGTCATAATCCCTC
This sequence comes from Homo sapiens, assembly GCF_000001405.40. NCBI lineage: Eukaryota > Metazoa > Chordata > Mammalia > Primates > Hominidae > Homo > Homo sapiens. The sequence continues at coordinate 43,765,634 of NC_000004.12, forward strand.
GAGCTGTATAAGGGAAGTTGTCTGTTCAAATCATGCAGTGTTCTTATGTCACAAACCAAAACCTGAGTCTATTATGCTGAGCTAATCTGCTTTGACCTGGGTAATTTCCATCCTGGGTTGATCTGATCTGCCAGGAGGTTTGGCCGTCAGATTTTGGTGACTTCTGCTCCTCAGAGAATTCTCAGAATCCCAAATTGCACCCCATCTCACTAAGAGTGTGGAGAGGAAAAGACAGAAGGATAGAAAAAGAGAAGGAGGAGGAAAAGGAAGTATCTATCTACATGTTTATATCTATACCTTTATTTATACTCACAGTAAAGGACATTTGTCAGAATAGCCCCCAAACACTATTGCCGCACCAACATCTATTAAAATATAAACCATCTTTAATAAATACTGAGCTGTGTAAATATTTATTTGCATGCAAAAGAAAAGCTCTTTAGTATTCTTAAGCCAGACTGAGCAGTCAACAGATGATTTTGATAAATGTCTGTTCATTACCTGAACATTTCCATTGCAATATAAAACAAAGATTTCATCTACATTTTATTTTTGCTCCATGAATGGTTCCACACTTTCTAATCAGTGTTATTTTTAAGATTAAATTTGGATAGTAATGTAAATATGGGAGGGGAATGGGTGTCTAAGAGGATTTTCTGGTTCATAGTCATTATAATAGTCACAATATACAAGATAATTTGTAAGTCTAGGCCCCCTTTTGCTCAGGCAGTCTAATTCTTTATGTCCAAGAATTTTGTCAAAGTAATGTTCTTCATGCTAATAAATATAATAAAAACATACCCTTTTCTGGTAGTTGTCTTCTTTTAATATTAATATGTCATTTTTCTTCATGATTCTAAAAACAAATATGAACTGCTTTGTAAATATTGGTCAATGAATACTTCATGACACTCCCTTTTGAAAGGTGTATGACTTGACAGCCGCTATTTAGACATTTCATTTATGTCATGGGTTTTGTTTTCTATTTTTGCTGTTGCTGTTGTTTTAAATCAGGGCTTGATATTGATGGGGCAAGATTAGGAAGTAAAGAACCACATAGTTCTCTCTCCTTCATCTCTTCCTGTGTTAATAAATGGTTCCATGATCTAATAAAAGAGCAAACACAGGAAACAATAAGGGGAATCAAAAAGTGAAAATAAAACAAACAAATCTAGAAACAAGCAAACTTTATCTTGAGTTTTGTGGACTTCCTGCAGAGATTTCTCAATTCCTGTTTCTACTCCAAATGCATTCATGTGACTAGCATGCTCAGTGAATTGGGCATCTTTTGCTCTTTAAAATTACTTATTTAAGAAAAATTTATGTATACTCTGATCCTCTTAACTCTGTTGCATTTGCAGGTTCAGTATGGCCTCTGCTGCTGAAAAGGCTGTGTGCAATGTAAAAAGTGTGTTTAATTCAACCTTTTATTAATTCATCTATAATTTTGAAATTCAGTTTTTTATTTTATTGACTAGTTAACATCTGCCAATCACCATTAAACATCGTACAAGTATTATTTTCTTCACTCTTTACAGAAACCTCATTCTCAATTTACATGTTATAAGTGACATAGCTAAGGTGTAGAGAAGGTGTATGCATGCAAAAATTCACACAATTCATATCAGACGGAGCTAGGACATAAATTCTAGTTC